>NC_000016.10:53350378-53653409 GCF_000001405.40 Homo sapiens | reverse complement strand
ACGAAGAAGAAAAGTATAAATCTTAATAAGTTAAAGGAAAGGAGGCAGCAGAAAGAGAGACTGACTTTATAGGAGTGAAGACAATGGGTGGAGCAGAGACAGGGAAGCAGGTGAAATCCAGGTAGTTATCTCAGCTGTTCATTAAGAGCGCTTTTCTTCTTTTGATATTTTTCTCCCCTTTTTCCTGGCTTAGGCTATATTAAAACTGAAGTTGCAATTTTGTTGCTGCCTAATAAGTGATGTCAAAACAGAAATGATAAATTTTTGTACGATAAAGTATTATTTACAGAAAAACAGTGTAGTCATAGAATTTAAAATAGAGACTGTTCACCAGAAGTACTCATTCTTACACTTCAAAAGCCAGTTTTCATTTTCTCATGTCAATATTTTGAAATCTCTAAACTGTGTGTCTTCTCTTGCAGCCCAATTAAAGGATATTGCCTATGGCACCAAGCAGTACAAATTTAAACCAGAAATCATGCCAGATGACTCTGTTGATGAATTTGATGAAACCATCCACTTAGAACGAGGCGAAAATCTATTTGAAATCCATATCAACAAAGTAACCTTTTCTTCTGAAGTTTTACAGGCATCTGGAGATAAAGAGCCTGTCACTTTCTGTACCTATGCTTTCTATGATTTTGAACTACAGACAACTCCCGTAGTGCGAGGCCTTCATCCCGAATATAACTTCACTTCTCAATATCTTGTTCATGTTAATGACTTATTTTTGCAATATATTCAGAAGAATACTATCACCCTTGAGGTCCACCAGGCTTATAGCACAGAATATGAAACAATTGCAGCATGTCAATTAAAATTTCACGAAATTCTTGAAAAAAGCGGCCGAATATTTTGTACAGCAAGTTTGATTGGTAAGTACAATGTATAAGCCTTGGGTGTTTGAATTACTAATTTGGTTTATATATCGTTATGGTACTCTACATTACTATCTTTTCTTGTATATTAAAGGTGCCTTTAGAGCAAGGACAACATTCTTTACCCACAGTTAATTGGACTATCTTAAACGTCACTGATGCCGAGCACAGTGGCTCACTCCTTTAATCCCAGCACTTTGGGAGGCCGAGGCAGGTGAAGCACTTGAGGCCAGGAGTTCAAGACCAGCCTGACAAATACAGCAAAACCCCGTCTCTAGTAAAAATACAAAAATTAGCCAGGTGTGGTGGTGCATGCCTGTAATCCCAGCTACTTGGGAGGCTGAGGCAGAATTGCTTGAACCCGAGAGGCAGAGGTTACAGTGAGCTGAGATGGCGCCACTGCACTCCAGCCTGGATAACAAGAGCTTTCGCTCTTCCATCTCAAAAAAAAAATGTCATTGATGATGTCAGTACAATGGCTATTAATTTTTTAAAACTTGTAACTTCAGATGTTTATTGTATTGATACTCTTTTTGGCTAAATTATGTAATTTATTTATAAATAAATTAATTTATGTATTGAACTGTAATTTAAGTTCATAATAATAGTTTAAATTATTTATGGTTTAATAGTTATAACTATTATAAATAATAATATAAGCTATTTATGAAATTATTAATTTTTTAAGACCTTATGTTATCACTGTTAGTAGGCACTGGGAATATGGTGGTCAGTGGTAAATAAGACAGACAAAACTACCCCCTGTAGCTTACCTTCTAGAGAGGAATACAGGCAATACAGAACAGTTAATCAGAGAAAGAGGCTAAAGGGAGAAATGGCAGGTTGCAAATTCAGGTAAGGGCTTCTCTGAGGGGGTAAAGAATGAAGATCCATGCCAGGATCCAGG
Organism: Homo sapiens; assembly: GCF_000001405.40. Classification (NCBI taxonomy): domain Eukaryota; kingdom Metazoa; phylum Chordata; class Mammalia; order Primates; family Hominidae; genus Homo; species Homo sapiens. The sequence continues at coordinate 53,651,624 of NC_000016.10, read as the reverse complement.
GAAAGAATGTTTCAGGCAGAGGCAATAGCAAGTGCAAAAACCTGAGGGAGGAGCAAGCCTGACAGTGGGAGGAACAGCAGTAAGCCCAGTGCCTGCAGCAAAGGGGGGATTCAAGTGATAGGCGGGGCCAGATCATATTGCAGAGCCTTGTAGGTCAGAGTGAGGAGTTTGGATTTTCTGAGCTTTTAGAAAAATCACCCTGAGTGCTGTGGAAAGAATAGTCTGAAGCAGGCAAGAGGGAAAATAGGACCGTTCTCAGGCTATTGTATTGATCAAGGAAAGACGATGGTGGCTTGGATTAAGATGGTAATGAAAGTGGCGATAAAAAGTAGTCATATTCAGTACATATTTTATTAACTTCTCCTTCAAGACTTGCTTATCACTTGAATGTGTGATAATGAGGGAAATGGATGAAGTAAGAATTTCTGGCATGAGCAGCTAGAAGAATAGTGATGCCATTTACTGAGATAGGGAAAACTGGGAAAGGAGCACATCTGATAAAGAAAATCAAGAATTCTGTTTGGACAAGTTAAGACTGACCCGCCTATTAGACATCCAAGTGGTGATGTCAGGCTGGTGGCTGGACACACCAATCTGAAAGTAAGGGATAGAGATATAAAAGTGGGAGTTGTTAGCATATAGAATATATTTTAAGCCATGAGCATAGATAAAATCACATAGAGAGTGAATGTAAATAAAGGAAAGAAGGTAGCCAAGGACCAAGCCTTGGGAAACTCCAAAATTAAGGCTTCAGGAAGAGGAGGAAAAGCCAGCAAAAGAAACTGAGGAGTGGCCAGTGATGTAGGAGGAAAACGAGTCTGTGGTACCCCAGAGACCAAGTGAAGAAAGTATTTGAAGAAGGAAGGAGGGTGACTTAGGGTCTCAGGACGGATTTTATTTTATTAATTGAGTGATTGATTGAGGTAATATATTCACATGACTCAAAAATCAAAAAGACTTCAATGTCTACCTCCCTCCCCTTTTCCTTAGCCACCCTGGGTCCCCTCACCAAAGGCTGCAGATTCTTTCAAAGATTTTTGTTTGTTTGTTTGGGGTGTTTTTTCATTAAGCCAGGGTCTCACTCTGTTGCCCAGGCTGGTCTCGAGCTCCTGGACTCAAGCAGTGCCCACACTTCAGTCTCCCAAAGTGCTGGGATTACAGGCATGAGCCACTACACCCAGCTTGAAAGATCTTTTATGCATATACAAGCAAATATATATTACATTAATATTATTCTTTTAGGACTTATTTTTAAATGATGACTTCTGTCATAGTGTGTCTTGTGCTGCTGTAACAGAATACCTAAGTCCAATATCAAGGTGTTCACATCTGGTAAGGGCCTTCTTGCTGCAACATGGCAGAAGGTTAGAGGGTGGGAGCGAGCAAGAAGGGGTCAATCTCGGCCTGTTATAATGGCACCAATCCTACTCATGAGGGTGGATCCCTCGTGGCCTCATCACCTCTTAAAGGTCCTACTCGTAATACTCTTAACAATGATAATTAAATTTCAGCATGATTCTTGGAGGGTACAAACATTCAAACTATAGCAGGCAGATAGTAAGTCACATTTGTATGCTGATGAGAATGATCCATTAGCAGGGAAAAAATTGATAAAGTAGGAGAGAGTAGGGGTAATATTTGTAATAATCTGGTGTGTTCAGGAAAGTTTATGTATAGAATATTCTCTATTTGACAAATATTAAGTAGCCTTTATATACTAGTCCCTGTAGTAGGAGTATATTGGTGGAAATTATGGCCCTTGCTCTCAAGAAACTTATGGCGTATTAGAGAAATAGGCTGGTAAACAGACGGGCCAAAGAAGTCAGTGCCCTAACAAGGACATACGATGTCCATGAAGGAGGCACAGGGCTCTACTCTCCTGGGAGCCACACAGAAAGTCTTCCCCATGGAAGAGAGATGAAGAGCTGCCTGAGTTGAGAGGAGTACTGAGGGTGTGCAGGGCAAACATCGTGCAAGGGTGTACTGCATGGGACATGTATTTGGCATAGCTATGACATTTTCCCTTATGCTTGTGAGATAGTCTAGAAATGGGAAGGTGCCAAAGATGTCTTGAAACTTGAATTAGAATGTGGAATGTCATATTTATACTTTTGAGGTTTCATATTGTAAATGTCAGACAACATTGAGTGCAACTTGTTTAAAAAAAGTATTATACTATAGCATCAAAAAGAATCTGTGGAGTATTTGATCCAATGTTTAGATTTTTAAAATATATTTCAGAAGGAATGAAATAGTACAAATTGGAATATCTCAAACATAGTTTGATGTAGTTCTTTAATAATATTTAATATACAATGAAACTCATACTTCAGAAGTAACTATTTTCTTCATCTGTTATTTGCCAATCTCACATCATTTGTGCAAGTCATATTATTTTACTCAGCATAAAATGTATAGTTTTAATGCATAATGCCATTGATGTATTTTTACTGCTATCTATTTTAATGTATGAAACTATTTTAACCTTGGGTTATGTACTGATTTGTAGGAACAAAAGGAGACATCCCAAATTTTGGCACAGTGGAATACTGGTTCCGATTAAGAGTTCCCATGGATCAAGCAATTCGACTTTATCGAGAAAGGGCAAAGGCTTTGGGGTATATAACATCAAATTTTAAGGGGCCAGAGCATATGCAGTCGGTAAGCTCATTTGGCTTTAAGACCCTTTTATGACATAGAAATTTTATAATATTTATTTATGTGTCGTGCTTTAAACTAAAATCATTTTCACAGCCATCAAGTGTCTTTTTTTAACTTTTATTTTGAAGTAATCATATACTCACAGGAAGTGGTAAAAATAGTACAAAGAGATCCCCTGTAACCTTAACCCAATTTCTCCTAATTGTAACGTCTTGCATAACTATAGAATAATTTCAAAATCGGGACAATACTATTAATTAGGCTACATACCTTACTCAGATTTCGTCAGTTTTTACATGCACTTTTGTGTGTGTGTGTGTGTGTGTGTGTGTGTGTGCGCGCGCGCGCGCACGCGCGTACGTATATGTGCAATTATTCTTTGCAGTTTTATCACATGTATAGATTCATATAACTACCACCACAACCAAAATACAGAGCTGTTCCATCAACACAAAGAAACTGCCCCGTGCTATTCAGGACACTTTTGAAAAATTAATCATCACAATACTGCTGTCACACATCAAAAGACTTTTGTTAAAAATTTCTACTGTTAAGGAAATAAACAGCCGTTATTGGACTATCAGTTATTGTGCTTCCAAATTATTTCCTCATGTTAAGTTTCTGAACTGCAAAGTAGGATACAAAATTAATATTCTCTTTCTGGGAACTTGGAATTTAAATGCAATTCCTCAGGGTGGCATTTCCCAATGTTTCATGGAGTCTTAATGACCATATTTTCATATTAGTTCCATGATCCAATAAATGCAGAAGGCCTTGAATTGAGCAAGGTTAAATAGGATTCTTTACTTTAGGAGTTCTCATATATAACATGAATCTTTTTTTTTTTTTTTTTTTTTTTTGAGACGGAGTCTTGCTCTGTCACCCAGGCTGGAGTGCAGTGGCGTGATCTCTGCTCACTGCAAGCTCCGCCTCCCGGGTTCATGCATTCTCCTGCCTCAGCCTCCCAAGTAGCTGAGGCTACAGGCACCTGCCACTACAGCCGGCTAAATTTTTGTATTTTTAGTAGAGACGGGGTTTCACTGTGTTAGGCAGGATGGTCTTGATCTCCTGACCTCGTGATCCACCCGCCTCAGCCTCCCAAAGTACTGGGATTACAGGCATGAGCCACCGCAGCCAGTCTATATAACATGAATTTTAGTAGGCAATGTAAAGTATGCACTCACATTGAGTAACAGAGGGATAAGATATAGTAGAAACATTTGGTATGTCTGTTCAAGTCATAATTATCTTACCTCTTTTTTTATTTGGAACTCCTTCACCTCCAATCCATGGAGCTGGGCTCCCAGTGGCCAGGTTTGCGTTAGCAGATCCCATTTTCTTTCACTCCCCACCCTATTATAACTAATGATTTGGGAATACCCACTTGACCCCAGTTGAGCCAATCAGATTCTGCCCTCTGAGATCAGGAGAAAGCAAGACATATCTGGACACGTAAAATTGGGGGCTGTAGGCAGCCATCATCTACCATGTTAAACAGCGAAGGTAACACAATGAGTCTGAAGAAAGAGAGTAATGAACAAACATACAGAAAAAAATGGAGATCAGATGGAGAGGACATTCTGCTGGTTTCTAGGCCACTGCCTTCCGAAGGTCCAGCCATATTTCTACTATGTATTCCGTGAAATATGCCTGTAACCTTAAAGTCCCTTTTTTGTTGTTTTTGCTAAATAGAATTAGTTTCTATGACTTTCAGTTAAAGAAGCGTGACTAATATCACACTGATTCCCAAACTTAAGAAAGAGTGCACCTGCTTCCAGAGACCATCTTTCTGGCCAGTATTCCTTACAACATACTTTGGGAAATGCTGTTATGGGGATGGGAGTTAGAGATAAGGAGACCACATTGTTTGGTTTTGTAGTTTAAAGCTTTTTAGACTCCCAGATTCTGACTTGAATAAGTTGTTTCCTGGTGGAATTTCAGCTCTGGTGTGTAGATTGAAGGGGAGAAGTGGAGGTACTTTTTCAGTCATTCCTCTCAGCCTTCTATTGCTGAGGGCAAACTAGCCCTGGGAAAGCAATATTGTGATTCACGTCTTAGATTTCTCCTCTCCACACACCAGATTTGTCCACTAAGGAGATTATGACAACAGCTTTATTTTTTCCTCCTCCAATAAACTTCTCATGGAGTCAGGGTCCCAGATGCTCAATCCAGATTCAGAAATGCAGAGGGATGCCTTTGTGGAATGTAGAGACTCCAGCACTAAACCAAACAAAGCACAGAAACACTAGCATTTTCTTTGTTCCAGATTACATCAGCCATGGAAGATTTAACAGTCAGCACAATACTTTTCTAAAATATCTGTGTGCCGTCCATCTCCATAATAGTTCCAAAGGAACCGTAGAGTAGTTTCCAACTCTACCTAATAACTCCTTTTGTTCATCTCTCTCCTGAAGTATCCTCCCGGTCCTGGCTCTTTTTCCCTTCAAGGTTTGTCTCTGACTCTGTTCTCATTTTCTCGTAACAGTTAGACTTTGTTATACTGGCTAATTTGGCCTCAGGTATCTGCTTCCTCAAATCCCAACAGTTTCAGGATGAGGGCCAACCCAAATATAACAGAATCATTACTCTGGGTGGGCGGGTGAATGTATTTTAGTTAGGACATTCGTCTATCTACCCATTGCTCACTATAGTCTTTAGTTATCTAACAGAATTGAAGAACATCAGATTAACATTTTTCTTGGTTTTATTTGATTTTAGCACCAATCGCTACATGTATGCTCAGTCTCCAAGGTTTATTGCTAATAACAGGATCATCTATTCATACATGTTCTAGGGAATATTGATTTTCCATTAGAATAAAAGTTTATTTTACTGAGAAATTATGAAGTGAAAATATGCAGCTTTTGTCATTGACAAAATTATCTTATTTGGGGCTTGGCAGCTGCTGTTCATCTTTTAACTGTGTTATTTCCTTAATATAAATATGTATGTTTTTCCAGTTAAGTCAGCAAGCACCCAAAACTGCTCAACTCAGTTCTACAGATTCCACAGATGGCAACTTAAATGAACTTCACATTACAATAAGATGTTGCAACCACCTGCAGTCCCGAGCAAGCCACCTGCAGCCACACCCATATGTTGTGTACAAGTTTTTTGATTTTGCAGACCATGATACAGCTATCATTCCCAGTAGCAATGATCCACAGTTTGATGATCATATGTATTTCCCAGTGCCAATGAATATGGACTTGGATCGATACCTTAAGTCAGAGTCTCTGAGTTTTTATGTTTTTGATGATAGTGATACCCAGGAGAATATTTACATAGGAAAAGTCAATGTGCCTCTGATTTCGTTGGCACATGACAGGTGTATCTCAGGTAAGCCTATGTTTTTGAATCTATAAAATTGTAAAAACAAAACAAAATTATACCTTAGTGTTATGGATATGATTCGTTTATAACTAATCACCCTAACCTCTTCTCAGTCTTTAAACTTTAGGCCTATATTACTATATTTTAAAAATTATTTTCTTACTAGTCGCTCTATGTGCATCTTATCCCAGTATTAAGTTAAAATTAATACTAACTTAATGGAATTAAATACTTAAGGTATTTAATTAAATATTTAATTCAATTAAAATATAGAAAATCTAATATAATTTCATTCTCTCATCTCCTTTTTGCAATTATTATTGTATATATGTATATAGTATGCATCTCTATGTATTATATACCAACAGTACAATGTTATAATCATTGCTTTATAAAATCTTATATTCTTTAAAGAGGTTAAGAGAAGTAAGAGAAGAGAGAAAATATATAATTATAGAAGACTTTGATATTTACGTACATATTTGCATTTTTGATATTCTTTATTTCTTCCTGTAGACTTGAGTTACTGTCTGATATCAGTTTCTTATTCCAATATAGCTCCATTTCCTTCCCCTCCTTTGTGCTGTCACCATATATTTGGTCTTCCTATGTTATGAGCCCAACAATTATTGTTGTATGCAGTTATCTTTTAAATCAGTTAAGAGGAGAAAAGATAAAATGTATATTTATACTGTGTTTTGTAATTACCTATGTAATTACCTTTATTGGTCTCTATTCCTTTGTGTGGATTTGAGTTACCATTTCCTGTCTCTTTCCTTCAGCCTGAAGAACTTCCTATGACATGTCTTGTAAGTTAGGTCTACTGGTAGTGAATTCTCTCAGTCTGGGAGGATTCTGTTATCTGGGAATGTTTTTATTTTGATTTTGTTTTTTGAAGGATGGTCTTGCTGTATATAATATTTTTGGTCAACAGTTTAGTTTTTAACTTTCTGCACTTTGAGTACATCAGACCACTTACTTCTGGCATCCATTGTTTCAGATAAGAAATCAGTTGTTAATTTTATTGTGGTTCTCTCATACTTGATGTTGTTTTCCAGGTTTTTCTATTTGTTTTGGCTTTCAACAGTTCTACTGATGTGTCTAAATGTGGATCCTTTTGCATTTATCCTACTTAGAATTTATTGAGCTTCCTGTGTGTAGTGTAATGTTATGCACCACATTTGGGGAGTTTACTGCCATTATTTTTTCAGTTATTTTTTTCTCCTCTTTTTTTCTTCTCCTTCTTGAACTTCCAGTACATGTACCATATGCTGGTATGTTTGATGGTTTCCCCACAGGTCTCTGAGGCTCTATTCATTTTTGTTCATTTTTCCTCCCATTCTTCAGATTGAATAATCTGTTCTAATCAACCTGCAAGTCCATTAATTCTTTCTTCTACCAGTTCAGATTTCCTACTGAACCCTCTATTGAATTTTTTCATTGCAGTAATTATACTTTTCAACTCCAGAATTAGGGGTCTCGCTATGTTGCCCAGGCTGGACTTCAACTCCTAGGCTCAAGTGATCCTCCTGCCTCAGCCTCCTGAGCAGCTAAAACTACAGGCACATGCTACCGCACCCAAACATTATAATCTCTTACTATATTCCCTATTTGATAAAACATTATCATTATACTTTCCTTTTAATTATTTAAACACACTTTCTTTTAGTTCTTTGAACATATGGATAATAGCTGCTTTGAGATCTTTGCCAAGTCTAACATGTGGTCATCCTTAAAAACTGTCTATTGATGGGTTTTTTTGCTGTGTATGCAGTACATTTTCCTATTTCTTTGCATGTCTCATAAGTATTTTGTAGAAAACTGGACATTTTTGGATAATATATTGTAACGTCATTTCCTAGGTGGTTATTGTTGCTATTTTTGCTTGGTGACTTGCCTGGACTATTTCTGTAGAATCTATTTCCTCTGCTGTGTATAGCCACTGATGTTTCAGCTAAGTTTTGTTTCTTTTTTTCTTTTTGTTTCACTTTTAACCATAGGTCAGCATAGCTTAGTGGTCAGTCAGTGATTGTTCAAAGGTGTGCTTAAACACCTTGAGCCAGTAGGTTTCCACCTTTTGCCTATGGGTCAGTGTGTGGCATGGAGGATGCATTCAAATCAAAGTTCAGTCTACAAGCCTGCCTCAGCTTTTACTTTCCGAATTGACTAGACCTCTCATTCACCCAGGGACAGATAGCTTACCAGGGTCCTCTTTGATTTCTCCTGAGCATTTACACAGTTTTGTGTGTGTGCCCATAGCCTTCCACATCATGAGCTATAAATAGGCTCTTGTCAAGGCCCACTTCTTTTTTTTTTTTTTTTTTAGATGGAGTCTTGCTCTGTCGCCCAGGCTGGAATGCAGTGGTGCCACCTGGGCTCACAGCAACCTCCTCTTCCCACGTTCTAGCAATTCTCCTGCCTCAGCCTCCCAAGTAGCTGGGATTACAGGCACCCGCCACCACACCTGGCTAATTTTTGTATTTTTAGTAGAGACAAGGTTTCACCACCATGTTGGCCAGTTGGCCAGGCTGGTCTCAAACTCCTGACCTCAAGTGATCCACCTGCCTCAGCTCCCAAAGTGCTGGGATTGCAGGGGTAAGCCACCGCACCCAGCCAACGCCCACTTCTGATATCTTATTCCTTGGATTTCCCTTTTAAATTGTTGGCTGGCCTTCTGGTGTTTTGGCTTGCCCCAACCAGTATTGAGACCTCAGGCTGTCTGTGATGTTGACCTTCTCTGATTGTTTGCCATTGAGGTTGCTGTTGTTTTTAACGATGCCTCTGGGCATGAAATTATCTATATTTTGCTCCACATATAGTCAGCACCCTACAACAGAGGCTGCCAGTCCTCTTAGCCTATCCTAGACTGGCAGAAATTCTCCAAAATGGGAGTGGGGGAGAAAGGGTAAGATGAGAGCAGTCCCACAGATTCCTACTGTTCTTACTGAGGTGCAGTTGATTTTCTTGAGTAAATGCTTCTCAATTTATCCAGTATCTTTGATCAATTTCCAGACTCCTTAAATGGTTGTTTCTGACCATTTTGTCCAGTTTTATCATTTTTTTAGAGAAGATTTGCTGAGCTTTTTACTTAGCCATTCTGGAAGTCTTGCTATGCCTATAAAAGTTTATCACCTCATGTTCTACTTATGTCCTTTTATCCTACCCAAAGTCTAGAGTTTGGGAGGTTTTTTTTTTTTCCAGCCAGCCATTAAAAGGAGTATCAACACTTGAGAGCAAAGTAAAGGATACTCTTAAGCAAAAGCTAATGCCTGAAATTTAGGTTTGAGCCGGTGCCTGTAGTCCCAGCTACTCCGGAGGCTGAGTAGGCGGATGGCTTGAGGCCAGGAGTTCAAGGTGGCCAGTGTGCTATGATCGCATCTGTGAATAATCACTGCACTCCAGCCTGGGCAACGTAGTGAGAACCTGTCTATTTAAAAAAAAAAATAAAAAGATATATAGATTTTGTTTAAGTCAGAGATTTTTTTATACCCAAAAATCCAGTGCAACTGTTAAAATTTGAGACTCAATATAACAGATTCAAGTTTCTTTTGTTACTGCTATTTGTTGTAGATGGTCCATTTATTTTATGGGCTTTTTCTGTGCTACTATTAATTTGGAGTGATTTAACAAATCCCAACAAAATATATTTAAAATTATAATAGAATTATATGGTAACATACAGTTTCCTTTAAATGTGTAAATTATTTGAAATTTTAAAGTATTAATATATTTTTCTTTAGAGACAAGCCAAAAGACTTACAAAAACTTTCAAGTCAAAATGGAGGATACTTGAGCCTTCACGAAGGAAGGCTAAGAATTCTGAATAATGTCTGAATTTAATTTCAGTGAATTAAGTTATTTATAAATTAATTGTCTCATCTTTGAATCAGTATTATCTTTGAGGTCTTAACTTCTGAAGGAGATCTACTTGAGAGATGAGCCTGTCATAGATCATTTTGTCTTTATTTTACTCTCTAAGCCATCTGAATTCTGAGTGAAAGCCAAAATTATTTTTAAAGTAGGGGGTACAACCACCTGGCTAGTTCACATGGTAGAGCATGAGTCTCTTAAAGTAGGGAGTAGTTCTTTGTTCTTTAATTCTTACAGTAATAAAACTTCACTCTAGCATTAATTAAAATTATTGTAATTTGACAGGAATATTTGAGTTAACAGACCATCAAAAGCATCCTGCTGGCACCATCCATGTTATATTGAAATGGAAATTTGCTTACCTTCCACCAAGTGGATCAATAACAACTGAAGACTTAGGAAATTTCATTCGCAGCGAAGAGCCAGAAGTTGTTCAAAGACTTCCTCCAGCATCCTCTGTTAGCACACTAGTTTTAGTGAGTATCAGTGACTTTTAATTTTTTTACAAGTATAAAATTTTGAATATAAAGCTTAAGAACTAAGCTGCCACCCCCACCAAAAAAAAATAATAATAATAGCTAAAGTCTTATCTGAAATCTAATGGTCATCATACTCAGTCTGACACATTGGTTGGTTTGTCTTAGGCACCAAGACCTAAACCAAGACAACGTTTAACACCTGTAGATAAGAAGGTATCTTTCGTGGATATCATGCCACATCAGAGTGATGTAAGTAGTAGACACTGAAAATACTGATTTTTTCATAACAAATATTTGAAATAAATTATATAGGCATATTATTCCCTACCTGATTTAAATGGAAACAGGTGAATAAAGTATGTCTTTTCCCATTAAAGTGATTGCTTTGTGTTTCGGCACTATATATAAGTGTTAACTGTTCAAATTTTTTATCTAAACCCTTTTTTGGGCCCTTACCTCTCTCTAGCTTCTGCCCCAATCCTCTGCTCCTATTTTTTTTTTAAGTCTTCAAAAAATTGTCTAAATTCTGTCTCCTTCACTTCACATTGTTTCTTGGACTCACTTCATTCAAGCTTTTATCCTCATAAAACTACTCTTACTAAGGTCACAGCGACTTTCTCTCTGCCATATACAGTAGTCAATTCTCAGTGCCTGTCTTCATCTCCCAGGAGCATTTGACAGTGAAATATGGGCCTCTCTTCTCTTGGCCTCTGGGACACCATGCCTTCCTAGCTTGCCTCCAACTTTACTGTTATACTTCTCATGCTCCTTGATCATATGTTTAAATATCGTCGTGCCTCTGCAGTCAATCCTCAGACGTCTTCTCAATCCATATCTACATTAAGAGACCTTATACAGTCACATGGCTTTAAAAAAGCATCTATACGCTGACACTTTCATATTTATAATCTTTAGTCTAGACCTCACTGCTGAATTTCATATTCATTTTCTTACTACCTATTTAATGTGCAATGAATGTTTAATGGGAATTTAAACTTAACATGTCAGAAACCAAACTCCTGATTATACCAACCCTCTTCCAAAATTTTTGCCTCTTTCACTGTTTCCCATTCTCTGTAAATGACATAATCATTCACTTGATTGCACAGGCATGAAATTTTGGAGGCATCCTCTTGACTCCTCTTTTTTCTCACCCCTACACCCAGGTCATCCACAAAAGGTGTCAGCTGTACTTTAAAAATATATACTGTATTCAGATTTTTACCATTCTCTGTGGTGGACTTTTTAGAAAATATATCTTCTTTGTAATTCACATATAACTTACATAGTAAAGGACATCAATCTTAAGCATAGAGCTCAATGGATTTTTAAATATGTATACACCTGTGTAACTACCACCCACATCAAAATATTCTGTCTCTCCAGAGCTTAAAATAATACCTGGCACATACAGAGCATTTAATATGTATGTGATAAATAATGAATTCAATAATTATAATTCAGTAGATGTTTTATCACTAGTATTTATGGAGTGCTTGTTATGTGCTTTATATACATTGGACTCATTTAATCCTCACAACAACCCTATGTAGTTGATACTAGAATTATTCCCGTTTAAAGATAGGGAAAGTGATGTTTAGAGAGGTTAAGTAACTTGTTCATGGCCCAAGTATTAGAACTGGGATTTGAACACAGTAGCCTGATTCCTAAGTAAATGACCACTAACATTAAAAAGACATAAACATAGAGGTGTTTGTTGCAATGTTAGTCATGATACCTAAAAACTGTGAACTAGTTAAATGTCCAACAATAGTAAAATGGTTCATTAAGCCATGGCACACCCATGAATATAATATTCTATTGTCATTTAAAATTATGTTTTTCTAAGTTTCATATCAGGAGAAAATATTTATGTTATGATATTAAATTTTTTAAATGCAACAGGATATATTGTATTTATAATGCAGTTATTATTGTGTAACCAAAATTTTTATTTCCATCAAAAATTAGTTTTAAAGAAATAGAAATCTAAGAAGTTTAATAGGTATTACCATTGAGTACTAGATTTATATTGATTTATTTTATATTTATCTTTTACATTTCCTATATTGGCCATGTTTACTTTTAAAAATAGTAAAAGTCATAAGCTGTATTTTAAAACTAAACATTCGTTTGTTAACCCAGGAATAATAGCTAACTATAAATTCATATTTGATGAAATAAAAAGATGACATTGATTTTAAGGAATACATACCTATGCTAGCATATGACATTTTTAAAATCACATGAGTAGTTTATAATCATCATAGAAATATTAGAAAATACAAAGAAGAAAAAAAAAACAGTGAAAATAAAAGTTAATGTTCCCAAATCTAAAACTCAGAGATACTGTTTGGATGAATTTCCTTTCATACTTTTTCCCATGGAAATACACACATATGTGTGTTTGCTTGCTTGTTTGTATTTTAATCAAACATAATACAACTATATATATAGTTCTATAAGTAGCTTTTTTACTCAACACTATGTTATGTATTCTCTGTAATGTTAATAAACACAGGTCTACATCATTTTTTTTTCACAGTTACACAGAACTCAGGTATTTGGATATAGCATATTTTATTTAACTAATGCCCTGTTGAACATTTGCATTGCTCTCAGTTTTTTTTTGCTATTGTAAACAGTGCTTCAATGAACTAAACTTGCAGTTCTTAAATTACATATATATTTATATTTTAAAGAATATAAATACCATTTTATTGAAATATACTAAGTAAATTCAGTGTCATATGAGTAACTGTTACATTTGCTGCCAATTTTTAGTAGTTCAATATGTATATGATAGAATGATTTGGGATTTAGTAATAAATAAAAAATGACATACATGCGTGTTTTCACATTAATATAAGGAGACTTCTCCTCCTCCTGAAGATAGGAAGGAAATTTCACCAGAGGTAGAGCATATACCAGAAATAGAAATTAATATGCTGACTGTTCCACATGTTCCCAAGGTATGCATTTGTGTTAAAATTATTTTGGAAGGTTTAATTTGGTTCTTAAATACTTTGTCTTATAAGTTTTGACATGACTCAGGAAGTCATAGCATTTCCCCTATTTTTATATATGACTTCCTTGGAATAGAAAGTCAAAAATATGACAAGGGTAACAGCCATAATTATACTGCTATTGACAGGTAATATATGAATATTTGAATTAAAGTCTTAATGTAAAATTCATTTTGAGATTAATACATTTTTTATTCTTAGTACATATTCAGATTTCCATTTATCTATATATTATCATTTGTACAAATTGAAGTGGTTGTTTTCTGAGTCTCATACATATTACATATCTGTATATTTAAGTCTCAAATTTACATGCTTTATTATTCAACTGTTCCAGCAATAATGCTATAAAATGTGATCTAAGCAATTATAAATATACCAGTGTGCTTTGATTTCTTCAGGTTTCACAAGAAGGCAGTGTAGATGAGGTAAAAGAGAATACTGAGAAAATGCAGCAAGGAAAAGATGATGTGTCTTTACTATCTGAAGGTCAGCTTGCAGAACAAAGCTTGGCATCTTCTGAAGATGAAACAGAAATAACAGAGGACTTGGAACCAGAAGGTGACTTTCTTATTTAAACTAACATTGTTTAGTTAACCCTGTGCTTTGTTTTATCTGTTAGAGTATGCATCATAGAACATCTTCATTTAATGGTAGCGTCTACTTCACGATACCTGTTTCTTGACAGAAATGATAGAATATAGTTCCATCTTCTTAGTTGTAGTTAGGTGGAATTGTTGTATCTCTTCTTATTTCAACTTGGAGCTCCACAATAGAATACAAGTGTTATTGCTGACCATGTTCCCAATTTATGTTTTAAACAGTTTTGTGTTCTCTTTGAGTTCAGTATTATTATTTGCATTAGCGTAGAGGTCTTGACTTTTTAAAAATTGAAATCCAGCCAAAAATGACCACTTACTGTATTTTTTAAAATCTGGTAAAAGCAAACAATCTGTAAGAATAGGAATGGGGAGGGGCAGAAGGGAAGAGATTACAGAGGGACCTGAGGAGATTTTTTGAGGTGATGGACATGTTCACTGTCTTAACTGTGGTGTTGGTTTCACAGTTACACTTACGTCAAAACATCTAATTTTAGCCAGGCATAGTGTTGCACATCTGTGGTCCCAGCTACTTGGGAGGCTGAGAAGGGAAGATTACTTGAGCCCAGGACTTCGAGGCTGCAGTGTGCTATGATGGTGCCTGTGAATAGCCACTGTACCCCAGCCTGGGTAACATAGCAAGACCCTGTCTCTAAAAGTAATTAAAGAGTGTGTGTGTGTGTGTGTGTGTGTGTGTGTGTGTGTGTGTGTGTGTCAAATATTGCAGTTTAATTGTGTGTAGTTTATTGTCTGTCAGTTTTATTTCAACAAAGCAATAAAAATTTTAAAACTTTAAAATAATAAGAATAGCATTGACTTACATAACATTACTGGTCAGACTGTTAAAAAACATCTATTACCCTATGGTTCTCTTTTTAAAATTTTTTTCTTAAATTTCACAATAAGCTGTATTTTTATTGGCATTTCCTTTGCTTCTACCAAAATTAACCTTGAAATTTTTAGTCTTTTTTTTCCCTAAAATGTAATGTGTCTGTAAACAAATTTGCTACTAAAAAAGATCTAGGTATAATTACCATGTTTCTTAAGGTTATCTTATGGTGTGTGCTTGTTTCTCTTTATTTTACAGGGTATAAGTAGAATTGGTTTAACTTGTGTAAATGTTACCCTTTTATTTTTTAAACAGTTGAAGAGGACATGTCAGCTTCTGACAGTGATGACTGTATTATTCCAGGTCCTATCTCCAAGAATATCAAACAGGTCAGTAACTTGATGCCAACTAGAAATGTTCTGAAATAAGGCTGCCTTTCATTCACAGTACATATGTAGTCTTCATATATAAAAATCTTAAGGAAAACTATTTCTGGAAAAACTTTAATGTTTATCATAATCTTAACCAAGTAGTCATCTACTACAAGAAATTTTTATGTATGGTTTCATTATGTAATGGACTATAACATGTAAGTATTATTTTCACAAAGAGTACCTTAAATCTGTACCTCCAATAGCTACTTGCTGAAACTAGCTGACTTCTTGACTCCTTTTCAAGACTAGCATACCAAGATGTGTTGAAGAAGATTTGAACTTTAAAGAATTCAAAATGTGAGATGCTCTTTGAAACTATAATAGTTTGCCTATGTGAATTCATAGACTACTCTTACCTAGATATATCCACTGATAATATGTTACAGTTATTTCATTTCTGCCAAAACAAGTGAAGCCTTCTTAGAAAGCAATTAATCTTGTGCCGGTATACTTTGCTTTTCTTAGAGCACATGGCTGAAAAGTAGTATGTAAATTGAAATTTTGAGAAGAAAATTATATTTTTTAAAATATATATGGGAAGTATACTGTTTACCAGAGCATTTTTTATTGTAAGAGGGAAAAAGTTTTTATAAAGTAAATGTAAGTAGAGTAAAAAGCTCTAGCTTTTTCTATTCATCTATGTTAATTTTTCTTAAGTGATTAATTGTACTTTTGTAGAATTTTTAGTTTATTGATAAGAATTGGAATATTTCTTTTAACTCTTCCTTCACACATTCTTAGTTTAATCTCTCTTTAAAACAAAACCACAGACCAGGCACAGTGCTTCACACCTGAAATCCCAACACTCTGGGAAGCCAAGGCAGGAGGATCATGTGAGCACAGGAGTTCAAGGCTGCAGTGAGCTATGACTGCACCACTGCACTGCAGTCTGGGTGACAGAGTGAGATTCTGTCTCTCAAAAAATAAAGAAATAAAGCAAAACAATAGAACAGAACATTTCAGTTGTTGTCACAGATTCCTCCATGAAATAGAGATACCCATCGTTTCTGTTCTTGATAAATACAAATAGAACATTTTATCTGTCCAAAGTTTTATCATTATTATTATATATTTATTAATTACAATAACAGCATCCAATCTATGAAAACTCCTACTTAGACCTGCAATAGAACCATGTGTATGTTGGCAACGTGGCTAGCATCTCAGTGAAGTTGTACATTGCTCTTAACTAAGGTAGAATAAACTTTAATTTAACAAAGAAGTTTAGCAAAATAAATAACTGTTTCTCTAAATATTCCAATAATTCTAATGTACATATATATTTTTTCTTTCTAATAAACTGGATTTTTTTCTCATTACCTAAGGGAAAATAATTTGTCTTACTTTGCTACAGCCTGATACGGTCTTCACTACCATTCCAAAATTTGATTTCCTATAATGGTTTCAGATGCTATCTCAAATGTGAACATCATTTAAAGCAAGCAGTTCTTCATGCTTCAGCTCCCATGGGCTTTAAAAAATTCTATTTTCAGCAGCAGTCACTGACCAGCATCCTATGTTTCCTTAGTTTGTTTTGTGTTACTATAAAGGTATACCTGAGGCTGGGTAATTTACAAAGAAAAGTGGTTTATTTGGCTCACAGTTCTGCAGGCTGTACAAGAAGCATGGCACTGGCATCTGCATTTGGTGAGGGCCTCAAGCTGCTTCCACTCATGGCATAAGGATAAGGGGAGCTAGAGCATGTGTAGATCACATGGCAAGAGAGGAAGGAGGAGAGAGAGAGGTGAGAGTTGCCAGGTTCTTTATAACAATCAGCTCTCAAGGGAACTAACAGAGTGAGGGCATTAATCTATTCGTGTGGGATTTGCTCCCATGACCCAAACACCTCCCAATAGACTCCACCTCCCCACACTGCCACACTGCGGATTAAATTTTAACATGACCTTGGTGGAGACGAACAAACCATATTCATACCATAGCATATTGTTAACAGGTGAAATTTAATCTTGGTAAATTATATACCAAATTTAGTAAAATGGTATCATCTGAAAGCCTGGGAACAAAACTCAAGAAATCATAATGGCTAATGATGTAATTTGAATGAAGGTGTCCCCTCCAAAATTTATGTTGAAACTTAATCCCCAATGCAACATTATTAAGAAATATGGCCTTCAGGAGTTGATTAAGTCATGAGGACAGAGCTCTCGTGAATGGGATTAGCACCCTTTTGAAAGGGCTTGATATTGAAGAGAAGTTATCTTGCTCTTCTGCCATGTAAGAACACAGCATTCCTCCTCTGAAGAGGATGCAGCAACAAGGCACCATCTTGGAAACAGAGAGCAGCCCTCACTAAACACCAAACCTGCTGACACCTTGATCTTGGACTTCCCAGTCTCCAGAACTCTGAGAAATAAATTTCTATTATTCATAAATTACCCAGTCTGTGATACTTTGTTGTAGCAGCACAAATGGACTAAGACAGTGAAATACAGGATTTTCTATTGATTTTACCAGTTTTTGTGTGTACTACTTTAGCAAATCATTTAATATGAATAATAGAACCTTTCTCTTTAAAGATTGCAAAAGTGGTACAAAGAACTTCTGTATATTCCTTACCTGGATTCATAGATTTTAAGTCTTTACTCTATTTGTTTTATCATTTCTAGTCTCTCTCCTATATATGCATATAGTGCACATACTTAGGTATTTACTTATAAACATACATTCTTTCATACATAATTGTTATGAACCATTTGAGTGTTGCAGAAATCATGCCCCTTTAATTCTAAACACTTCAGAACAATTATATAATATTGTTATCTAATCTACGGTTTTCATTAGAATTTTGCCAGTTGTCCTAGTAATACCATTTATAGCATCTTATTCATATGGTCCAAGATCCAATCCAGATCACACATTGCATTTCGTTTTCATGCCTCTTTAGCCTGCATTAATCTGTAATGCTTCTTCAGGCTTTCTTGTAGTGTTTTATAACAGTGATACTCTTTAATACAGGCCATTTACATTGTAACATATTCTTCATTGGATTTGTCTGGTGTTTCCTCAAGATCAGATTCCAGTTATGCATTTTGGTAGGAATACAGAAGCGATACTGTGTGCTCTTCATTGCATCATATCAGGAGGTAGAAAATGTCATTTTGCCTAATTATTGATGGTGTTAACTTTGGTTGAAGTGTTGTTTCATAAATCCTTTTGTAAGCTTAAAAATACTTGTGGTTCATTAGTTTTTTCTTTTGTCTTCTCTAAGAACTGCTTCTGGTAAAAATCTCAGAACAGTGAAACATAGCTTTCATAGGAAGGAATGTATTACTGAATGCCTGTTATGTGCTAAGTACATCCTATGTTAATATTTCCTCACAACAATTCTTTATTTATTAGCATCCATCGTGTGTCAGGCAGGCATAAAAGAAGCAGTTCTTTCCCTCAAAGAATTCATAGTCTGTAGGGGAAACACAATTAAAATGCATAGTGGTCTGCACCAGGAGAATGGAATGCATGGGGTGCTATGGGAGCATTCAGAAGGGGTCCCTAAGTCAGCATGAGGGGTCTTCCCTTCATCAAGGATGACTTCCTAGAGTCAGTAAAGCTGGAGCCAGTGTTGAAGATGATTAGGAGTTCATGAAAAGGGTGAGAAAATCATAGGCCAAAGGAATGAAAAGCATGAGAATCTGAGAGAACGTAGTGCATGGCTTGTTCTGGAATTCAGAATGGTTTCAGGATGGGCCAAGCCTATTATGGTATGCTTAGGGAGCCCAGGAGAATAGGCTGAAAAGGGAGGCATAATCCAGAGCGTTGAGGCCTCTGAGATTTTTAAGGAATGGGGATAGAAGATCACCCATTCATTAAACAGATATATATGTAGTGGGCATTTGCTGTGTTCCTAGCCTTGTTCTAGGGACTGGGAATAGATCCACGAATACAAAAAATTAAGCTCCTGATCTTAAGGAGTTTGCATGCTTGATCACATTTTGAAAGATCATGCTGTCAATAATGTAAAAAACAGATTAGAGGCACAAACTAGTTAGAAAGGAATTAGATAACCCTACTCTATAGTTATCCCTACTTTTTAAAAAATTGCCTCTATTTTATAATGTCACAAAATTAGGACTAGAAGTAGTGTCCTAGATAAGTATCATTTATGCCAGTTACACTGTGAATTTGAATTATCTGATATACTGTGTAAGCAATTTAAGATCAGTTTCTTTTCTTCATGTTACAGAATCTGACAGTTCCTAGTTATTTCTTAGAAATGTTGATCCTTAAAAGGAATCTAACAGATTTCCCAGTACTTCTACGTATTACTTGGTTCTTTCTCTTTTCTTCATGTCTGTGATGTATAATTAATCATAGATTACTTCATTTTGTTTCATTTCATTTACAACATTTATGAGCTTCACTTTGTCAGTATGAAATGCTTGTCCCCTCCTTTCCTTTCCAAAGTGGCGTAATTAGTGTTAGCATCTTTTTTAACAGGCTACATAAAGTTTAGTGGCTGGATTAAATCAAGTCATTAACATAATGTGCCACCCAATTTGCCCCTATCTTTCTTCGTTTCCCGGACATCAAAGTGCCACATAGCGCAAGTGTAATTGGGCCTTGCTGGCCTGTCAGATTCCGTCAGCCTGACAACTGCTGCTTTTACTAAAAAGCTTCTAGGCATGATAATTAATGGCGAGTGTGGGGGGACAGAATTCTGAGAGATGTAAAACTTTGGACATTTCTCTATGAATATTTTATTAATTTGAATAATCAGAAGTTAACAGTATAAATTTGATGTATAATACATTGATTAAAAGCCTTGTTTCAGGTCCTCAAAACAGACATCAAAACTGAACATTTGCATCTGCCATGGCATTAAAAAAAATTAACAATCCATCTTTTGCATTATTTCTAATTTTATCATTCAATAGTGCAGCTTTCATTTTTCACAACAAAATGTATTGCCATGAACTCACAGCTGTCTTAAAATGTGCCCACAGGTGAGAACGGGAAATTACAGGCTGAAAGAGCAATGGACTCTTCTGTGCAGTGCATATTTACATCATTCTCTTTCTCTGTTCCTACTCCTAGCAGTTGTGTGAAAACTGCCATATTCAATTGGACTAAATTGCAGTTCCACCTGGAAACTAGGTTCTCTGAACAATGAGCTGGCATTCCCAGGTGATTACAATAACGATGTTCAGCAAAGTATGTTTAAAACTTTGAAAGGCACAATGCAGAAATCAATTCACTCGCTTTAGAATTCGCATATGAAAAATTATTAAATCACTTAGGAATCAAATATGATATCTTATCAGTGGATAAAATAAGCCACTCTCAATGTTTTACATGTGGAAGCTTAAGCTAGATAGAGAGTAGGTTTTAAAATATATTTTACTTGGCCGGGTGCGGTGGCTCACACCTGTAATCCCAGCACTTTGGGAGGCTGAGGTGGGCAGATTACCTGAGGTCAGGAGTTCTAGACCAGCCCAACCAACATGGTGAAACCCTGTCTCTACTAAAAATACAAAAATTAGCCGGGCGTGTTGGCGGGCACCTGTAATTCCAGCTACTCGGGAGGGGAGGCAAGACAGTCCTTGAGCCTGGGAGGCAGAGGTTGCAGTGAGTCGAGATTGCACCACTGCACTCCAGCCTGGGCAACAGAGCAAGACTCTGTCACAAAAATAAATAAATAAAAATAAAATATATTTTATGTCAAACTGGAAATGTTGACATACTCTCCTAGTAGAAATTGCTTTTAAAACTATTTTTTATGCTTTGCAATTTAACTAACTCTTACTAATATACCATCAACATTTTTCCATAACAGTATACTCTATTTCTTTCAACATACCTATAATATTCCATTATATGGCTATACTATATTTATTTAAATAAGCCCCTTTTGATGGACCCTTAAGTGTTTCTATGATTTTTTGCTAATACAAATATATCTGCTTAAGATGAACATTATTATATATAACAATGTTTGAAAATTCATGTTTTCTCCTATTACACTCTTTGCCAAACTAATGAATAAATTTTGCCTTAGTGATGATTTCATTTAAAAAGAAACAAATGGGGCCAGATGTGGTGGCTGACAGCTGTAATCCTAACACTTGAGGAAGTCCAAGGCAAGAGGATTGTTTGAGGATAGCAGTTCAGGACCAGCCTGGGCAATGTAACAAGACCCCCATCTCTACAAAAACAATTTTTTTACATTGGCCAAGCCTGGTGACACATGCTTGTAGTCCTAGCTACTCTGAAGGCTGAGGTTGGAGGATCGCTTGAGCCCAGGAGTTCAGGGCTGCAGAGCTGGGATCATACCACTGCACTCCAGCCTGTGTGACAGAGGAGAACCTGTCGCTGCAACACACACACACACAAAAGAAATACAAAAAGGTCTATATATATATTTTTATTTGCACATACAGACATGACATTTAGGTTTATGTAAGCAAAGAAAATGTTTGGGAAAATGTACATCTGACAGCGTTAGCAGTGAATATCTCTAGGGCAGGAGTCAGCAAACAATGGCCCCTGTGCCAAATCCAGCCCTCTACTGTTATTGGAACCCAGCCACCCGTTCGTTTACATATTATCTATTGCTGCTTTCACTCCACAAGGGCACAGTTGAATACCATATAGCTGCAATGCCAAAAACATTTGTATTCATCCTTTTACAGAAAAAAAAATTGCCAACTCATGAGTTAGGTGGTAGAATGAAACAAGGAACTTTCATATTTGACATTTGGTAATTTATATTGTTGGATTATTTTTAATGGTGAGCATCGATTGACTCAAAAAAGGAAGTAGTTAGCTAATTCTGTACTAAAATGTTGAATAATAGCAAAAGAACTGTTTAACATGAATATTGTGAAAGCTTTTCTATAAAGATGTTAGAAGTCTCCATGGATGGAAGATGAATCTTTTTTGGTTTAGAGCAATATTTCTCAAAGTGTGATCCCCAGAGTTCAGCATCAGCATCTGCATCACCTGAGAATTTGTAAGAGATGCAAATCCTTGGCCCCACCAGAGACCTAATGAATTAGAAGTTCTATGGAGTCCACCAATCCGTGTTTTATCAAGTGATTCTGGGGTATGCTAAAATGCAAGAACCATAGCTTTAGAAAAAAGTGGTACTTTTCACCCTTGGCTGCACATGAGAATCGTCTGGGGAGCATTGTTAAATGCCAGGGCCCAGGCTCCACCTAGATAAATTAAGTCAGAATTTTGTTTATAGCTCCCCTGGTGATTCTAATGTGCAGCCAAAATCAAGAACCACTGCACTGCAACATCTGTTCTCAGTGATGGTGAAAGGAGAGTAGCATATCAAAATCACCTGAAATTGAGGGTGATTTTTAAAATTCTCCTTGCTTCACATTGCTGCAATGTGTCATATCCCTCAGGTTTGTATCTATTTATACACATTTATACACACACACACACCATTTCTATGGTGATGAAATAATACCAATTTATAATTATTTGGCATAATTATTTGGAGATTAATTTGATATTAGGGCAGGAAAAAAATAATCCAAATCACTGCAAGGACATAGTAATTTATAGGGCATATAAGGACACCGTGACAATGTTCTAAAAATAAGTACTGTTAAAGCTAGCACTGTTTTGATCCCCATCACTGAAGTTTGCAACGTTTACCTTATTTGTTTAATATAGTACATTTTAACAGAACATGTTAGAAAAGATAGATTACTGCCACGGACGAAAACTGGGTGGTTTTCTTTTGTTTGTTAAAAACCTTATTACCTTGACAGCTTGAGATTCTGGAGACATCACCTTTGTATGTACTTATTATTATTATTTTAAATAATCAACAGTTGTTAAAATAAACAGTTAAACAGTTATTAAACAATCAAAATGCTTTAATCAGAACTTGTATGAGGAGTGGATTTGATGCACAATGTAAGAGGAAGCTTTGGAGCCTGATGTGAAGGACTGAAGGGGATTTTTTTGAGTCTTTGAGAGGATGTCTCTGCCCATGCCCAGCCTGAAGAAGGGAACTTGTAAGAATCACCATTAATTAATATGCATTCCTACCCTACTTACATATGGCTCTGTCAATACCAGTGGTTGAGTCTGATTGTTTTAACCAACTGTTTTGAGCTTGTCTTAGAGCTCACCCCAATTAAAATTTGTACTCTTCAAAAGCATTGACATAGATCTTGGCCTTCTATTTCCATTTTGTCTCTGTTGTTTTGTTACAAAGTAACAAGTTCTACATACTGTGGCTCCTACAGGTAGGCTTTATTTGTATCTATGTACACACACACACACACACACACACACAGTATTTTTATAAATAATACCAATTTATAATTATCTGGAGATTAATTTGATAATACTTTATGGTTGAAATTCTCTTACCTATTACCCAGCAGTTCTGCTCCTAAGGGAATCATGCATGTATACAAGAAAACATAAAAGGATATTTAATGCAACATTGTTTGCAATAGCAAAAAATTGTAAACAATGTAACATAAAAGGATATTTAATGCAGCATTGTAATAGCAAAAAATGGTAAACAACATAATTGTTCATCAGCAGGTAAATAAATGTACTATAGATTATATATGCAATATAAATAGGATTCTGTACAACAGTTAATATGAATAAATTGGATTTGAAAAATAAATGTGATAAATCTCAAAAATATAGTATTGAGTATAAAAAAACAGAAATTGCAGAATGATTAATAAGAATATGATACCACAAATATAAAACCAAAAAACAGAAAATAATACTGTATGTTGTTTATAGATATACACACATGCAGTAGAAAATATAAAGGCATGTTTGGGAATGATACAACCAACTTCAAGATAGTGGTAACCATGGGGGAATGAGGAAGGGAGGGGAAAGGATTTGGCAGCTGGTAGTTTTACCTGTATCTGAAATATTTTATTTCTTCAAAAACAACAATAAAAAGACTTAAGTTGGTTATAGAAAAATGGTAACATCTGTTTGAGATGGCTGACTAGTTGAATTGAATATGCCAAATTATTTTCTGTACTTTATCATGTTTGAAATGTTTTATAATAAAAAATTAAAGAAATGCCTATTCATTTTAGAAACTTGGAATAAAATTAAGCTCACCTGTAATCTCACCATAATTAGATTTAAATGTAACTGACTGAAACAAGTTGCAAGACCTTTATCATAGGCCATTCTCAATTATGCAGTACTATTTTTAAGGGTTGTCAGGTTGAATTAGTTTTCAGAAGCCCAACAATTCAACTCCAGTATGGCTGCGTGTAGTGGCTGAAACCAGAGGAAGAATTCAGCACAATCCTGTGAAGTAGGATGTGAAAATTTTAAGCATGCCAATAATAAGCCTAAGTAAACACTTTAGATCACATAGAAAAATATGATCCAAAGTATGAATTATCATCAGTCAGGAAGCAATAGTGGAATTGAGCCAAAATCACGAGAGCTATAATTTATTTTTTTAGAGCAATACAAGCTGTCATCACATTTCTAGATCATTTAATCACATAACACATAGTGTCCATCTATACAGACAACTAAAAATAAGTTGCATGGAGTTCTGATTTGAATGACTTCTGTTCACCACAAAAAAAATTTTTTTTTTTTTTTTTTTTGAGAGACAGGGTCTCACTCTGTCACCCAGGGTGGAGTGTAGTAGTGCAGTCTCACCTCACTGAAACCTCTGCCTCCCATGTTCAAGCGATTCTCCTGCCTCAGCCTCCCGAGTAGCCGGGATTACAGTCACACACCACCACACCTGGCTAATTTTTGTATCTTTAGTAGAGAAGGGGTTTCACCATGTTGGCCAGGCTGGTCTTGAAGTCATGGTCTCAAGTGATCCACTTGCCTCAGCCTCCCAAAGTGCTGGGATTACAGGCGTGAGTCCCCACGGCCAGCCCACAATCAAAATTTATAAATGTTCTTTTTACATGGTGATACTGAGGATGCTAATAGGGTAATTGGTGAACAAGAAAAAAAGAACTGAGAAGAAGCATCTTACCTGGTAACAAAAATTCATACACGTAGAGGGGAAACAAAACAGGAAAAGTCTAAAGCCTGTGCTGTCTGGCCAATTTCCTGTATCAAAGGATGCTGGTAGCCTGCAGAGGAATGACCGGTCATGTTGCTCTAGTAATTCTGAACAATTATTATTCATCTCTTTAAAAGCCTTTGCTTCAATTACTGTCATTTGAATCAGTATATTATTTAGGACATCTTCCAATTCACCTGATTGAGACTTTTTCCCATTTTCTTTTTTTTTTTTTTTTTTTTTTTAGTATTTATTGATCATTCTTGGTTGTTTCTCGGAGAGGGGGATTTGACAGGGTCATAGGACAATAGTGGAGAGAAGGTCAGCAGATAAACCCGTGAACAAAGGTCTCTGGTTTTCCTAGGCAGAGGACCCTGCAGCCTTCCGCAGTGTTTGTGTCCCTGGGTACTTGAGATTAGGGAGTGGTGATGACTCTTAACGAGCATGCTGCCTTCAAGCATCTGTTTAACAAAGCACATCTTGCACCGCCCTTAATCCATTTAACCCTGAGTTGACACAGCACATGTTTCAGAGAGCACGGGGTTGGGGGTGAGGTTATAGATTAACAGCATCCCAAGGCAGAAGAATTTTTCTTAGTACAGAACAAAATGGAGTCTCCTATGTCTTCTTCTTTCTGCACAGACACAGTAACAATCTGATCTCTCTTTCTTTTCCCCACATTTCCCCCTTTTCTATTCGACAAAACCGCCATCCTCATCATGGCCCGTTCTCAATGAGCCGTTGGGTACACGTCCCAGACGGGGTGGCGGCTGGGCAGAGGGGCTCCTCACTTCCCAGACATGGCGGCTGGGCAGAGGGGCCCCCCCACCCCCAAGACGGGGTGGCTGCCGGGCGGAGGCGCCCCCCCCTCACCCCCTAGACGGGGCGGCCGCTGGGCGGAGGCGCGCCCCCCCCAGCCCCCAGATGGGGCGGCTGCCGGGTGGAGGCACCCCCCACCCCACCCCCCAGACGGGGCGGCCGCCAGGCTGAGGCGCCCCCCCCAGTTCCCAGACGGGGTGGCGGCCGGGCGGAGGCGCTCCCCACCACCCAGATGGGGCAGCCGCGGAGGCGCTCCCCACATCCCAGACGATGGGCGGCTGGCAGAGACGCTCCTCACTTCCCAGACTGGGCTGCCGGGCAGAGGGGCTCCTCACTTCCCAGACAATGGGTGGCCAGGCAGAGACGCTCCTCACTTCCTAGACGGGGTGGCGGCCGGGCAGAGGCTGCAGTCTCGGCACTTTGGGAGGCCAAGGCAGGCGGCTGGGAGGTGGAGGTTGTAGCGAGCCAAGATCACGCCACTGCACTCCAGCCTGGGCAACATTGAGCACTGAGTGAGCGAGACTCCGTCTGCAATCCCGGCACCTGGGGAGGCCAAGGTGGGCAGATCACTCGAGGTCAGGAGCTGGATACCAGCCTGGCCAACACGGCCAAACCCTGTCTCCACCAAAAATACAAAAACCAGTCAGGCGTGGTGGCGCACGCCTGCAATCCCAGGCACTCGGCAGGCTGAGGCAGGAGAATCAGGCAGGGAGGTTGCAGCGAGCCGAGATCGCGGCAGTACAGTCCAGCCTGGGCAACAGAGGGAGACCGTGGAAAGCAGGAGACTGAGACGAGGGGGAGGGGGAGGGGGAGGGGGAGGGACTCCCATTTTCTTATGATGAAAAATTTCAAACATGCAGAAAAGTAGAAATAATAGTACCCTACCACCTAGATTCAACAATATTCACCTGTCTTGAGATAGTCTTATTTCATTAAAATCTATAACAGCAAGAGTTCTATATATTTCTCGGCAGTTAATAATAACCACTCCCCAAAACTTAGTAGCACATAATTTCCTTTTTTTTTTTTAGGTGGAGTCTCGCTCTGTCACCTAGACTGGAGTGCAGTGGCGCAATCTCAGCTCACTGCAACCTCCACCTGCCGGGTTCAAGTGATTCTTCTGCCTCAGCCTCCCGAGTACCAGGCGCGTGCCACCACGCCCGGCTAATTTTTTTGTATTTTTAATAGAAACAGGGTTTCACCGTGTTAGCCAGGATGGTCTCGATCTCCTGACCTCATGATCTGCCTGCCTCTGCCTCCCAAAGTGCTGGGATTACAGGCATGAGCCAGTGCGCCCAGCCATAATAAATATTTTTTAAATGAGAAGGCAATAATACCTGCAGCTTCACATAGTTCTGGCAATAAATAAAAGATATTCTAGGCTGGGCACTGTGGTTCACACCTGTGATCCTGGCACTTTGAGAGGTCGAGGTGGGAGGATTGCTTGAGGCCAGGAGTTTGAGACCAGTCCGGGCAACATAGTGAAACCCCGTCTCTACAAAAAATTTAAAAAATATCTGGGTATGTTGGCATGCTCCTCTAGTCCCAGCTACTCAGGGGGCTGAGATGGGAGGATCACTCGAGCCTGGGAGATTGAGGCTGCAGTGAGTTGTCATCTTGCCACTGCACTTCAGCCTGGACAACAAAGCAAGAACCTGAAGAAAAATAAAAAAAGATATTCTGAATATATAAAAGATACACAGTCTCCACTATTTCATTAAATATTTATTGACAGTCTATGTTGGGGAGGATGTGAAGTAGCAAAAAATGAGTAAGATATTGGTCCTGCCCTCCTGAAGCCCAGAGTCTATAGACAGAGGCAAATATGTGAACAGTTCCATGTAGTACAATGTGATGGAGAAGTGCAGTAAAGGCCCAGAGGAGGAAACAACCAACTTGCTCTTAGAGATCAGTATTGCTGTCATAAAGGAGAGGATGTGTGGTTCAGGGCCTCACAGGAGTGGAATTCTGATGGAAAAGATTTCACACAATAAATAACAGATGCAAAAACTGAGCAATATAAAACAGCACACCATGAGTTTAAAGGAGTGGCTAGAGTGTAAGGCAATAGGAATATTTTCAGGCGGAAAGATGATATTTGATTGGTTTTTAGGAAGAGAATTCTGCTACAATAAGGAGAATGGTTGGGACTGCAGACAAGAGATTAGAGATGAGTGCCTCACCTCTCTCTGTCATGAGAGTAGATCCACTCATTTATTGTGTACTACATAACGCAATGAGCAATCTAATAGTCCCTACTGTCACTGAGCTTACAGTCTCATAACGCTCATCAATCGGCTACCAGTTCGCTCTCAAATCTCTTACGTCAGTTCCTTCTATTTTCTCCCTCCTTGTTCTGTCAAATTGCTACCTTCTGATAACTAGGAAGCTATTGTATTAGTTACCCCCATGAGAACTTAGTATTTTCTCTAGAGATAAAAAATGGAAAAGAAACAACATCTTATTTTTCTTTATCTCCCCAACAGTTAAAACAATGTCTGAAATATATGCTTTCAACAATTCAGTGAATCATTGAGTGGTTTTTTTGTTTGTTTCTTTGTTTTGAGACAGGGTCTCACCCTGTCACCCAGGCTACAGTGCATAGAGTGCAGTGGCAAGATCATGGCTCCCTACAGCCCCAACCTCTCAGGCTCAAGCAATCCTCCAACCTCAGCCTCCCAGGTAGCTGGGACCACAGGCACATGCCACTCCAAGGCCTGGCTATTTGTGTGTGTGTGTGTGTGTGTGTGTGTGTGTGTGTGTGTGTGTGTGGTTTTTGTTTTGTTTTATTTTTTGGAGAGACGTGTTTTCACCATGTTGCTCAGGCTGGTCTCCAACTCCTGGGCTCTTGGGCTCCTGGGCTTAAGCAATCTGCCCCTCCTCAGCCTCCCAAAGTGCTGGAATTTACAAGCATGAGCCACTGCACCTGGCCAATTGTGGCGATATTTAGGAAGTAAAATGAGCAGGAATGGGTGACCTTTAGGATATAGTGGGTGTGAAAAAAATGGAAAGGCAAGGATGCTGCTATGTCTTCTGGTTGTAGGGGACTAGGTGGATGGTGATGTCATCGGCTGAGATAGGAAATAACACAGTATGAATAGGATTGGGGGAGAGGAGAGGGAATGAGTTCATTTCTGACATGCTGAGATGAAGTTGTCTATTATGCATTTAATGTGCTTCTTAATCTTAAGATTTTTTTTTTTTTTTTGAGACAGAGTCTCGCATTGTCTCCCGGGCTGGGGTGCAGTAGCGCGATCTCAGCTCACTGCAACTTCCGCCTCCCGGGTTCCAGCGATTTTCCTGCCTCAGCCTCCCAAGTAGATGGGATTACAGGTGCCTGCCACCACACCCAGGTAATTTTTTGTAATTTTAGCAGAGACGGGGTTTCACTATGTTGGCCATGCTGGTCTCAAACTCCCGACCTCATGATCCGCCCACCTCTGCCTCCCAAAGTGCTGGGATTACAGGCATGAGCCACTGCGCCGGGCCAATCTTCAGATCTTTATACAAAATCTAGTTGAACTTTTTTTTTTTTTTTTTTTTTTTTTTGAGACGGAGTCTTGCTCTGTCTGCCAGGCTGGAGTGCAGTAACGCAATCTCGGCTCACTGCAAGCTCCGCCCCCTGGGTTCACGCCATTCCCCTGCCTCAGCCTCCCGAGTAGCTGGGACTACAGGTGCCCGCCACCACACCCGATTGATTTTTTGTATTTTTAGTAGAGACGGGGTTTCACCATATTTAGCCAGGATGGTCTCGATCTCCTGACCTCGTGATCCGCCCACCTCAGCCTCCCAAAGTGCTGGGATTACAGGCGTGAGCCACTGCGCCCGGCCTAGTTGAACTTTTTAATCAGAGGGGCTTGAACACAACCAGAATTGTTCCAGCATTGAAAAATAAATTGTCTAGCATCATTTGTCAAAATTTATGTTTGGAAAATTCTTTATTTAGAGCTTACTTTCTTAGATAAAAGCTGCTTAAAATGTACCCCTTTTAGGATTTATTTCAAGTTGATTCATGTAGCATTAAATGAATGAAGAAACAATAACTGATCATTTCTGCCAGGTGTATTGGTCAGAGAATTAAAAAGGACATTTGATCGAAGTAATGGCAGTAGTGTAGAGATCCAAAAAAAAAAAAAAAAAATTGACCAGAAATAAGATAGACATCATAAAAAGAATTTTAAAGTTATTTTATTTTTTTGATAATACAGTGAGTTTTCTTTTTTGTTGTTTTGGTGTTTGGGGTTTTGTTATTTTGTTTCTGTGTTTTGGCTAGGATCCAAGTGAATAGTTTTATCTAGGATTGTATTTTAAACTTTAAAGAGTTGCATGTAGTCATATTTGACAGTCTAAATTGGTTCTTACAATAATGCAAGTTTTCATATGGGGATTGTAGAGCTAATATATTATTAATAAAATAACCACTTAGATAAATTTGATTCCCCTGCTATTTACAAGTTCATTTACTTCTTCATTAGGTTCTGTGATAAACAATTTTAAATTCCTCTTTTCACAGAGTAGAAATAAGTATGTATAGCACTTTTTTCTTTTTATAGCTATTTTCCTTTAATTCTTTTGTGCAGAAACATAAATGTTGTATAAGATGTTATTGCTATAATTCTAAGTTTGTCAAATTCCAACTTATGTAGAAGACTTAACTATACATTATGCTACAGTTGGAGCAGAATTATAAAATATATGTATTACAGTATTTTCACTACCACGATACATTTTAAGGAAAAAAAATATCATTTAAAATATTTTCTTTACCATGTAGTCTTCAGCGAGCAGAGAAGGGGTTTTCTGAAGTGAGATTAGACAATAGAGCCAACTTCATTTTTTATGCACGTGAACGGAGAGGGCTTGAGGTTATTAGTTGAAACCGAGTAACCTTTCCAGGCTTTCATCTCTTTCTTTTCAAATTTGAATATGAAAAGCATATTCAAGTCAAAGACCATCACTTTAATGACATTTGGCAGTCATTTGATTTATTAGGTTTTAGAAAAAATTTTCCTTTAAATATTTCATCATACTATGCTAATCCTAGTAATATTGCCAGCTGCAGCCTTGTACCTGTATTAGTGGAGACAGAATGGTGTGGAATTTTCTCTGTCATCCTAGTAAAATTTCCATGAATCTACTGAATAATAAAATAACCTTATTGAAATATTCAGATTTGGGTTTTTAGTTAAAGTGTCTTAGAATACATAATAAAAGAAAATGTCTTTTGAAAGAAGGGGGTAAAATTACTTCATCAAATATTGAGAGGGTTTGACAGCAATGGAAATTGTTCTTTATGGGAATATTTTTACAATAGGATACTTATGCTTTTCAATTTGATTAATTATATTATATGCTTTGAAATATCTAAGTAACCACTATGGTGAATTTACACACTGATTTAAATTTAACAATGAATTCCTAAAAGCTGGTCATATAAACAGGTCTTATTTTCAGGTTTTTCTAATTATTATTTGAAGTTATATAATTTATAGCATGTCTCTGAATTTAGTAAAATAGGATTTTGATACTAAAGGACAAACTTTAAATTGTAAAAAACAGATTTAACTGAGGAGTTACCTTGGTGTGATATAATTTCTAATCCTAGTCTATTAATTATTTGAAATCATTACTCAAGGAAACATTTGTAATTCCTGTGATAATGTCTATGACACCAAAATCTATTAAGCAAGGATTGAGGTGAAAATTAAACAAACACCATTTTAGTTGTTAATTTTGTAAAAATAAAATTAAAGATAAATTATGAGAAAATGTTCAAATTAGACATAAAATTGTTTCTTTTGCTTGAAAATGTATTATTTATTCAACAAAGTATATTATGACAGAATATAAGAGAATGAACTGTAGTTTCTGCTCTAGTTAATATTGATTCATATAGCTACATATATTAGCATAATACCTATAAAGTGTTCAACAGGCTTTGATCTCCGAATAACTGAAACTTTCTCAGGTACTGTAGATTAAGTAAAGGCAGTGATAAACATGTACTTCATTACATAGTTTGAAACAAGGCCAACTTGTCATTCTGAAAGCAATCGGAGATGAAGATCTCATAATCTTCACTCCTGATAGACTACTAGTGGGGTATTTATAGCCTCAAATGTAAATCAGGAGACTATTGCCATGACACTGTTAACTTCAAACCCTGGGGCATTAGCATCTCATTCTGTGTCTCTGTCATGAATAATCTATCATGTGTAACATACAGTAGTGTACATTGCATTCAAGAAAAGAAGCCCATTGGCCTTCGTGTTTTATTTAAAATTGATAGTGGAAAGTAATAGTGGATCTTTTTGTTCAATTATTTTATTTCTTTGTTGTTTTTTGTTTTTGCTCTTTAAACAGCCATCAGAAAAAATTCGGATTGAGATCATAGCTCTAAGCCTTAATGATTCTCAAGTAACCATGGATGACACTATCCAACGGCTGTTTGTTGAGTGTCGATTCTACAGTCTTCCTGCTGAAGAGACACCCGTGTCACTTCCAAAACCCAAGAGTGGGCAGTGGGTCTACTATAACTATAGCAATGGTATGTATGATTCATTTGTAATATAGACTTTTATGTTTGTCTTTTTTATTTATGAAAGAAGTGGAAAGAACAGAGAGAAAGTTTATTTCTCTAATATTCACATAAATTCATGGAAGTCTTGTCAGAATTGATTAATAAAAGTCAAACCAGTAGCATAAAGATTAAGAAAATAAAGTTGGGCCAGGCACAGTGGCTCACACCTGTAATCCTAGCACTTTGGGAGACCGAGACGGGTGGATCGCTTGAGCTCTGGAGTTCCAGACCAGCCTGGGCTACACGGCAAAACCTCGTCTCTACAAAAAAAAATACAAAAATTAGCCGGGCATGGTGTTGCGCTCCTGTAGTCCCAGCTACTCAGGAGGCTGAGGCAGGAGGATTGCTTGAGCCTGGGAGGGTGAGCCTGCAGTGAGCTCTGATCTTGCCACCGCACTCTTGCTTGAGTGGCAAAGTGAGACCCTGTCTCAAAAAAGAAGAGAAAGTTGAAGTAATACCACAGTTAAGAGAAAACAAAACAATGTGAAAAAATATTTCTAAGATGGTCCTGCTATGTCATAGTTCAACAGAAAAATGTCAGCTAGGTCTATAATTAGGAATTTAATTTAAATATATGATATTTCAAAGAAATATCTTTCAAAGAAGTCATTTTTTAATCATATGATTCGAAGCTTTCAATGTTCTATTTATTGTCTACCTTTCTGATCAATGTCATCACATGGATGTTTTTACAATACGTGTATATATCTCTCTCAGTGTCTAGATGTTCAAGATTTTAATTGAGTGAAGCATAAGTTCTTACTACACCTTTCATCATATAGCACACACATCCATTCATAGCAGCAGGCAGGTTTTCTGTCTTAGGGCTTGATCTAGCAGCCAGTTGACATGTAAGTTTACTGGACCAGCACAGACCCAATAGACACCCTATAAATTCTGAGATCAATCAACTTTATTGTGTGATTGTTAGTATATAATTGGAGAGGAATAAAAAATAATATCAGGCTACCATGACCCTAAGCTAAAACAGCTTAGTATGTTCTCCTAGAGCTCTACATTAAAACAAACCATAAAAATGGAGTGTTGTGTTATTTTTAGCAAAATGGGCCATCTCATGCTAGTTCATCACTACTATTTTTTTCCTCACTAATCTTAGAAATTGCATTTTAATCAACATGTATAACCATGCTGTTGTATCAGCAGGATTACAAATGCTCACAGTTACCTTTTTTTTCCCCCATCTGGCATTTTTAGAAATACGTTCATTCCTCAAGACAGTAATCTTAAGTATCCAGAGATCTGGCCTAGTGGTCTAGTCCTCCCTTTATCCCCAATTTTTACTGTTATGTGAACTAAGGCAAGATGTTTAAATTTCATGATTCCTTGTTTTCTTATTTGAAAAGTAAGGTGCTTTCTAAGATCTACTTCAGCTTAAATTCTACAATAACAGGTGTGTTAAGAAATCACATGTGAAATAAGTAGTGTGGACAGGACAAGAATCTGATTCCTCCTTCATTTCATGCACTTGGTATAAAGAAAACATTTCCAAAAGTATTTTCTCAGGCTTCTTGGAAATCATCAGTTGCAGAGTACCAGAAAAGAAAACCATATCAAAATATTATTAATAGTTGCATTCAACTAATTTTAAGAAAGATACCCCAAGAAAAATGACAAACTCTTTGGCTTTTGTATTATTCTTTGTAAAGGTCAGGAGTAGAATATTTGGTTGGACTGGCAACAACATTGTTTTTTAGAGATTAATTGTCTATTGAGAAACTTGGCCATGTCAAGGAGTAGATGTTTCCATTTGCTTGAAGAGCAATACAAATCTTTCTTTAGCTCAAACTGTGATATATGCTCAAGTGGCCCAAATTTTGTGCATTCTCACATGGTTACCTCTAGGTCTGTTTGGGGTGTTTTGTTAGTTGTGCTTTTTTTTTTTTTTTTTTTTTTTTTTGTGATGCAAGGTCTGGTGCTATTGCCCAGGCTGGAGTGCAGTGGCACAATCTTGGCTTACTGCAACCTCCACTTCCTGGGTTTAAGCGATCCTTTCACCTCAGCCCCCCAAGTAGCTGGGATTACAGGGACACGCAGCCACACCCAGCTAATTTTTGTATTTTTGGTAGAGACGAGATTTCACCATGTTGCCGAGGCTGGTCTCAAACTCCTGACCTCAAGTGATCCACCTGCCTCAGCCTCCCAAAGTGCTGGTATTACAGGTGCGAGCCACCATGCCCAGCCTGGTTGTGCATTTTGGTTTGTTTTTTCCCTTTACTGCAGGGTATTTTATTGTCTAATTGGTATGTTAACAGTTATGTTTTTAATGAATCAATCATTTGATAGCAGCAAGAAAACCAGTAATCTATTAGAAATGAATTCAGTAAAACTGTTTACTATACTTTTTTTAGCTTCTCTTCCTATCTAATGAAATTTGACTGTGTAGAATTTTCAAGATTAATTGAAAATAATTTTAAGGATATTTTTCTGGGAGGAGGGGAAAGGAATGTACTCCGTGCTTAGAAGCAAACTAATGTTGTTTTATATCTGTTATATCTGAAAAAATGAGCTCCTAGGTCATCAGCAAATTTGAGAAATAATTAATATTAACCTGGTTGAATGCTTCATTTTTCATTTAAGTATGACATAATGAAAATGTTTATTTTAAAATTATTATATTTGCATCTCCATTGCAGGGGGATCTCCTTGAGTCTTTGGTTAATAAGTAACTATCTCTTGTATATTATTGTAATGATTTACCATTCACTCGTTACCTGATACAGAAGGTCAATATAATGTAGACTTACATCTTCCAAATCTCATTAAATATTAATGGAAGTAATTTTATTTCCAAACTGACTTTTTAATTCAAATGGATAATTTAGAGGACAATTAGTACATGCTGTCTCCTGTTTGAACAGCATGCAGTAGAGAGGTTAGCTGAACCTAGCAATGATTTTACCCTGCATTGTGACTTGAATCTGTACAAAAGAGACTTGTATGTTCAGGCCCAAATTAGGTACATAAAATGAGAGATGCAGACTAGTGATTCCCTAGATTATTCATAATTGAATTCAGTCTTTATTAAGAGGTGTTAAAACCAGTATAACCTACATACACAAAAATATATATCTCCTGGCTGGGCGTGGTGGCTCACACCTGTAATCCCAGCACTTTGGGAGGCTGAGGTGGACAGATCCTGAGGTTGGGAGTTTGAGACCAGCCTGGCCAACATGGTGAAACCCCACCTCTACTAAAAATACAAAAGTCGTCCTGGCATAGTGGCTCACACCTGAAATCCCAGCACTTTGGGAGGCGGAGGTGGGCAGATCATGAGTTTGAGACCAGCCTGACCAACATGGTGAAACCCCATCTCTACTAAAAATACAAAAATTAGATGGGCATGGTGGCAGGCGCCTGTAATCCCAGCTACTCAGGAGGCTGAGGCAGGAGAATCGCTTGAACCCAGGAGGCGGAGGTTGCAGCGAGCCAAGATCGCGCCACTGCACTCCAGACTGGGTGACAGAGCGAGACTCCATCTCAAAAAAAAAAAAAAAAAAATATATATATATATATATATATTCTTAGAAATACCAACACTGAAAAACTAAAATTGAATTTACTTGCCAGACAGTGGTAGCAGGAACAAAACATTTGTATTTTATTGGGCCTGAAAATTTTGCTCAGAGAATGCTGAGAAAGCAAGAAAATAGTTTGGGAAAAAATAA
Source organism: Homo sapiens (assembly GCF_000001405.40). Taxonomy (NCBI): domain Eukaryota; kingdom Metazoa; phylum Chordata; class Mammalia; order Primates; family Hominidae; genus Homo; species Homo sapiens. The sequence continues at coordinate 53,615,305 of NC_000016.10, read as the reverse complement.
GATTAATGGTAGGTCTGAAGAATGTTGTCTGGGCTGAATAAAGCCTACAGTGGAATTGACAGTGGAAGGAAAAAGATTAATGAAATCATCCAAAGTTTTTATGAGACTTATACATGTCTGGACCCTTAGCCTCTAGGGATGGAACAGTCTGTCTTTTGGAACAATTGAAGTTTAATTCAAAAGATGAAGATGATGTGAAACATCAGATTTTGTGACTAATAGGAGGAGAAATTTGGCAAAGATAAGGATGATACAGATGATTACTCTTTAATACAAACATTATCTGAGATTCAGGGTTATCGACTCCTTATAATTAAGCCATCTGCATTTCTTCTGCCATATGACATTGATAACAGAATATAAGGATTTATCCAGCTTGCAGAAGTAAAGGATATGTTTTTAATGGTAGATGACTGAAGATCAACTAAAGTATTTGGACTACCAGTTTGTATCCTTTTTGAGACATATGCTTTCAGTAAGTTTATGTCAAAATCATACAAGTCCTAAACAAATGTGATTTCTGAGGAGAATGAAAGGTAAATACCTTAACTTTTGGAGAGTTCTGATACTTTTAATAATCACTAGAGTCACTTTTTATAGGATGTATTTCAAGTTTTGAAATTGTGAGTTTTTTTAACCATCTAGGGTTTTAGAATACTAAATGAACCATGGTTAGTCATAGGATATCATGACATAATCAGAGGCAGCCAAAGTGTTCCTGTTTCCCACGGTATTCAACCCAAAAGTGTTCACTAGCTCCTGATCCCATTTAAAAATTTGGCAAATGAATGTTGGGCCAAACAATGTTTCTCAATGTGTAGAACCCCCACCACCAGCAGCAATATCAACTGGAAACATGTTAGAATTACAAATTCTCAGGCCCTAACCCAGAGCTACTGAACCAGAAACTCTGGGAATACAACTCAATAATCTGCATTTTAACAAGCCTTTTAAGGGGTTGTGATACACAATAAAGACTGAGAACCACTGGGCTAGATAAAGATGCCCAATCTAGGCCTTGTTTGTGGAAGCAGGAGAGCCATAGTTCCAACTTGGTACACTTTTGGAGAACTAAGCTTATTGGTAAGTAGCTGGAGTATTTTCAAAAAGAGTATTTTGAAAGTTTTCTGCCAAGAAATATGATTTGACACACCTAGACTAGGTATATCTAAGCAATTATTCCTTTATGAAACAAAAGAAAATGAGGTGACTTCCCTTGATATTGTTATGGAACATTCTCTTACCTTCTGGTCTTGTGTTAACAAAATAACTACAGCTTAAACAGGAAAACTTTGGCTTCATATGGAAGGAGGAGAGGTTATGTAACATGGAGGTTAAGAGAGCAGACTCTTGAGGCTAACATTGCTGGATTCAAATTCTGGCTCTGCCACATTCTAAGTAGGTGGTCTTGGGCAAACTCCTAACCTTCTCTGGATCTATTTAATCATCTGTAAAATGTGGGTCAGGTACTTAACCTGCATGATGACAGTAAAAGTATTTAGTGTAGTACCTAGCACATAAATAGTACCCAGTAAATAGTGGCAATCATTTTTGTCTTTATTAAGAGAATAGGAAATATAGCATGTTGGCCAACTCGATAAAGCAGAAGCACAGGGAATCCCCAACGACACCACTTTTTAAAACCAATTTCAATGGTAAGGATGTTTAAAAAAGAAAAAGAAAAGATTGGGCCAGTCATGGTGGCTTACTCCTGTAATTCCAGCACTTTGGGAAGCCAAGACAGTAGGATCACTTGAGGCCAGGAGTTCAAGATCAGCCTGGGCAACATAGTGAGACTCCATCTCTACAAAAACTAAAAATTAGGTGGACATAGTGGTGCTCACCTGTAGTCCCAGCTACCAGGGGGAGGCTAAGGGCTAAGGTGGGAGGATCAGTTGAGCCCAGGAGTTCGAGGCTGCAGTGAGCTATGATCACACCACTGCACTCCAGCCTGGGTAACAGAGCAAGGCCCCCCATCTCTAAGAAAAAAAAAAAAGGTAAATTTAGAATGACCCGTATGGTCTAGCAATTTCACTTCTGGGTATATACCAAAAAGAATTGAAATCAAGAACTCAGATATTTGTATGCCCATGTTTAGAGCAGCATTATCCATAATAGTCAAAGGTGGAAACAATCCAAATGTCTATCACAGGATAAGTGGATAAACAAAATGTGGTATATACATATGATGAAATATTATACAGCCTTAAGAAGGAATGAAATTTGACATATGCTACAAGATGTATGAATCTTGAGAACACCAATGCTAAATGAAATAAACTGGACACAAAAGGACAAATACTGTATGATTCCACTTATATGACATACTTCGGGGAGTCAGATTCATACAGACAAAAAATGGAATGGTGGTTACCAGGGGCTGAGAAGAGGGAAGAATGGAAAGTTATTGATTAATGAGTATGGAGTTTCAGTTTGGGAAGATGAAGAAGTTCTGGAAATGGATAGTGGTGATCATTGTACCACAATATGTAGATATTTAATGCCACTAAACTGAATACTTAAATATTAATTGTTAATTTAGGATGGTAAATTTTATGTTATGTGTATTTTACCACAATAAAAAAATGATTTAAGCTATTGAAATTTATCAAATCTGGTCTAGGTTTAATTGGAAGACCCTTTATTTGGATGCTGGCATTTGAAATTCAGTCTTTTTTTTTTAACCACTGAGATTACCCTTGTCTTCAAACTATGGAAGCCAGTACGACATAAAAGCTTTACAACTCTGAAGTCAAAAACAATATGGTGTGCCACATCTTGAATTGGTAATTAACAGCAAAAAAAAAAAAAAAAAATCCCATTTGGAAAAAAAGTTCCCCTTTAGCGTTGTGTACTGGCAGCCTCTAAAAAACGAAGTCTATCTTCCAGTGATCTGTTAGCATGACTTTTTGGCATTGATAAATTAAAAAAAATACTCTGAACCTTTGAATCTGTATTGATTTCTATAAACTTCAGTAACCTATATAACTAGCCACATTTACTAATATGGTTTCATGCAAAGAGCAGTAAGCTAGGAGCTGGTGTTTGACTTTGGCTATCCAGAGTTGATTATTAACTTGGTTATTATGTCTTGGATGATTCTTCTCTGAAACCACTAACCCACCCCTATACCGGTACCTTTATGTCTCTCCCGCCACCTTTATGTCTCTCCCGCCTTGTGCCTACTCAGTGCCTTTGGCCCTCAGTTAATATTTGCTCAACTGAGCCAAACAAATGAGTTGATAGCATCATAATTTGGAATTGAACTAAAATTGTTCAGGGAAACATTTTCAACATAAAAGATGTTTGTTCCTGGCAGAGCCTAAGGAGAACTGGCTTTAGAACTATCGTGATATCTTTCACCCATTGCATGCTTTTGGCCAGGAATAATCTCTAAGTTGAGATCTGGTCACAGGGGAGCCTTTACATCCAAAATGGCCTATGAAAAAGAAATGTCTTCAGAAGCTGATGCATGGCTGAAAGTCTGCCGAACTGAGAACAAATAATCAGGATGAAAATTGTACTGTTCGCACATTGAAATGCCATTTTCCCAAAGTGCAGATGCTTACTTACAATGTCAAGTGTTCACCGTCTTCTTTCTGTTGAGACTTGAGGTCAGTTATCTAATCTCATGCTTCAGCCCAGTGAAGTCTGGCCACATTCCTCGATGCCAGCATGTGCCTTTAAAACCAAAAACCTCACACCCTAAAAAGCCTTTCTCTCCCTGCACGTTTCTCTCCCATACCCCTCCCCAGCAGGCGTCAGCCTGCGGATTTCCTCAACCCAATACACTAGATGCCTCTTTTATTGCATGTTGTGGCAGAAGAGAAGGATTAAATTACTGAGGCTGTCAGGAAGGACAAGCAGTCTGCCATACATTATCATTATCACTTGCTTCTTGGGTGAAAGAAAATGCAGTAAATCCCTCAAATACAAAGCAATAAAGACCGTTGACTTTTACTGTCATGACTGCCAGTGCCATTAACAGGCAGTGACGGTGATGTGGCACTCTTAGATGTTGCTTGTATCTTTTCTGACAGTGTGCACATAAACCTGCCAGTGACATGACATTAGATCACATGACTACTCAGATTTGATTCTGGTTTCTGGAGCTGTTTTCTTTTCCCAGGCATGCAAGTGAGGTGGCATGACTTGTGTCTTTAAAAACAGGTATTTTTAAAAATACAGAATGGTACTAATGTAGCCTATTCCTGAGTGACTTCCTTTTTGGCATTTTTTTTTCTTTTGGTATAGTGATCTACGTGGATAAAGAAAACAACAAAGCAAAGAGAGACATCTTAAAAGCTATACTACAAAAACAAGAGATGCCTAATAGAAGGTATGTTTTGGCAGTCCAAATAATCTAATGGTTTACATAAAGTAGATCTCTGTAGCAGGACATGGTTAAAATAAAAGGCACAAGATGAGGAAGCCGAACATCGGGGTTCTCTGACTCACTCTGTACCCTCGAATGAGTACGGGATCTCTGTAGATCGCCTTCCTCCTAGAAATTTAATGGTCCTTCCTACTATACAAAGTAATTGTAATGATCCTATAGGACTTGGAACACCAAAGACTGGACAACATGTATAAAGTATCCTATTGCCACTCCTGTAGTTGTAAAGACTGTAACAGGTTGAAAGGTGGGTACACTCTGGAGTCACATGCCTTGGGTATAAATTCTTGTCTTATTGCTTACTAGCTGACTGACCTCAGACAAGTTACCTAACCTTCTTGCACCTCTCTTCCTTCAACTTTAAAATGGAGATGATAACACCATAGAGGGTTGGTGTGAGGATTAAATGAGATAATATATGTAACACAGATAGTATAGTACCTGACACATAGCACACAGTGAGTGTTAATTGCAATCATTGTAAGTAGTGACATTAATATTATTGTTTGTAATGGCTCATCAGCCTTTCAGACTAATTTGTATCTTACTATCACTGTTTAATAAGCCATCATTTCATTATTATTTTTTGAAGGCATTTTTTTTCTAATTTAAATAGGATACCTTGCAATTCTGGTTCAGTAGAGAAAATACATGTATATAATTTTCAGAAGAAAGAAAAAAAAACTGATCTTAAAAAGTTAGTGCTTCTGTGTGAGCTTCTGCCGCAGAGTTTGAGGAGTTACCTCTGTGCTGCTTATTAACCGCAAACTGGTTTCTCCAGTGCCCCTTGCTGGCCGTCCTCCCTCGGCTTGAGTACCCCTTTTCTGTCTCCATTGCCCACTTCTCCTTGCCTTATGACCTACTGATGACACAGCCTCTCACTGCCTCAAAAACAGTGCTGACTCTGCCGCCTTAGGAGACTCAAGTTCTTTCCTTTCCAGAGGGCCATAAAGTGAATGTTAAAGACATATTTTTCAAAAGAGCTTCCAAACTAGCATTTTATCTTCTGTTTGAAGAAGAGAGACTGGAATGCTTAGCTCTCAGGATCTGATAATATAGCTTTATCACTATTCTTTCACTAGCTTTCTGAGGCTCTACTTTTCCCAGGATGGTAATCACTCAGGTTTGACTTGCTTCAGCTTCTTTCAGGGCCCCCTTCAAAGCCACCAGTCCCCCAGGGTTATCCCAGGTCATGAGTGACGAGGGAATAAACAGCACTGGCCATGGCATCTGCTTCCCTCCAGTCAGCAAGCTGCGCCATGGCTGTCTAGGATGGAGCTCAGTTCCCATGGACAAGTCCTGGGCTGCGATTCAGTAGCCTATTCAGTCTTATTTGTCTGCCTCTGTGTTCGCTTTGTTTCTGAAATGTGAGATCATATTGGGAGACAACATTTTTTTACCCCAAAAGTGTTTATTTAAAAAATTTAAAATCAAGTTCTGCTTTTGTGTTAGACCTGCCTTTCCTCAGAGGACCCACTTATTTGTACCAGAATAGATTAAGAAATTTAAAAAGGCCAGGTGTGGTGGCTCATACCTGTAATCCCAGCACTTTGGGAGGCCAAGGCAAAAGGATCCCTGGTGCCCAGAAGTTAGAGACTGGCCTGAGCAACATAGTGAGACTCCCCATCTCTACTAAAAATTAAAAAAGAAAAAATTAGCCAGGCATGGTGGCATGCACCAGTAGTCCCAGCTACTATGAAGGTTGAGGAGGAAGGACCGCTTGAGCCCAGGAGTTCGAGCTTGCAGTGAGCAATGGTTGTGCCACTGTACTCCAACCTGGGTGAGAGAGCAAGACCCTGTCTCAAAAAAAGAGAAAAGTCCACAGTAACTATAATGACTCCCACTCTCCCATGGTTGTTTCTGCAAACACCCCCCAAAGAAACAAATGTTCATGTCATTTTTGAGAAAGATAGAGAGGTATTGCAGGTGCCAAGTGACTGGCTCAGGGCTTCCAACCATGGATGAGTGTTTCAGTGCTGGCCATGCACTCCTCGAACAACCATGGGAGTGGATGGCCCCATTGACTGTTCTCCCTCAACAGTATCATTGTCCTAAGGGAAAGAGGCGTTTACATGTATGTTTTTCCACAGCCAAAAGCCAATTGTTATTCCAGCAAATGTTCTCACCTTTTTTAAATACTCAGAGGTCACATTATTTAAAGTAGCTCCTAGTTTATGAGAATCCATTTTCTCAGACAGCAACCCTGTTGAATATTGGTGATAACCTACAAAGCGACAGTTAGAGAAGTTTGATGTATCTTCCCCGACATGTCTAAAGTTATAGACATTGTATAATAAATTATATATAGTACCTTTGCATGCCACCCCATGCTATATTTGCAAATATACACGTGTCACTTTAAAAGGGAGGTAACATATTGAAATGTGCCTTCAAACAGTATTTATTTGAAGTCATAGTTTAACACTGACTTAAGGTCCTTTTTTGGATTCAGTTTTTTCTTGTTAACAGTGTTCTGTTGAACAGATCCACCCCTGAGGAAGACAGATGATGATAATAGACAGATAAATGAATTACATCTACAAAGACTAAGAGAAAATCAAAAAGTTAAATGCCAAAATAGAAAGTAACAGTGAAAGCTGAATCAAATTCAGTGAATCCTCAGTAGTGAATCTGAGGAGGTGACACGTAAGCTGGTTCATGAAGGATAAGAGGACTCAGTCAAGTCACAAAAAGCTCAGAGAAGATCATTTCGGGCAAAGGGAACTCCAGGCATGAAGGAGTATAGAGAGATGTGTTCCAGGACCAGGCAGAGGTGGTTAGCAAGGCTGGTCTCACTGAGAAGTAGAGAGTGGCAGGAGAAAGAGGTGGGAAGAGGAGGCAGGAGTAGCTCAGGTAGCACTTCCTGTTCTTCCTTCCACCTGAGTGCTTGACATCTGCCCCCTGTGTCCATCCAGGTCCTCAGACTAGACTGTAAGCGTTCTTCCAGACATGGGACAAAGTTGGCCTTTTTGTTTTGGCAGTGTTGAAAGTAAGATAAAAGATTTGTGTGTGTGTCTTTTCGTTATTTTTTAAAAATTACTTTTAATTCTTAAATGATTTTAGTGTACTTTTCCTCCCTTTTCAGCTTAACTTTCTGGTTTCTTAATTTTGTTTTTGACATCTCATTTTTCTCTATATAGAATTTAAAGCCAGAAATATTGCATTTTTAAATTTCGAGTTCTTTCTCTGGCATTTAGAAGGCTTTCTTTTGCCACAGAATTCTCATATATTCAGTGGAGGTAATTGTCTGCATTTGTAAAGTGATACAGACATGATCCTTAGATATGAGACACTGTATGAAGATAACACTTAACATTATTATTACAGTCTGCATAGCCTCAGTCTTTTCTGTAAGTCTTGTGTTATAATATGTGCATTATATGTTACTTTTAATTCCTCCTCTTCCAAGCAGTTTTAATTCTTCCTCTTTTCCTAATTCATTTTAGGAAAACTTCTTTCATAATCATTCCTCTTACTTAATTGAATGATATAGTCAATGTATAATTTGGGAATCTAACTAAATTTTCAATTGAAACAAGCTTTTCCGATGCCAAGTTTTTCTCTCCCCTTAGAAATGTAGAAGCATAAGCAACTCTATCTATATTAAAAATACTACTAAAAAGAAGAGCAAACATTTACTCAGTGCTTACTGTGTTCCAGGCAACTGTTCACTTGTATCATCTCATTTGATCTTCACAAGAGCCCTGTAAGATAAGTATAATTATCCCCATTCCACTGGTAAGGAAACTGAGATGAGAGAGGTTAAAGTAACTTGTCTAAGGTCACACAGCTAAGCAGTAGGAAAGCAGGAATTTGAGCCCAGAATGAATGCCCTTAACCACTCCATCTTAATCCCTCCATCTTATACATGTTATAAAAATTCCTTCGTACCACCTTGAAGGCCAAGATCTGTACTCTTTATAATTATTTTGTGAGTAGGCGTTAACTTTGATTTTGACCTAAAGGATTTCTATTTTCTAATAAAAATTTATTGCAGGCTGGGCGCAGTGACTCACGCCTGTAATCCCATTACTTTGGGAGGCCGAGGTGGGCAGATCACCTGAAATCAGGAGTTGGAGACCAGCCTGGCCAACGTAGTGAAACCTCATCTCTACTAAAAATACAAAAATTAGCCAGATGTGGTGGCGGGCACCTGTAATCCCAGCTACTCGGGAGGCTGAGGCAGGAGAATTGCTTGAACCCAGGAGGCAGAGGTTGCAGTGAGCCAAGATTGCGCCACTTCACTCCAGCCTGGGTGACAGAGCGAGACTCCATCTCAAAAAAAACACAACAAACAAAAAAATTCTTATTGCTAGCTAAAAACAGAGACTTAGTAAAGGAATTCAATATAGAATACTTACTTTCAGCAAGTTGGTTAAATGTATTGTCATGTTTACCTATAAGCATTTGGAAAGGATTTTATTTGTGTTTTTCAAGGCATGATTTCTCAGAGATGTAGATTTTTATGTTTCTTGTTTTGTTTCTGATTTGGGATGGATACATTTTGAAAAGTTTAAAATGGTAAAGTTTACAAGCATCTATGGTTTAAGCTATGCTGCCAAGACATATCAAAAGAGTACTTAACTGTAAATTCCTGTCATTTGGTCAATCCAAGTGCATTTGGCCTCCGCACAAGCCACTAATTCAAATCAGTTCCATCAGAACCCTACAATTATATGTCTTAAAGTAAAATAAAACTTGGATGCTATGATTGTAAGTTAAAGATTGCTCAAGTAATACAAACATTTGATATAGCTGTTGGGCAGAGTTACAACATTTATCTAACATGATTCAAAATGTTACCCTGGGAGCATGATCTCTGCATTTTGTAGAACACATACAGTTTTGTTAAATTCCTTAGTAGCAACTCCAGAGTTGTGTGTTTCTATAGGAAATGTTACGTTTCTATGGAAAATGCTGACCATTTAACCTCCATGGTCTTTATTCACTTCATCCTTTTAGCCTTAAAAGTAGAGGTGTCAAAATATAATCAGATAGTATGTAATTGAGTGAACATCTGGTCCTTCTCTTTGCCTAGTAATTTTCTCAGATTATAGAGATAAATGTTAATCAGTGCTTAGAAAGTGGATTAGTGTTCATTTGAAGGTTGGGTGTTTTATAACAATTCTAATAGTTCATATAATAACTTATCTAGCCTAGTGTACCTTTCTTTTTATTGGGATAATTGGAAACTTTAACATTTTATACCTAGTGATAACACCCCATTTGGGAGTTTTGTCTCGTGGTGATTTCTTCTCACTTGGTGGTGACTTTCTCTGATCTCTGCCTTACCAGCCTTCGCTTCACCGTGGTCAGTGACCCTCCAGAGGACGAGCAGGACCTGGAGTGTGAGGACATTGGCGTGGCTCACGTCGACCTTGCCGACATGTTTCAGGAAGGGAGGGACCTCATTGAGCAAAATATCGATGGTATGGGTGAAAGTGTTGCTCAGTTTGTGCAACCAACAATTGCTGAACTCCAAACTCTTTATTAAAACCTTCTTTTTGCTGGCTCCAAGGGTGCTGAGTCACACGTTACTTGAATCCTTTACAACTCAAGTTGACGCTTTGGTGAAGCTGAAGCGTCTTCCTATATCCTTTTCCTGTCCTCCCCCCTGCTTTCCTTTGAATCAACAGCAATTGTAAAATAATTAATTTAGCTTCACAAGGAATTATTCATTTGTTAGTATTGAGTGAAGGCGTGAAAAAAAGTTGGCCATTGGATTTTTTTTTTTTCTGAGACAGAGTTTTGCTCTGTCACCCAAGTTGGAGTGCAGTCTTGGCTCACTGCAGCCTCGACTTCCTAGGCTCAAGCAATTCTCCCACCTCAGCCTCCCAGGTATCTGGGACTACAGGCGTGCATCACCATGCCCGGCTAATTTTTTTGGTATTTTTTATAGAGACAGGGTTTCATCATGTTGCCCAGGCTGGTCTCGAACTCCTGGGCTCAAGTGATCTGCCCACCTAGGCCTCCCAAAATGCCCGGACTACAGGCGTGAGCCACCACGCCTGGCCACATGTTTTTCTAGGGTTGTTTATGGAAGCCACATTTCAGCTAAGACTTAACCTTCAGGATGTTATTCTGTTAATGTTTATGGAAGCCTTATTTCTGTTAAGGTACTTAACCTTAAGCATGTTATTCTGAGTGATCCTGATAATGTCTTTCTCAAGGCTTCTCTTTAATTCAGTGTTGCAATGTAGTGATACAGTCAAAGCAAGGAAGTAGCTTTGATCCTTTATTTCCCACCAGGATTTTGTGAGGAGTAATGACATTTGATCTGTTCCTGACAAATGTGCTGTCCTGGATTTTTAACTTACTAGTTGTGATTCCCAACAATGCTTAATTTCTACTCTCTATTCTTCTGTATTTAGAACGTGCTAAATTGTTTTATTAATCAGACTTTTAAAAATCATAATCAGGGATGGCCTAGGCTTTATGTAGTAAATAGAGAAATAAGGCTGATTCCTAGTCCCATTTGTTAAGTTAGCAGAGCCATCTTTGGAAAAATGTGCATGACTTGTTTACATATTCACTTGTGCATTCAACAAACACTGAAGGGAGCACCTCTTATGTGCCAGGCATTCTGCTTACGCTGTAGTTCAGCCCTGGTTCATTGTCAAGCTGCTTGTCCTAGGTATGTGTCAAGTGCTGAAAAGTCAGGCTCAAGCCAGATAATTAACCAAATTAGACCAAATAACCAAATTAAAAACTTCTTCTGGGAAATCTTTATAAACTATACATTTCTAACCACGTGGCAGTTGGTCACAACTTTGGCACAGAGAAAAAGATGAGAGGATTGAAATATTAACCTGAACCCTTTTAAAGACTACCAGGACCAAGAAAGTCTGACAAAAATACCAAAATTATCTTTGCTTTATATTCTTCGTATTTTTTCCAAATGGCTGTTTAGCAACCCATCTTCTTCTGAGAGACCGCATATGACCCACTGATCTGACATAATCAGCTATTGTGGCCATGTTTTGGGAAAGAGCCAAAAGATTAGGTATAAGTGAGGTTGGGATTTTAATGCTTTGTTCTGCAGCAACCATAGAAGTGAGAAGTCCCAAAGCAGAGATGACAGCTCCAGGGAATGAGCTGGGGACCACTCATGCCATTTTCACTTACCCAATGCTCAGTTTCTGCACCTAACTCTTTGTGTATCAAGTTTTAAGGCTTTCTAACAAATTTTCTTGGAATTAAACACACACACACACACACACACACACACACACACATTAAAGTTCAAGGAAAACCATAAGGAATTATAAATTGGAAACTAAGCCAGGTGTGGTGGCTTACACCTGTAATCCCAGCACTTTGGGAGACCAAGGCAGGTGGACTGCTTGAGCTCAGGAGTTTTAAGACCAACCTGGGCAACATGGTGAAACCCCATCTCTACAAGAAAATATATAAGTTAGCTGGGCATGATGGTGCCCAACTGTAGTCCCAGCTACTCAGGAGGCTAAGATGGGTGGTTGGCTTGACCCTTGGAGGCAGAGGTTTCAGCGAGCCCAGATTGCACCACTGCACTCCAGCCTGGGTGACAGAGCCAGATACTGTCTAAAAGAAAAAAACAGAAACTATATGAAGACTCATAAGTGATAAGTGCTATCAGACTTACAAAAATCCAGGTTTCTGGCCTTGAGTCACTAGCCATTATCATTGTCCACAGAGGGATGGAGTCTCAGGTATTGAATCGGCATCCCATTTGGCTTCCACCACTGAGCTCAGAGAATGCCCATGGCTCCAGCCAAATAGTCTACCTTCGGGGCTGGGTGCAGTGGCTCAGGCCTCTAATCCTAACACTTGGGGAGGCCACAGTGGGGGAATCACTTGAGCCCAAGATCTACCTTTGGGACACCACTGAAAGTAGTGGTCCCTCTTCCAAGAAAATCCTACATATACTCAAACCCACAGATCTTAAGATTCTTGGGTCTGCCATTTTAATCTTTTCTAATTTCACATAAAATCTATTTTAAATGAAATGTTTTCCTCAGAAAGTTAAATAACTAATTCAAGCTATGATCATGTAACATCTGTACAGTGGTTTGCCATTCTGAAACACTGTATAGATTATCATAAATTCCCTTTAGACTTACTCCTTACTAGCTTAAAAATTCTTTTTTTTTTTTTTCTTTGAGGAGTCTCGCTCTTGTCTCTCAGGCTGGCGTGCAGTGGCATGATCTCGGCTCACCGCAACCTCCACCTCCCGAGTTCAGGCGATTCTCCTGCCTCAGCCTCTGAGTAGCTGGGACTACAGGCATGCACCACCATGCTCGGCTAATTTTGTATTTTTAGTAGAGACAGGGTTTCTCCATGTTGGTCAGGCTAGTTTCAAACTCTCAACCTCAGGTGATCACCTCACCTCGGCCTCCCAAAGTGCTGAGATTACAGGCATGAGCCACCATGCCCGTCCAGTAGCTTAAAAATTCTGATTGTGTGTGAGGGTCATTATCCTAGACGCTTTCACTAGGTAAACTTCAGGATTAGCTTATTAGTTTTAGCTCCACAAACAATATGTACAGGTCCATGCGGTACGTCTCAAATGCACATCTCCATGCACACGTGACAAGGTTTATTCTTTAGATACCCAAGATGCCAGTGAACTTTGGACTTCTGTAGAACTATTTTCATCTTTTCAACTACTGTTTCTGTCTGCGAGCCTTTCCAAAGAAAAATCTGTTGAATGATATTAACACTTTCCTGCTCTTTTCTCCCTAGTTTTTGATGCACGAGCAGATGGTGAAGGTATTGGCAAGCTCAGGGTAACAGTCGAAGCTCTCCATGCCCTCCAGTCTGTCTACAAGCAATACAGAGATGACTTGGAGGCTTGAAAGCAAATGCTCCAGAGGCATCTCCTACTCCTCAGTAAATGCTCACATGAAAGTTCCTACATGAGATTTTTGTAATTACTCTGGTGTATATAATCTATAATTCATGGGAAGCTGGGAGCGGGGAGACCTGGGTTTGAAGTGTTGAAGTTTTGTATACTTTTTCATTTGTTTATTTCTCTATTCCCTCCTTCTCATAACTGCCACCCCTCAGGACTTAAGTTCTCCATAATGGGCAGTACCTTCTCAATAATTTATACCTACGTGATAGCGTGAGAAAGTCTATTTGCATTTTCAACATTTTCTTAGGAAGAACCGAAATGCAATTCCCATTTTTATTTTTAATAAGCAAAAGCATAAATCTTAGAAAACCTATGAAAAAGAAATACTTTTATGTTATCCCTAATCGTCCCACTAAATGGAATGCCTATGATTAGCTTCATTAAGAGTTTTATACTGTGAAGATTTTATTAGAAGCAATATATGAAAATTACTTGGATTAATGTGTTAATCTTCCTCTTTAAAATGCTAATATCCATTTTATGCACATTAAAGCTCAGTATGCATTTTCTTTGATGCATGCAGTTTCTATCAATTAAATATAAAGAATGAAACTTAGCACCAACTTATTCAATGACTGCAAGTTTTTTGTCTTTCTTTCTTAAAAGTTCATTCTATTTGTATTATTTTCATACATTTGTAATGGTGACCCAGGGATGTATATATAAAAAGGAGATAGTTATATAGATAGATGTGAAATTTACACGTTGAAAACTTAGTATATGACACAGAAAGAAATTATGAAAAGTATAACTCAAATTCTGATATGCTTAGTTAGACGTGAAAGGAGTATCTTTTTATCATTTTTTAAATTTACATCAAGCCAGTACAGTGCCAGGGTGTATCTGGGTAACCAGATCCTCGAAAAGCAGCTCTGAAAGTTAATTTTCTAGCTTTTACCCAATCTCACTGAAGGATTTAATTGATATTTTTAATGGAGCTGTGAATCAATGCTGCAAAGGAATTGTCTCTAGAGGTCTAGGATATAATGCATTTCATTTTTTAATTTACTTTTTTATTTGTCATTTTCTTCAAAGGATTTTTATAGGCTGTGGGTTTTCACTGTTTGCAAACAGGCTATGTTCCTTCTTAAGCATATGTAAAGTATTCAGGGAGATAAGTAATTTATTAAAATCTACCTAATTTGCCGTGATATATTAAATCTCTGCTTCAGTGATCACAGACCATTTCATTTAGAGAATTAGGCATTCCCTCTTTGTGTGATTAAAGCTCTGGAAAATGAGTTCTTTGCTCCTATTTGTGAACATTCAAAGCCTGCTAATGGCAAGAAGATGGAATAGATTATGAGACAATTCATTACAGTTCAATAGAAAAAAAAAGCAGCTATAATGCAAAAATGCAAGTATGAATATCTGCATATAGTTTGAACCATCTGTGCTCTAATGGCTTCAATAATGACTCTCGTCTTTAGAAGGCTTTGAAATGACATCCGTACAATATTAATTTGTTGATGTACATTGTGGGACCAGTAGAGTATGATCTGACCACAGAAATCTATAAATTCTGTCTATACCACTGGGCCTCCCTGTCCTGGGGCCTGCCATCTCCGAGAAGAATCTTGCTCTCATCCAACTCTGCAAATCTTCATAACAACTCGTTCCTCTGGAACCTTCTGGAGACCACAAACATCTGCAGACTAAACCTCTCCAGTCCTAGTAAACAACCACATGTTTGTTGTCACTTCGGCTGGCTCTGAGCTCATTTTTTTGGCCCCTTTTTCTAGCTTTCTTTGGCTTTATGCAGTTACAGTGTCATTAAGGCCCATAATATTCCCTGCAGTAATTTAAAACAGCCAGATTATACCCTGGGATTAACTGAGTGGTTTTTGAGACATTTATTGTGGTATTCTCCCAGGAGGTTTGTATTATTGTTGTAAAATGTTACATCCCAAACTAAATAACCCTTCTGCAGGGAGAAGAACCAGATTGCACTGACTTCTTAGGATCATTAAGTGGAAAGGAAAAGTTTTTCTTAGAAAACTTATGGGACCCAGTCACCTGTATGGAATGTATATCTCAGACAAGATGAGAGAAACAGCCATGTTTCTGTCACATTGTTTACTGTCATATTAAAGATATCTAGTTTTAAAATATTCAGTTTCAAACTATTGCGAATTTTCACAACACTCATTTTCATAGCTAATTGCTGCTGACACATTTTGAAGTGGCGAGGTAGTATTGAACGCTGTCATGTGGATACTTCAGTTGGGTTTCATAATCTGTTTGAGAATTTTGTTTGTTTTATCTTGTGGTAACTGGAGGCCATTGAAAAGCTTACCACCTTTTGGGTTAAAGAGCAGTGGATTTCTCTTGGTGAGCCAAACTGGATCCATTGAAGAGGGCTTGGCGTCAGGGGCCACCAGCAGTGGCCTTGCCACACAGATACCAGCTTAAGGTGTTGCTGGTGTGAACATACACTTCTTGGTGTAACTAGACCAGTGCACGCAGCACTTTTTTGGGCTGTAATGCTTTTAGTTTGGAAATACAAATAGAGATGTGATGTGGTATGTGGGAGAGTGTATTTTACATGTATTTTTGCCTACTGTAGTAGAAATGTCAAATTCCCAGCCACTGTCATGAAAAGCAGTTGACAAAAATAAGTTTTATGGTTTACAGTGTGGTTTACGTAAAGAACATTTCTCTTCACTCTCAGTTTCACCATGTTTTCTAAATTATCATGGTTTACTGCCATTTAACTTAAATTAGTTTTTTTAAAAATACATAAAGAATATGTTTAATCAAATAAAGAAAGGCCACACTGAAATTCTGCTGTTCCTGCCATTCATTCGTTACCACAAAACACAAATAATTTCTATGTGTTATGAAGACATGTGGGCTGAGAAGTGGTCATGTGATTGGAGAGGTTTTGCGTGCACTCATGTTCCCACAACAAAACATAAATTATTTTAGTAATCTGACATCAAGAGCTGTGAAAATGAAAACCAGTTCTTACACATGTTCTAACAAGAATCTGATTAACATTTTTGTGGATATGGAAAATTTTTTTTTTAGTCAAACTGGCACTATTGCTGAATGTAGAATGATTTCCTTATGCACTAGATAGAAAAATGTGAATCATGTCTGTGAACAAATATGAGAATAAAATGTCATCTTTGTGTAGGACAAAACAACCAGGAGAGAGATTTTGGGATAAAAATTATCAAGTGATTGACAATATCAGGATGATAATTCATCCCCAACTATCAGAGTACATTTTAATAAGTCACTCATGCCTGAAGGCCTCTGACTACCTTAACAAAGAAAAACTAAACCCGTGATTTATTAGAGATTGGGCAACATGCCTAATTAAATCCATGAATGGGAACAAACAGATTTACATCCCCTTTGTTCAGAACAAAAACAACCTCTAGGTCAACCAGAAAGCTAGAAAATATCAAAGCAAGAGAAACAAGTGTTTTTAAAACTAAAAATATAGAATTAGAAAACATCTCCTCATCCTAATCTCTTTTATCTTACAAGGTAGAATTTTCACTTCCATTTCAAAGTGCCACCAGTGGACTGCACCCTCCAGCCTGACCGCCTGGAAAATTGGACCCATATTACTGGTATTCTTATACCTTTTGTTCTTGCCCTTTCATTTTCCATATGACATTCACTAATATATCAAGCTATGTTTTTCCTTCAGGCTTTTGGAAGTGCAATCTGGTACTCTTAGACTTCGATCATGACCTGTTTTCTGAGGTAGATGCTGTTTGACTTTTCTGCTTTTTGCCTCTTCTCACTCTATTGAGAGTCACCTTTTTCATCCCTAGAACAGCATTACCTCTGTCTTCACTGTGCACCATTTGTTTTCTTTTTAAATAAAATTTAACATCTTGATTTTTATATTCCTACTATCTAATTTGTTCACATCTATATTCAACTGAACATCTCCTCCCATCTGTCTATTCTCCTGCTTATTTTTATCTAGTCAAAGCACATTTTTTTTCCTTCCTCTTTGCTGTTTTTTTCCTTTCTCTTTACTGTTTCTTTTCTTGGTGAGACAGCCACTTCTTGAGATACCGACATCTGTGACCAGTGGCCTTCCCAAAACGTTCCTTTGTGTTAAGATTTGTCTTAATTTAACATGACAGGGGCACTCTTAGCCATTATGAAACTGAGGAAACAGCAAGCTAATTTTTGTATCTTTGCTTCTTATACGTTTTTATAGTGAAGTAACAGAGGCTGGAACTCAGAAAGCTCTCAGGAATCACTGGTAAGGAACTGAAGCATAAGGAAGTTTTTTAAAAATTCAAGGATATATGTCATTAAAATCCAGCTAGATTTGATGCAAATGTTTTGTCATAGTTACACATATCATCATTAACGACAATGAAAATAAGAGAAATTTTTTACTTATTTTTTAATTTTGTTCATCAGGTTGGTGGAAAAAAAAGAGAAATTTTAGAAGAAAATGTAAGAGACTGTACATACAACCTAGAGGTTGGGAAGACTTTACTAACAGAGAGGAAAGACAGCTTTAAAGCAAAGGCATATTGACTATGTAAAGATTAAGACAGGGTAACCATTTTAATGTCAGACAAAACTCAAGGTCAAAAAAAGTGACAAAGAAGGATATTTTATGCTGTTAGAGGGAAGAACAAGTTAAAGATATATGGATGTAAACTTATATACACCAAACAGTATAGCCTCAAAATACATGAAGCAACAACTGACAGAACTATGGAAAAATACTACGGCTACATCCATTTTAGTAATAGCTTTTCACTGTCAGTGGCAGATCAAAAATGTAAGAAAAAGTCTAGATTTGCTTAACATGATTACTAAAATGAATATGGGATGCACATGGAACATGGAAAGAAAAAATCAACTATGTATTCAGCCACAGAGGAAGTCTCAATTTCCAAAGAATTGAAATCTTACAATATATATTTCTCTAAGCAAAATGCAACAAAATTAGAAATCAATAGCAAAAGAGGATAGCTAAAACAATCATGCCTAAAAGTTAAAAATATTTGTGTTTTATATTCTTAGTTGATAAAAATTATATATATTTATGGATGTATTATTACTATTCTGGGTCCTAATAGGACAAGAAATAGCCCTCTCCTACAACATAACTAGGAGACAAAATTCTATAAGCGTTATGTGTAAGTGGGGGAAATACACATCAGCTCAGAAGCCCACACCAGATGGGGAGGCAAGGTAAGGATTGAGCATAAGGGGAGAGTGTGGCAGCATTCTAGTTATGGCAGAACACAAATAATATCAACTAAGGTGCCCACAGAAGGAGAAGGGCCACTCTGAGTGGGGAAATACTGAGAACTGATCTGAGGGCTGGTGGACCAGAGCATTAGCTACAGGGGAAGTAAAAGGAAGGGGATTGAAAGATAGATTAGGACCAGAGGTGGCAGCTTTGGAAAGGCACTTCTGGAAGAAAAAGGGGGCATTTTAGAAGGTGAATCTATCTCTTGGAGACATGGTAGTGAAATGAAAGAAGGAACCACCTGAAACTATGGGCCCCAGTGCAACAAGACAATATCAAGTGGTATCAATATCAATAAAAGGCCATTTATTAAGAAAATGGCCCTAGGCAGAGCAATCAGACAAGAGAAAGAAATAAAGGGCTCCAAATTGGTCAAGAGGAAGTCAAACTGTTACTATTTGTTGATGATATGATCATAGGCCTAGAAAACCCTAAAGGTTTCTCCAAAAAGTTCCTGGAATTGATAAATGAATTCAGCAAGTTTTAGGATACAAAATTAATGTACACAAATCAGTAGGTCTGCCATACACCAACAGTGACCAAGCTGAGAATCAAATCAAGAACTCAACCCCTTTTACAAGAGCTACAAAAAAATATAAAATACTTAGGAGTACACCTAACCAAGGAAGTGAAAGACCTCTACAAGGAAAACTACAAAACACTGGTGAAAGAAATCATAGACAACACAAAGTAATGGAAACACATCCCATGCTCAAGGATGGGCAGAATCAATGTTGTGAAAATGACCATACTGCTAAAAGCAATCTACAAATTGAATGCAATTCCCATCAAAACATCACCATCATTCTTCACAGAAGTAGAAAAAACAATCCTAAAATTCATACGGAACCAAAAAAGAGCCCACATAGCCAAAGCAAGACTAAGCAAAAAGAACAAATCTGGAAGCATCATATTACGTGACTTCAAACTATACTATAAGGCCATAGTCACCAAAACAGCATGGTACTTGTATAAAAATAGGCACATAGACCAGTGGAACAGAATAGAGAACCCAGAAATGAAGCCAAATACTTACAGCCAACTGATCTTCGACAATGCAAACAAAAACAAAGTGGGGAAAGGACACTATTCAACAAATGGTGCTGGGATAATTGGCAAAACACATGTAGAAGAATTAAACTGGATCGTCATCTCTCACCTTATACAAATAATTAACTCAAGATGGATCAAAGACTTTAAGACCTGAAACAATAAAGATTCTAGAATATAACATTGGGAAAAACCCTTCTAGCTGTTGGCTTAAGCAAAGACTTCATGACCAAGAACCCAAAAGCAAACACAACAAAACAAAGATAAATAGGTGAGACTTAAACTAAAGAGCTTTTGCATGGCGAAAGGAACAGTCAGCAGAGTAAACAGACAACCCCTAGAGTGGGAGAAAATCTTCGCAATCTATACATCTAACAAAGGACTAATATCCAGAATCTACAAGGAACTCAAATCAGCAAGAAAAACACAATCCCATCAAAAAGTGGGCTAACGACATGAATAGACAATTCTCAAAAGAAAATGTACAAATGGCCAACAAACCTATGAAAAAATCTCAACATCACTAATAATCAGGGAAATGCAAATCAAAACCACAATGCAGTGCCACCCTACTCCTACAAAAATGGCCATGATCAAAAAATAATAGCTGTTGCTATGGATGTGGTGGAAAAAGGACCACTTTTAAACTGCAGATGGGAATGTAAACTAATACAACCACTATGGAAAACAGTATGGAGAATCCTTAAAGAACTAAAAATAGAACTACCATTTGATCCACCAGTTGCACTACTGGGTATCCACCCAGAGAAAAAGAACCCATTATAGGAAAAAGATACTTGTACACACACAATTCACAAGATAGCAGCACAATTCACAATTGTGAAAATATGGAACCAGCCCGAATGCCGATCAATTAAGGAGTGGATAAAGAAATTGTGGGGTGTGTGTGTGTGTATGTGTGTGTGCCTGTATTGTATGTGTACACCATGGAATACTATTTAGCCATAAAGAGGAATGAGATATTGGCATTCACAGCAACCTGGATGGAATTAGAGACCATTATTTTAACTGAAGTAACTCAGGAATGGAAAACCCAACATTGTATGTTCTCACTCATAAGTGGGAGCTAAGCTATGAGGATGTAAAGGCATAAGAATGATGTAATGGACTTTGGGGACTCAGGAGAAAGGGTGTATGTTATCACACTGCTATGAAGAAATACCTGAGACTGGGTAATTTATAAAGGAAAGAGGTTTAATAGAATCACAGTTCCTCATGGCTGGGGAGGCCTCAGGAAACTTATAATCATGGCAGAAGGGAAAGCAAACATTCTTCACATGGCAGCAGGAAATAGAAGTGCAGAATGAAGAGGGGAAAGCCCCTTATAAAACCATCAGATTCCACGAGACTCAAACATTATCATGAGAACAGCATGGAGGAACAGTCTGCATAATCTGATCACCTCTCACGAGGTCCCTCCCTCAACACATGGGGATTACAATTTGGATTACAATTAAAGATGAGATTTGGGTGAGGACACAGAGCCAGACCATATCAGGGTGGGAGGTGGGTGATTGATAAAAGATTACACATTGGGCACAGTGTAAAATGCTTGGGTGATGGGTGTACCAAAATCTCAGAAATCACCACTAAATAACTTATTCAAGTAACCAAATACCACTTGTTCCCCCATAAACCTATTTTTAAAAGTAAATAAATAATAAAATAAATACAATTTTTTATTAAAGGAAATGGCCCTTTACTAACAACAGCAGAGGACACTGTTGAGCTAAGAAACTTGTAAGCCTCTTGGCCAGGGGAGGTGCCTCACACCTGTAATCCCAGCACTTTGGGAGGCTGAGGCAGGTGGATCACCTGAGGTCAGGAGTTCAAGACCAGACTGGCCAACATGGCAAAACCCCATCTCCACTAAAAATACAAAGCATTAGCTGGGCATGGTGGTAGGTACCCATAATCCCAGCTACTTGGGAAGCTGAGGCAGGAGAATTGCTTGAACCCAGGAGGTGGAGGTTGCAGTGAGCGGAGATCGTACCATTGCACTCCAGCCTGGGCAATGCAGCAAGGCTCTGTCAAAAAAAGAAACAAAGAAACTTGTAAGCCACCCAAATCCCTCCATCACCCATGTGATATCTGACCTGGTCCAGAAAAATCCAAAACAAATAAGTTTCAATAAAAAGAGAATCCTACATCCATATTCTGTAAGAAAACAAAACGAAGGTCAAAACTTTTCAGCAGTTGTCAGTTATATTTCAATAAAGCTATGTAAGAAAATTGGCTGGGTGCAGTGGCTCATGCCTGTAATCCCAACACTTTGGAAGGCTGAGGCAGGCGGATAACCTGAGGTCAGGAGTTTGAGACCAACCTGGTCAACATGGTAAAACCTCATCTCTACTAAAAATACAAAAATTAGCCAGGCATGGTGACACATGCCTGTAATCCTAGCTACTCGGGAGGCTGAGGCAGGAGAATCACTTGAACTTGGGAGGCGGAGGTTGCAGTGAGCTGAGATCACACCACTACACTCCAGCCTGGGAGACAGACTGAGACTCCATCTTAAAAAAAAAAAAGAAAGAAAAAGAAAAAAAAGTTACCCCCATAACCCCACCATCCAGAATTAGTCATTAACATCTGGCATGCTTGCTTCCTGTCTTTTTCTTATGTGCAAGTAACATTTTTTAAAATAACACAAGTAGCTAGGCACATGCACTTGTATTCCCAGCTACTGGGGGGCTGAGGCAGGAAGATCACTGAAGCCCAGAAGTTTAAGGCAGGAAGATCACTGGAGCCCAGAAGTTCAAAGCTGTAGTGCACTATGATCACACCTGTTACTAGCCATTGTATTGCACTCTGGGCAACATAGTGAGACTCTGTCTCTAATAATAATGATGTTTTTAATAAAAGAAAATAGCAAGTAATACATGACCCTGTTTTCACTAAAAATCAGAATAATGCAGATGGTTAAAATCCCCTTGAATAATACCACCCTTAATCCAGATCTGCTCCCCACCAAGAGTTTACCATTCTGTGTATATACATGTACCCACAGAATATTCATAGAATTGTTTTGTTTTTTATTTATATAAATGTCAGGCTGTAGGCATTATTTATACAACTTGCATTTTTTCATTCTTGGTTTTGAGACAGTCTCACTGTGTCGCCCAGGCTGGAGTGCGGAGTGCAGCGGCGCAATCTCAGCTGACTGCAACCTCTGCCACCTGGGTTCAAGCGATTCTCATGCCTTGGCCTCCCAAGTAACTGGGACTACAAGCATGCACCACCACACCCAGCTAATTTTTGTATTTTTAGTAGAGACAGGGTTTGACCATCTTGCCCAGGCTGGTCTTGAACTTCTGACCTCAGGTCATCTGCCTGCCTCGGCCTCCCGAAGTGCTAGGATTACAGGCATGAGCCACCACACCCGGCCTTTTTTCACTCAATTTTTTAAGCAATGTTTTTGAAATGTACCGTTGTTCCCAATGTCTCACAATTTCTACAATAAATTAGTCCATGTTTCTTTTTAAAAAGAAAGAAAAACCTTTTCAGCAGTTTGGAGCTCTCCCTCAGTAATGGTAAATGTGATGGTTTGAACCAGCTTTCCTGTTGAAAACAACTAGAAGAACCAGAATACACATTATATATAGAACGGTGTGAATGCCCACAAGCTATTTAAGTCAGTAGTAAATTGCAGGAACAAGATCTAGGAACAAAGAAAGCCCAGAGGGTGAGCCAGATACTTAGGCTGATTTTCCCTTTGAGGCTCTGCCAATCTGAAAGCAAGGGTGAGAGAAGCTGAATAGAGCTTTCCACAGACTCATGGGACTTTGAGGGACAAGATTGGAATTTAAGGCACACCAAAGGTGGAGACCCCAGTAAACCGCCCAGGCTTTAAGTTGTGACTTTGAAAGGCTAAACCGTGAGAATAACGGTGAATAGGAAATAGACTAGCACTCACTGACACTGAAGCCCTGTTCTGAACCTTCTCAATCTCTGAATGGATTAAGGTGATCTGAGACTGCTAGAACAACTAGCCTAGCCATCTGTCAGAAGCAAAGACAAATCTCCTCTAGAAGAAGATATCCAGGCCTTCAAATTCTCACTACACTAATGTATGATGTTTGCTACACATTTTAACTATAACTAGGCACATAAGGAGACAAGATCACATGAATGAAGACTAAGATAACAGACAAGTGAAACATCCGTTAGTAATTCAGATAATAGTCATTGTCTATGAACTTCAAAATAACAATGTTTTGTTTGATATGTTTGATATGTTTATGGAATTCAAAGACAAACTTCAGAAATTTTACATCAAATTGGACATTATTTTTTTAAAGATCCAGGTGGAAATTTCTGGGTTTTTTTTTTGTTTTTTGTTTTTTGTTTTTGAGATGGAATCTTGCTCTGTCGCCCAGGCTGGAGCACAGTGGCACAATCTTGGCTCACAGCAACCTCCACTTCCCAGGTTCAAGCAATTCTCGTGCCTGAACTCCTGAGTAACTGGGATTACAGGCACCTGCCACCATGCCCAGCTAATTTTTGTATTTTTTAGTAGAGACGGGGTTTCGCCATGTTGGTCAGGCTGGTCTCGAACTCCTGACCTCAGGTGATCCACCCACCTCGGCCTCCCAAAGTGCTGGGACTACAGGCATGAGCCACCGTGCCAGGCCCAAGAGCTGACTTCTTAACTGCAACAATGGAAGCCATTAGAAAATAGTATGAAACACCTCTTGGACACTACCTCACATCCCCCTTCCCCATCTTTATCCAAACACAACAGAGAAAACACCCCAGGGATCCTCTTCACCCATGAAACCAGGAGCCAGTGGATAAATACTCTTCCTTTCCATCCTCTAATGGAAAATTGAGGTGCATTCTGTATAGCTATTCAGAGGGTCTAGCAGGATTAAGCCACACTCACTCACAGAGATGATCAACTTGGTAATACAGGTTCCTGTTGGCTTTTCCATCTATTCTGTTTTCTTCTTCCCAGTCCCTCACTCTTTCTAGAATCATTTCCCAAATAAGCCACCTGCATGCAAGCCCTTGTTTCAGGCTCTGCTTTCAGGAAGCCCAGGCTAAGAGAGTAGATAATCAGGAATAGCCCTAGAAAGTAGACATCAAAATGGGACTCGAAACTGGGTCACTCACTAATCAGATGGCAAAAAAAAAAAAAAGAATGACATTATTTATGGTAAGTGGTGTTGAGATTAAACCCTGTCATGTGTTAGATTCTTAATGGTGGAAGATTGATAAATGGTAAGGTATAATAAATGCAGGGGGAAAGAAGCTCTGCGTTATCAGCTATTTGCTTTTCTGAATTTATTATACTTCAATTTTTTTTAAGTTTAAAAAAACTTGGCAGGTTGTTGTGGTTTATACCTATAATCCCAGCACTTTGGGAGACCAAGGCAGGAGGATTGTTTGAGGCCAGGAGTTCAAGACCAGCCTAGGCATCATAATGAGACCCCATTTCTACAAAAATAAGAATAAAAAAATTATCCAGGCATGACAGCACATGCCTGTAGTCCAGGCTACTCAGGAGGCTGACATGGGTCACTTGAGCCCAGGAGTTTGAGGCTGCAGTGAGCTATGATCATGCTATTGCACTCCATGGAGCCTGGGTGACAGAACAAGACCCTGTCTCTAAAAAATAAAAATAAACTTTTCAGTAGATAAGAAACTCCAGAAGAAATAAAACCAGCCCTTATGGAAAAGAAAATGTAACACAGTATTCCAAAATGAACTAAATAAAATTAAGCAGTTGCACTGGGGAAAAACACATCAGGGATTTTAAAACTCAAAATAGAAATGGACAAACTAGAACTTATAAAGTGGGAAACTGATTTTAGGAAAGAAGCTGAAGAAAAAGAAATAAATAACCTTGGCCGGGCATGGTGGCTCATGCCTTTAATCCCGGCATTTTGGGAGGCTGACACGGGTGGATCACCTGAGGTCAGGAGTTCGAGACCAGCCTGACCAACATGGTGAAACTCCTTCTCTACTAAAGATACAAAAATTTAATCAGGTGTGGTGGTGGGTGCCTGTAATCCCAGCTACTCGAGAGGCTGAGGCAGGAGAATCACTTGAACCCAGGAGGCAGAGGTTGCAGTGAGCCAAGATCACACCATTGCACTCCAGCCTGGACAACAGAGTGAGACTCTGCCTCAAAAATAAATAAATAAATAACCTTGAAATTATTAAAGTGTAAGGTGCTTAAGAGAAAGTAAGTATGATCAAAAGTAGACTGAGGAAGAAGGAAGACAGTGGATAGAAGTGGGAAAAAAAAAGCCAAGAAAATGAAATTAAAGAAAGAGGTAGAAAGAATCAGTAAGAAAATGATAGATATAGTAGTCAGACAAAACATAATATAATTGGAGATGCTTAAGAGAAAAAAACACTGAAATAGAACTAATATATAAAACTATAATTCAAGAAAATTTTCCTGAAATAAAAGAAAACCTGAACCTATATATTTAAAAGGCCCACCATGTAGGAAAATTGCTTCAAAGCAATCAACTCTGAAACAACCTATTAAAACTACTACTAGACATTACAGTTTAAGAAAAGATAAAAAGACAAAAGATCAAGACATTTATAAAGAAAATAAAATCAGGTGAGCATTAGATTCCTCAAGAGTAACTTACAAAGCAAGACAGTAGTGAAACAATCTTGTCAAAAAATGTGAAGAAAGAGTTTTTTATCTAACTCAACTATCCTTCAAATATTAAGAGTATAGAAAAACAATTTTTGTTATGAAGTTCAGGTAACATAAAATTAACTATTTTAAAACAGCTTTTAAAATCAATTTGGTGGCATCGACTTCATTCACAATGTTGTGCAAACTTCACGTGTATCTATCTAGTTCCAAAACATTTTCATCACTTCAAAATGAAACCCCATAAACATTAAGCATGTACTGCCTATCTCCTCTCCCTTCGGCCCTTGGTAATTACCAACCTGTTACCTGTTTTTCTCTATTTATCTATTCTAGAAATTTCATACACATGAATCATTCAATATATGACCTCTGGTTTCTTTCACTTAGCATAGCGTTTTCAAAGTTCATCCACATTGTAGCATGTAATAGCACTTCATTCCTTTTTATGGCTGAATAATATTCCATTGTATGAATATACCACAATCTGTTTATTCACACACTAATGAACATTTGGGTTGTTTCTGCCTTTAGGCTATTATGAATAGTGCTGCTATGAAAATTTGAGTACAATGATTTGGTTAAGTACCTGTTTTCAACTCTTAGGGGTATATATCTAGAAATGGAATTTCTGGGTCACGTGACAATTCTATATTTAACTTTTTGAGGAACCACCAAACTGTTTTCCATAGGAATTAAACCATCTTACATTCCCACTAGCAATGTATGAGAGTTCCAATTTCAACACGTGCTTGCAGCACTTATTTTCTGTTTTTTAAAAAATAGTCATTGTTATGCGTGTGAAGTGGTATCTCATGTGATTTTGATTTGTAGTTCCCTAATGACTAATGATGTTGAGCATCTTGTCATGTGCTTAGCCATAGAAAAATAATTTTTTTAAAAAAATTGAAACATGAAAAAATTCAGTGTATATTGTTCTAATAAGTCCTTCCTACAACATTCACTAGAGGTTGAACTTCATCCAACTAAGAGATGAATGAGGAAACTTAAAAGGACTGGTCTGGTAGCGAGCATTGACTATTTTAACTATAGATCTTAAACAAATCAAAGATGGGGGTAAGGGTGAAAGAAAAGATTGTAGTTGTGTACTCTGACAAAGTAGAAACAACATAAATTTTTAAATGAGGGGAAAAGAAAAAAGAAATGGGAAATTGAATATATTCACTGATTTCACATAAACCATAGGTGAGAGTCAAATGTCTCATTTAAAGCAGACAAACCATATCATAGGAGCCTAAGTAAAGAAAATGTCAGCATTATATAAATACATTAGTGGAATGATAATTACTAAGACAAAAACACAAATCATTCTAGTCACCAAAATTTTTTTCAATTAAAAGAAGCAAAGGAAAAAAAAACCCAGACTACAGAGTGAAAAACACATGGTAAATTTCACATGCATAGTAAATATAACATAGAATAATAGAACATATCTAAGACCAGGCATTTAATTTGTAGCAATAAATGTAAATGGTCTTAACTAACTTATGAGAAGAAAAAAGATTTTCAGATTGGCTTACAAGACAAAATCCAACTTTGTACTCTAAGAGACATTCCCAAAACAAAGATAAATACAATTAAAAGAAAGTATAAAATTATACCAGGCAAAAACACATAAAGAAAGCAGGTATTGTGAACTTGATATCTGACAAGTTGAAATATTCATGGATGAAAAAAAGTCCTTAATGAGACAAAGAAGGATACTTTATACTACTAAAGTCCATAATTCATAGTGAAAATATTAAAGTTATTAATAATTATGCATCAAATAACACACCATAATTAATAATTATGCATCAACACAGCAGCAACCTTCATAAAGTATAAATACAGGTGATAAGAAGAGAAACACGTGGAAGTACATTAATTAGGGAAGACTAAGATCCACCCTCAGTTCAAGACAGGGCAAATGGGGAAATAAAAAACATAAGCAACATAACCCCAAAGTAGATCTTATGGCTATATATTGAACTCTTCAGCCTTATCAAAGAGAATATATTTGCTTTTCAAATACATGAAAATTAGTCATATATGAGGTAATCAAGAAAACTTTAATAATTTCAATTAAGTAGAAATAAAGCAAACATCGTTTTATCACAATGCAATAAAATTAAGTTAAAAGGTGAGAAGTCTTTTCCATCTGGAAATTTTTTAAATTATTAAGCAACTCTTTAGTCAAAGATGTGAAATTGTATAATTTCTTTCAAAGATAATGATTATACATATCAGAATCTTGACATATGGTTAAAGCATAGGTTTCAGCTGAGTGTGGTGGTGTGTGCCTATAATTCCAGCTACTCAGGAGGCTGAGGCAGGAGGATCACTTGAGCCCAGGAGTTTGAGACCAGCCTGGGCAACACAGTGAGACCCCATCTCAAAAAATTAAACATTAAAACTTTAAAAAGCAAAGGTTAAAAGAAAATACATAGAATATTTATAAAAATAAACATGAAAGTGTGACAATAGATGAATTAAGCATCTATCTCAGAAGTCAGAAAAAGAACAAAAAGTAAATCCAATGAAAGTGGAGAGAAGAAAGTAATAAAAAATCGAAGTTAATTGAGTTAAAAAGCACATAATAGAACTTATAACTAAAAAAAAATTCTTTTAAATAATCAAAATAATAGATCTAATCATTATAAAAGAGAGGACACACACAAATTAAAACATGATAATGGAGCCAGGCCTGGTGGCTCATGCCTGTAATCCCAGCACTTTGGGAGGCTGAGGCGGGTGGATCACTTGAGGCTAGTTGTTCAAGACCAGCCTGGCCAACACAGTGAAACCCATCTCTACTAAAAAATACAAAAATTAGCTGGGTGTGGTGGCATGTGCCTGTAATCCCAGCTACTTGGGAGGCTGAGAAATGAGAATCACTTGAGCCCGGGACGTAGAGTTTGCAGTGAGCTGAGATCATGCCACTGCATTCCAGTCTGGGTGACAGAGTAGGACTCTGTCACACACACACAAAAAAAAGCAAAACAAACAAAAAAAACATGATAATAGGAGAGTAACCATTGAATCAGAGGATATTCTAAAATATCATATGTCTCAGTTATACAGTTCTATACAGCTTACCAAAACTGACCCTAAAAGAGATAGAAAATCTAAAAGATCAGTTTCCATGGAAGATAGAAAGATATTAATGAGATAATCCCAAAAAAACACCAGGCCCAGATGATTTTTTAGGGGAATTCTAACAGGCTTTTAAACAACAGATAGATATTTTTAAGAGACAAGTATCTCACTATGTTGTTCAGGCTAGATTCTATAACCTTTTAATAAAATGACTATATCATTGATTTGAAAACCCAATAAACACTACACATACATACACAAAATAAATCTATAGACTAAACTCATTTGTGAATATTGAAGCAGAAATCCTAAGTAAAATATTAACAAATAGAATTGAACACCTCACTAAAAATAGAATACATTATGATTAAGAGGTGTTTATTTTAGGAATGCAAACTGCGTGGCCCAGAAAGTCTAGAAACAGATGCAAATGCATACAGGAAATTGGAAAAGTGGCATATCAAATTAGTGGGGAGAAGTAGACTACCCAATAATGGTGCTGGAACCATTAAAAAGACACCTAGAAAAAAACAAATTTGATCTCTACCCCATAACAACGCAAAATAAATTTTATAAAGATTTGTATGTAAAAAATGAAACCATAAAAGCCCTAGAAATAAACATAATTCTTTACAGTCTCAAGTGAGGATGACTTAAGTATAAGAAAAAATCCAGAAGCAATAAAGGAAAATAGTATTAAATTTGACTGCACAAAAATGAAATCTTCTTCATGGCAAAAAAAAAGAAATTATAAAGTCAAAAAACAAAAATCTTGATAAAATATTTGCTAAAATTGGAACAAAACCTAATTTTCTTAATATGTAGTGAGCTCCTAAAGAAAACAATAAGAAAAAGAGCAACAACTCACAGAAAAATGGGTAAAGGATATGAAAAAAAGTTCAGAAAAGAAAATTCAAATGACTTAATGAAGTTAATGTGACATTAATACTATTGAGTATGATGATAATGATCGATGTTATGAAAATATACAAAAGATGCTTAACATGCTCCTAATAAGAAAAATACAAATTAAATCCACAATGATATAGAATTTTCAACTACCTGACTGACAGGATCAAAAATTATATGACATATGGTATTCGCACAGCAGTGGGCAAACAGGAATACTCATACATTGCTGGTGGAAGGGTAATTTCCTACAAACACTATGGAGATCAATTTGACAATTAAAATAATAAATACAATTAACTTTTTTTCTTTTTTTTTGAGACAGAGTCTCACTCTTCGGCCAGGCTAGAGTGCAGTAGCACAACCTCAGCTCACTGCAACCCCTGCCTCCTGGATTCAAGTGATTCTCCTGCCTCAACCTCCCGAGTAGGGTGGGATTACAGGCATGAACCACCACGCCTGGCTAAATTTTGTATTTTTGAAAGAGAAGGGGTTTCACCATGTTGGCCAGGCTGGTCTCAAACTCGTGACCTCAAGTGATCTGTCCGCCTCAGCCTCCCAAAGTGCTGGGATTATAGGCGTGAGCCACCACGCCCAGCCTAGAAATATAATTATCTTTTAATCCAACAATTCTACCTCCAAGAGTTTGTCCTGAAAGTATACTTGCCAAGGTAAGAAATTATGCATGGACAAGGTTATTATTTCAGCATTGTTTGAAAAAGCAAACATTGGAAACACCCCAAATATCCAATAAGGAACTCATCAAATAAATTATGTAACAATCATGAAACTATGCAGCTATTGAAGATATCCACCTTAAATGTGCTGATATGGAATAATATTTAAGATACATTTTTGTCTGCTTGTTGTTTGGCTTTAAATGACAGAAATTTATTCTCTCACAATTCTGGAGGCTAGACGTACAACATCAAGGTGTCACGGGGCCGTTCCCTCTGAAGGCCGAGGGGAGGATCTGTTCCAGGCCTGTCTTCCAGCTCTGATGCTTACTGGTAAGTCCTTTGCACTCCTTGATTTAGAGCCATCACTCCAATTGACCTCCATCTTCACAGGGCGTTCTCCTCTCTGTCTGTGTGTGTCTCCAAGATATATTTTTAAGTGAAAAAGTAAGGGAAAAAATGGTGAATGGTATATGTAAGAAAGTACGTAAAACCACCTATGAGCATGTGCGTGAATATAAATAAAATACTTCTGAAAGCATACCAAGAAGTTGGTAAGTGATCGCCTCTGGAAAAGGGAACTGGGTAGGTAGGGGAAGAGGTAGAAGAGAAACTTACTTTTTACTGCATTTCCATTTAAACCTTTTTTACAGCTTTATTGAGATATATTTCACATACCATAAAATCCACCCATTTAAATGTACAGTTCAGTGGTTTTTAATGTATTCACAGACTTTCGCAACCATTACCAAAATCTAATTTTAGAACATTTTCAACAATCCAAAAAGAAACCACAAACACATTAGCAGTCATTCTCCATTCCCAACTCCCAACCCCCAGCCCCAGGTAGCCACTAATCTTTCTGTCTGTATGGATTCGCCTATTCTGGACATTTCACATGAATAGAATTATACAGTATGTGGTTTTTGTGACTGAATTCTTGTACTTAGTGTCTTAGTCAGGGTTCTCTAAAGGCACAGAACTAACAGGATAGATGTATATAGGAAGGGGAGTTTATTAAGGAGTATTGACTCACACGATCACAAGGTGAAGTCCCACAATAGGCCGTCTGCAAGCTGAGGAGCAAGGAAGCGAGTCTGAGTCCCAAAACCCCAAAAGTAGGGAAGCTGAAAGTGCAGCCTTCAGTCTGTGGCGGAAGGCCCGAGGGCCCCTGGAAAATCACTGGTGCGGTGTAGCTCCAAGAGTCCAAAAGCTTAAGAACTTGGAGCTCAATGTTCCAGGGCAGGAAGCATCCAGCATGGGAGAAAGATGGAGGCCAGAAGACTTAGCCAGTCTAGTCCTTCCACGTTCCTCTGCCTGCTTTATTCTAGCTGCACTGGCAGCTGATTAGATGGTGCCCACCCAGACTGAGGGTGGGTCTGCTTCTCCCAGTCCACCAACTCAAATGTTAATCTCCTTTGGCAACACCCTCACAGACACACCCAGGAACAATATTTGGCATCCATCAATCCAATCCAGTTGACACTCAATATTAACCATCACACTTAGCATAATGTTTTCATTGTTCATTTATACTGTAGCATTCATCAGTATTTCATTCTTTTTTATTGTTTAATAATATTCCATTATATGAATATACCACAACCTGTTTATCCGTTCATCAGTGGATAGATATTTTAAGTTTTTCTACTTTTTGGGCGTTATTAATGAAACTGATAAACATTTTATACAAATTTTTGTGTGAAGTAATGTGTTTTCATTACTCTTGGGTATATACCTACACATAAAATTTCTGGATTATATGGTAACTCTATGTTTAAATTTCTAAGGAGCTGCCAAACAGTTTTCCAAAGTGGCCGCACCACTTTCCATTTATACATTTTGAATTTTAAACCATGTTCTGGTATTACCTATCCAAGACAATCAATAAAACATTGTTTAAATAATAAATTAGAGCTATACTCACTGACTTGGAGAGATTTCCATTACAAATTATAATCTGAAGCAAGGTACTATAGAGACAAATATATAAAAATATAATAAGAGTAATATGGCTGTATTTTTGTAAACTGAACACCAGAAAACTTGTGTGTGTGCATTCATATGCATTTTGTATCAGTTATAAGTGCTTTTGGATACAAAATAATAGTAAACCACACTAACAGTGGTATGAACAAATAGGGGTTTTTTCCTATTATTGGTACCCTAAAGATTTCTTCTGTTTCTGCTACTGGTTCAGCAGCTCAGTAGGACCCTGAAAGACTCAGATTCTTTTTGTATTTTGACTCCACCATCCTTAATGTATTGGTTTGTCCTTTCATGGTTACACGCTGCCTGCAGCACCAACTAAGCATCATCTATGCATTCTAGGCAGGAAGAAGAGCGAAGGGCAAGAGACCCTGCTAAATGAGTCAGCAAAAATGTCCACTCAGCTAACTTCCACTGATATTTCATTGGCCAAAACTGGGTCACATGGCTACCACTAGCTGCAGAATAGGCCAGGAAATATGGGGTACAAATTATCATTACTGACTTGAACCCAGTCATGACCCATTGCCAGGGCTAAGCACATTGCATTCCAAATCAGGATTCTGCTAGCAAGGAGGAATGGGAAGACTGCCAGACACCATGTACACATAAATGAAAGATGGTTGTATGAGCATGGAGACATGTATGGAAGGATGCATATAAGAGTGCTAACAATGGTTTGGAAGGGTGGAGGGAACACACGGGGCAGGTAAGGGGGAGGAAGTAAAACAGTGATGCATTAATTAAAATATCAACTGAGGACTCAGCAATTAAGCCCTGAAAGCAGGACACATTCTAGCATACATTGAATACACTGAGGCCAACGTGAGATACACTAAAGGAAGATGCATAACCAATCTCCTGGTAACACAGGTTTAGAGTTTTATCAGTTTCTTTGTTTTTTCTTTCTTTTTTTTTTTGAGACAGAGTCTCACTCTGTCGCCCAGGCTGGAGTGCAGTGGCATGATCTCTGCTCACTGCAACCCCTGCTTCCCAGATTCAAGCAATTCTCCAGCCTCAGCCTCCCGAGTAACTGAGATGACAGGCTCCCACCACCATGCCTGGCTAATTTTTGTATTTTTAGTAGATACAGGGTTTCACCATGTTGTCCACGCTAGTCTTGAACTCTTGACCTCAGGTGATCCGCCCTCCTCAGCCTCCCAGAGTGCTGGGATTACAGATGTGAGCCACCGCACTCAGACTGCTTTTTAGTTTTTTAGCCAACCAAACAAACAGCAGTGATATCAGTTTCTTAAGAATGAGGAATTGGAGAGTTGGACATTGATGTCAAGAACCCTCTGAATATTCATTGGCTTATATTGGATAATATATAATAATATACTGATAAATATAATGATATACAATAAATGGAACAGATTGTTCAATTTAAAAAAATTCATAGGAACTTTAAAAAGTACAATTTGAAGCTTTGAAATCATTTTATAGGGATACAGAAAGGGGTAAACTGGGCATATGTATAGAAAGAATAGCCCTAAAAGCAGGGAGCCACAAACAGCAAAGTAAAACTCAATGTCAAGTGTTTTAACAGAGGGTGCGGTCTAGATACTGTCATGTGGTCCTAAAGATCTGTCAAGATCTCTCGCTCTGCTTCCCACTCTGATCATTGTGTTTCCTCCAAAACCTGTAAGAGAATGAGGGCAGAGAATCTAAACCAGTTTTGGATAATAGTGATGAAAGCAGCAACCCATCTAGAGTGGCTGCTGCCGAGATGCCGGCTGCAGCAGGGTGGCACGGCCCAGGCTCCTGCACCACAGAGCAAAGCACAGCAGGCAGGAGCCCTGCCCTCCCTGGGTGCTGCTGCAGCTGCCTAAGTCCAGCTGTGGACCAGGGCATGTTGGTGCTCTTGGGGGCCCCAGAAGGTCCCCCTACCCCTTATGGGCTCAGAAGTGCCTGCTGCCACTGCCTGGCCTCTCCCTGCTCACGGAGCTCGCTCTGATTGTGGAGCAAGGGTACGGCTGAGCCCAGGTATTGTCGCAGCCTGGCCAGGTGGACACATGCTCAGGGCAGTGCTGACATGCTAGCCCCCTGCTGCCTCAGCCCCGTCTGGACTCTGGGTACCAACAAGCATGGGAGGGAAGCTGGGGGTTGGGAGTGCTGAAGGCAGGTCAGCGGTGGCCTGCAGGTGCCTCTTGGCCCAAGCAGCCTAGGTACCATGGACTGCAGCAGGAGGCAGACAGGCTCTTGGGCAGAAGGGGGCAGGTGCCCACTGAAGCCCCACCTTCAGGGGGAAGGCCTGAAGCCTGGAGGCCGGGCTGCCATTCCTGCAGACTGAAGAGGGAACTCTGTTGCTTTTTCCTGGGCCCACCGATGGCAGCACGCACCTCCCTCCTCTGAAGACCATGAAGTTTCCAGACTCAGCCAAAGCAGAACAGACATTGGGATGACCAGCTACAGAGAGGAGTTACCCTCTCCAGGGCCTCCTCTCTCCTGGGAGCAGCTGACATCAGAATGACCAGCTACAGAGAGGAGCTACCCTCTCTGCTGAGAGCTGAACACTTGTTGGGATGACCTGTCTGCAGAGAGGAGCCACCCACTCCAGACCTCCTCTCTGCTGAGAGCTGAACACTTGACAGGACGACCTGCCTACAGAGAGGAGCTACCCACTGCAGGTCTCCTCTGGGCTGTTTTAACCTCAATAAAGCTCCTCTTCGTCTTGCTCACCCTCCACTTGTCTGCATACTTCATTCTTCCTAGACACAAAACAAGAACTTGGGCAAAGGCACCACCAGCCACAGAGGTTTCCAGCCAGAAAAGCAACACCCAAAGATCCCGCAACAATAGAACCGAAGGAGATGGGGGATATGTTAGGTACTGCCAGGGGCCTACTTCATCCCCTCTGCCACATCTCAGATTCCTGCTGTGGGTTTGGTGGCCAGTTCTGCAAAAGTGTCCATTTACTTCACTCTAACAACATCTTGCCTCAGGTGCATACTGTGTACTTTGCTTTCTACACTAGGACTTCTCTGAAGCTATGCACAACAGTAGGAGTTTACTCAGCCTGTACACATGCCACAGCCAGCTATTATGTGATGGAAATGGAACAGTCAGGATCAGGTCTAACAGCCCAATCCAGAGAGAAATCCAAAGAGCGCTGGTAAGATCAAC
Organism: Homo sapiens; assembly: GCF_000001405.40. Taxonomy (NCBI): domain Eukaryota; kingdom Metazoa; phylum Chordata; class Mammalia; order Primates; family Hominidae; genus Homo; species Homo sapiens. The sequence continues at coordinate 53,579,281 of NC_000016.10, read as the reverse complement.
AAGCAGATGGCTCACACTGCCATGCCACCCGACTGTGTTATACCAATTCCATTTTCTCAGCTCACACCTGTGGTCTCATGGGACAGGAAAGGTATTACCCACATCCAAATATCAGAGGAAGAAAAATTCAGGCTTTGTTTACGGATCCATAGTCTTGATTTGTTGGTGTAAGTTGAAAATGGATTGCAACACACAACAGCCTCACTCAAGGATGGCTCCAAAGGACAGTGATGGGAGGGAGTGGAGACCAGTGGGCAGATCTGTGAGTAGCACCCTTGGTCATTCACTCTGCTGGAGGAAGAAGTGGCCTGAGGTACACAGACTCCTAGAGAGTGACAGATGGCTGGTTGATTGGTCAAGGACCTGGAAGAGGCAGAATGGGAAACAAATAGGCAGACCTCCAAACAAAGAGGTCTGGAGAAGAAGCATGGGAAGGGGCACAAAGAACACCTATTTTTGTGTCTGGTGTCCATGCTCACCAGAAGTAGGCCCTCAGCAATCCAGTAGATGGGATGACTGGTCTAATTTGTCTCTTTCTTTGGCCACTCTAGTGCTAACTCAACAAGCCCGTGAATGGAGTGCCCATGGTAGCACAGCTGGAAGACATGCATGGCCCAATATGATGGACTCCCTCTCCCAAGGCTGGTCCTAACTACTGCACTGCTGAATGCCCAGCGTAACTCAACTAACACTAAGTCCTTGCTTGTTATGGTACCACTCCTCAAGGAGATCAGCCAGCCATCTGATGCCAAGTTAATTACACTGGACTCCTTCTACTCTGTAGAAAGCAGTAATTTGTTCTTACTGGAATTGATACCTCCTCTGGATATGTTTGCCTTCCTGGTCCAGAATGCCTCTAGCAATACTACCATTAGAGGGATAACAAAGGCTTGATTTACCCAATGAGATCCCATGTAACATTGCCTCAGATCACTGGACCCCTGTTATGAAAGAGAACATGTGATTGGTTCTACCCTACACTGCCATGCCCAAAGCAGCCACCCTAATAAAATGATGAAATGGGCTTGGGCGGGCACAGTGGCTCATGACTGTAATCCCAGCACTTTGAGAGGCTGAGGCAGATCACTTGAGGTCAGGTGTTCGAGGCCAGCCTGGTCAACACGGTGAAAACCTGTCTCTACTAAAAATACAAAAATTAGCTGGGTGTGGTGTTGTGTGCCTGGAGTCTCAGCCACTCAGGAGGCTGAGGCAGGAGAATCACTTGAACCCGGGAGGCGGAGGCTGCAGTGAGCCGAAATCACACCATTGTACTCCAGCCTGGGTGACAGAGCAAGATTCTGTCTCAAAAAAGAAAAGAAATGGGCTGGGCATGTTGGTTAATGCCTGTAATCCCAACATTTTGGGAGGCCCAGGCAAGAGGATTGCTTGAAACCAGGAGTTCAAGACCAGCCTGAGCAAAATAGTGAGCTAAAAAAAAAATTAAAAATCAGCTGGGCATGGTGGCACACACCTGTACTCCCAGCTACTTGGGAGGCTGAGGTGGGAGGATCACTTGAGCCCAGGAGGTCAAGACTGCAATGAGCTGTGATAAGCCTACTGCACTCCAACCTGGGCAACAGAGTGAGACTCTGTCTCAAAAAAAAAAAAAAAAAAAAAAAAGACAATGGTGGAATGGCCCATTACAGGCTCAGTTGAAATGCCTGCTCAGATACAACTGAGCAAGTTGAGGCACTGGTCAGTTGCCACCAGGATGCAAGTTTTGTGCTAAGTCTATAGCTGGTAAGGTGCTTTGTCTCCAGTAACTAAAATATATGGGTCCAGAAACCAAAAGTTGAAAGGAATGCCCCTTTTACCACCACTCCTAGTGAGTTACTTGCAGAATATGTGCTTCCCGTCCCCACAATCATAGGTTCTGTAAGGTCCTGGTCTCTGATAGGAGAGCCATTTCACCCAAGAGCTACCAAAGTCACAACGAGCGTGTGTTCATTGGACTCCTCATGCCAATGGAGCAATAGGTAAAAAAAGAAAAGAATAAAAGAATTTCTGCAGGCAGTGGATTACACATGGCCACAAATTATTTGTCACTGCACCCGACAAGAGGTGGGATCTGCGTTCCCTCCGCCTTGAATCTGTGCTGTGTGGCTGCTCTGACCAAGAGAATACAGTGGAAGTGATGCTATGACAACTCCTGGCGTAGCCCTCAAGAAGTCCCCCATTTCCTTTCAGTTCCTTTGCAGTTACCTGCCCATCTGAGCATATTGGCTGACAAACACACAGGCCTCAGATCAACAGAATGAAGTGGTATCTCTTTTTCTTGTTGTTGTTTTATTTTTTTGAGACAGAGCTCACTCTGTCACCCAGGCTGGAGTACAATGGTGTGATCTCGGCTCACTGCAAGCTCCACCCCTGGGTTCAAGCAATTCTCCTGCCTCAGCCTCCTAAGTAGCTGGGATTACAAGCGCCTGCCACCACACCCTGTTAATTTTTTTTTTTTTTTTTGTATTTTTAGTAGAGATGGGGTTTTGCCATGTTGGCCAGGCTGGTCTTGACCTCCTGACCTCAGGTGATCCATCTGCCTTGGTCTCCCAAAGTGCTGGGATTACAGATGTAAGCCAGTGCGCCCAGCCTGAAGTGGTATCTCTAAAACAAGGCTGCCAGTCCCCTTTCCCAAAGGTCTCCTGAGTCATGTTTCACTGGAGTCCACCTGCCTGGAGCATGACCGTCTTGGTCTGCTCATTGTCATTTCTTGCTATGGCAGGGCAACTCCTGCTACAAATTCTAATGTTCAACATGTCTACAGTCATTAGCAGCAGTAGTCTCCGCTGCTTCTTCTATAGAACACCATTACTAGACTCCCACGGGATGGAAAAACGCCTTTGTTGATCATTCCTGGCTTTGAGTCAAGCAAGATGTCAGGAGAAGCAGCTTGAGGAGTGGTTGCTGCCTGCTAGTCTCCAGTCAGGACTGACATATGCAGTCTGCTCTGTTGCTACTGCAGACATTTCATTTGGAATAGCTACACTGATAAAGTAATTGGAAATACTTATGTTTTTATATTATGGGTCCATGGAAATGATTTGCATAAAAGGATCTTTACATGCCAAATAAAACATTACCACAAAACTCAGGTTGATACCAAATGACTGCTTTTGAGGCAATTAACATCCCACTTTGGGTCAGTTTTGTTATTGTCATTGTTTTTGTTATTGGAATCAACTATACAACAGCAAAACCAGGATTCATGAAAGAAATAATTGATAAGCTGAACTCCATTAAAATTAAAAGCTCCTGCTCTGTAAAAGATACTGTCAAGAGAATGAGAAGATGAGCCATAGACAGAGAAAAAACACTTACAAAAGAGGTATCTGATAAAGAGCTATTATCCAAAATAGACAAAACACTCTTAAAACTCAACAATAAGAAAATGAACAACCTGACTGAAAATAGGCAAAAGAACTGAACAGACATCTCGCCAAAGAAGATATAAGATGGCAAACTCGCATATGAAAAGATGCTCAACAAACATATGTCATCAGGGAAATGCAAATTAAAAAATAAAAAACAAGGCCAAACATGGTGGCTCATGCTTGTAACCCCAGCACTTTGGGGTTACCAAGTAGGGTGGCTCTCTTGAGCCCAGGAGTTCGAGACAAGCCTAGGCAACATGGTGAAATTCTGTCTCTACAAAAAATAAAAATAAGGCCAGGCGCAGTGGCTCATGCCTTAACCTCAGCACTTAGGGAGGCTGAGGTGGGCAGATCATGAGGTCAGGAGTTCGAGACCAGCCTGACCAGCATGGTGAAACCCCGTCTCTACTAAAAATACAAAAATTAGCTGGGCATGGTGGTGCATGCCTGTAATCCCAGCTGCTCAGGAGGCTGAGGCTGGAGAATCAGTTGAACCCGGGAGGTGGAAGTTGCAGTGAGCCGAGATCATGCCACTGCACTCCAGCCTGGGCAACAGAGTGAGACTCCATCTCAAAAAAATAAATAAATAAACTAAAAATAAAAAAAATAATGAGATACTACTACACCCCTTTTAAAATGGAGAAAATCTAAAACCCCAAATGCTGGTGAGGATGTGGAACAACAGAAACTCTCGTTCATTGCTGGTGGGAATACAAAATTGTACAGCCACTATAGAAGACAGTTTGCAAAATTAATATACTCTTATCATCTGATCTAGCAATCATACTCCTTGGTATTAAATATTTACCCAAAGAAGGTGAAAAATTATGTCCACACAAAAACCTGCACATGGATGCTTATAGCAGCTTTATCTATGATTGTCACTACTTAGAAGCAACCACGATGTCCTTCAGTGGGTAAGTGGATAAACTGTGGCATACCCAGACAACGGCATATTATTCAGCACTAAAAAGAGAAGAGCAGTTGGATGCGGTGGCTCACACCTGTAATCCCAGCACTTTGGGATGCTAAGGCGGGTGGATCACTTGAGGCCAGGAGTTCGAGACCAGCCTGGCCAACATGGTGAAACCCTGTCTCTACTGAAAATACTAAAATTAGCTGAGTGTGATGGTGGGCGCCTGTAATCCCAGCTACTTGGGAGGCTGAGGCATGAGAATCACTTGAACCTGGGAAGCAGAGGTTGCAGCAAGCTGAGATCATGCCACTGCACACCAGCCTGGGTGACAGAGTGAGACTGCCTCTCAAAATAAATAAATAAAAATAAAAAGAGAAGAGCTATCCAGCAATGAAAAGACATGAGAAACCTTAAATGCCTATTACCAGGTGAAAGAAGTCAATCTGAAAAGGCTACATATTGTATGATTCCAACTACTTGACATTCTGGAAAAGGCAAAACTATGGAGACAGTTAAAAGATCAGGGGTTGCCAGGAGTTAGGGGAAAAGAGGCATTTTAAGGCAGTGAAACTATTCCATATGATACTATCATAGTGCGTACACATACACCAAGAGTGAACCCTAATGTAAATTACGGACTTTGAATGATAACGATGTGTCGGTGTAGATTCACCAGTTGTAACCAATGTACCACTCTGGTGTCGCATGTTGACAGTGGGGGAGGTTGTGCATGGGTGAGGGCAGAAAGTTTATGGGAATTCTATGTACTTTTGTACTTTCTTTTTTTATGAAGCAAAGTCTTGCCCTGTCACCTAGGCTGGAGTGCAGTGGTGCAATCATGGTTCACCGTAGCCTCGACCTCCCAGGCTCAAGCCATCCTCCCACCTCAGCCTCCTGAATAGCTGGGACTACAGGCACGTGCCACCACATCTAGCCAATTTTTGTATTTTTTGTGAAAATAGGGTTTCACCATGTTGCCCAGACTGGTCTTGATCTCCTGACCTCAGGTGATCCACCTGCCTCGGCCTCCCAGTGTGCTGGGATTCTAGGTGTGAGCTACCACTCCTGGTTACAAACTTAAAACTGCTGTAAAAAACAAAGTCTATTAAAAACAAAAACAAAAACAAAAAAGAACTACGGAAGAGCTTTACATATGTCCTCACATGCCTCCTCTTTGAAGCACTGAAGCTGTTTGGATGTTAAAAAGCTCTTTCATATAAGATTCTTGGGTGACAGTAGAAACATGTGAATTCAAACCATATAAAAAGAGTTTGAAACAGCTGAGTCCACTGATTGAGGTTCACTGCTAACTAAGTGCATGTCCATAATTAGGCCAGCTTCCTTGGATCTTGCACCTCAATGTGAATATGAGAATATTGGACCACTTCCACCTTGAAAATATGATTCATTTATTTTCATTTTCCATTTTTATTTCCATAGTGATAAAGTGGTAAGTTTTCAAGACTATTGTCACAGTGGACCCAATGATGCTAGAGGGAGCATAACTTTGGAAGTCAGGTAGTGACTTGAACTGAATAAACAGGAAGAAAGATATTGCAGGCCCAGAGACTTATGCAAAAAAATGTATTCAGAATCAGGAGACTTCAGGCAGCAAACTTGGGGGTATTCTGTCCTTCACAGAAGAAGGGTCCAGAGCTGATGGAAGGTCCATGTGATTCACATAGAGAGGTTCTCAAGGCCAGATTTCTCCCCAGTATGGAAGACTCAAATGAATGATTCACTGTGGATATTCTGAAGGGACACAGCTAGAACCAAAGATACGTGAAGAAGATTTTTACAAAATAGAAGAAAACTTCACATTTGCCCTCTGAAGGTTCACTGAAAATCAACTGACAAAAGGCAGATTGATAGAAAAAAAGGCATACAAATGCATTAACATGCGCAGGGGAGAATCACAGAGTCATTGCCCCACCACACAATGGGGTACAGATGGCATATACCCTTCTTCTTAGGGGAGAGGAAGATAGGGAAGTATGGATGATCTTAGGGGGATACTAAATGATTTTTAGGGGAATTCAATGGGCTTGAAGAACATACAGTGGCCTGAAACAAAGTCTGCTGGGCCAAAAGAACAGACAATAATTTGCAACAAGTCTGTCCAGGTGTGTTGACAGATTTCAGTCTTTCTTCCTGAGATGTGACTTTAGTTAATGATCAGGAAAGTGACCAGAGGTAACTGTTTTCTTCTTTGGCAGGTCCAGACATTAGGCAGATAAGAGAACTTCAGAGAACCATTTCATCCTGTACTTTGGGAGAGACAGAGAATTGAAACAGGAGTAGGCAGAGGTCAGAGAGACCTGGGGGATTCTTCTTCAGGTCAACAGGTCAAAATGCCATATTTTGGGGGTATTGGTTTCCGAGCCCCAACTCTCTTATTGGTTCTGTTTCTCTGGAGAACCCGAATACAATGATTTTTAAAGCCAGAAAAAAAAAAAAAAAAAAAGGTAATGAGGCAAATTGCACCCTCTGATAAAGTTTCTGCCACGTCTCATTTACTAAAGCAATCATATGGCCATGCCCCACCCCAGTAAGTGGAGTGGCAATTCTACTATATGCCTGAAAGAAGGAAAACCAGACATCTTTGGTGAACAGCACTAGTGATTACCTCACACTTTACTACCTGAATAGGCAAAGAAATGGGCCCACAGGGATATTCATTCGTAAATCTTTTACCTTATTAGTGGCAGGTTTAATGGAGTTTCTATCCAGTGTTGTTTCCCTTCAGCCTGAAGAACTTTCTTTAGCACTTTTTGTAATGCAGGTTTGCAGCAACAAATTCTCTTACTGTTTATTTATAGAAAGTGTTTTCATTTTGTCTCACTCTTGAAAGGTATTTTTGCTGGGTATAGAATTATGCACTGACAGGTTTTTTTTTCCTTTCAGAATTTAAAATATATGTTTCCAGTATCTCCCTGCCTCTATGGTTTCTAATGATGAAGTCATTTGTGGCAGTGCTCCCTATATGTGATGTCATTTCCCTTTGGCTGCTCTTTGTCTTTGGTTTTCAGCAGGTTGACTGGGATGTGGCTAACTATGGTTTACTTTGTTCTTATCCCTTTTTGCTTTCTTGAAACATTTTTTCCCAGCTCCATCATATCTCTCCTCTTTTTAGAATTCCAATTACATGTATATCAGACCTTATTGTATTTTCCCCCTGATCACTCAGGATCTGTTCATTTTTAAAATCTTTTTTTCTCTGTACTCTTTAGGTTAGTTTCTCCTGATGCATCTTCCAGACATGCCATTTTTTGGTTCTAAAATTTTCAGTTGGTTCTTTTTAATTGTTTCTGTTTCTCTGCTGAGATTTCCTATCTGGTCATTCATTGCAAGCATATTTTCTTCATATCATTGAGCACAGTTATAGTAGCTGTATTAAAAATCCTGTCTACCAGTTCCAGCATCCAGGTCATCCTGGGGTTAGTCTCCATTGGTGACCTTCTCTCTTATGTATGGATCTTGTCTTCCTGTGTGTTTCTATGTCTAGTAATTTTGGATAATATCCTAGATACTAGGAATGATATGTTGTAAGACTCTGGATTCATTATATTTTTTGAAGATTATTGACTTTTTTTGTTTGTTTAATGAGCAGTTAACTTGGGTGTAGTCAAACTCCAAACTCTATCTCCTCTGTGGTGGGCAGCAACTGAAATCTCAGTTCGGTTCTTTTCTCCTCATGTTGCACTTCTTGAAATCTTCCCTAAGAATGTGTAGGTCAGGGGACAGCCAGTATATACACCGAATTTAGGGCTCTCCATCTATGCATCTCTTTTGTCATATTTCCCCCCTTCCTTTTTTTTCCAGCTGCTGTGGTTACCCTAAACTCCTCTGCTTATTCGTGCCTCTTAGGCTAAGGGTTTCTCCGCTTTAGTCACCTGTGTGGTGGCTGATTGAAGCCTGACTTCAGGCAAAAAGCTGAAAGAGAGAGAGGAGAGGAGAGAGAGAGAGAGAGAGAGAGAGAGATATTATAAGGAAGTGGCTAATGCAACGATGAAGTCTGAGAAGGCCCATGATCTGTCATTGGCAAGCTGGAGACACAGAAATCCAGTGATATAATTCATTCTGAATCTAAAGGCCTAGAGGAAATGGTGTAAATTTGTATCCAAGGTCAGAAGGGGATGAGATGAGATATCCCAGCTCAAGCAGTGAAGCAGGAAAAAGTGGGGGAAATTTCTCCTTCTTCCACCTTTTGTTCTATTCAGGTCCTCAAAAGATTGGATGATACCCACCCACCTTGTGTAGGGCCACCTACTTCATTGAGCCCACTGATTCAAATGCTAATCTCATCCAGAATGACCCTCCCTCACAGGCACATTCAGAAATAACATTTAACCTGGGCACCCTATGGCCTAGTAAAATTGTCACATATAATCAACCATCGCAATTATGAACGCACAGAGACAGCATAGACCCAGCCAACCTTCAATGAGCATAGTCTGAGTGAGTTTGGGGACTTGTTTTTTCCCACAGCATAACTTAGGCTATCCTGACTGATACCAAGATGAGTACCTAGAAAATGGTGACAACAAGAAAAGAAAATAGATGGCACAGGCTTAAACGCAGGCATCCAACTTCATGGAGACTTCTATTGGTGCCTGGAAGGTCGATGATCCAGGTTTGCAGTGGCAAAACTTGGTAAAACTTGGAAGGTGATAACTCCTAGATAACTTGGAAGACAGAAAATTCACCCAATGAAAACTCTTTTTCCTCCTGACATGGAATCCAGCAGGCAATGTTCAAGATAGTGAATGTGCTACCAACATGTGTTCCAAAGTCAGAGCATGTACAGCATGATGGACATGAGGGATAAGCCTTTCTTAAGACACTGAGATTTGGAGGTTTGTTACTGCAGCAGAAGCCAAACCATTCTGGCCACAAAAAGAGGCACTAAATACTCCCTCCTTGGGTCATTTTGTTACCAGAAAGGGGTCCTGATCCAGACCCCAAGAGAGGGGTCTTGGATCTCGGCACAAGAAAGAATTCAGGACGAGTCCATAGAGTAAAGTGAAAGAAAGTTTATTAAGAAAGTAAAGGAGCCAGGCACAGTGGCTCATGCCTGTAATCCCAGCACTTTGGGAGGCTGAGGTGGGCAGATCACCTGAGGTCAGGAGTTCAAGACCAGCCTGGCCAACATGGTGGAACCCCATCTCTACTAAAAATACAAAAATTAGCTGGGCATGGTGGCAGGCTCCTATAACCAGCTACTCGGGAGGTTGAGGCAAAAGAATCACTTGAACTCGGGAGGCAGAGATTGCAGTGAGCCAAGATCACGCCGTTGCACTTCAGCCTGGGCGATGAGTGAAACTCCATCTCTCAAAAATAAAGAAAGTAAAGGAATAAAGAATGGCTACTCCACAGACAAAGCAGCCCTGTGGGCTGCTAGTTTCCCATTTTTATGGTTATTTATTGATTATATGCTAAACAAGCATTTATTGATTATGCTATTCATGCCTCCCCTTTTTAGACCATATAGGGTCACTTCCTGACGTTGCCATGGCATTTGTAAACTGTCATGGCACTGGTGGGAGTGTAGCAGTGAGGATGACCAGAGGTCACTCTCGTTGCCATCTTGGTTTTGGTGGGTTTTGGCCAGCTTTTCTACTGCTGTTAAAAACAAACTGTTTTATCAGCAACATCTTTATGACCTGTATCTTGTGCTGACTTTCTATCTCATCCTGTGATTAAGAATGGCTTAACCTCCTGGGAATATAGCCCCTCAGGTCTTAGCCTTATTTTACCCAGTCCCTACTCAAGATGAAGTTGCTCTGGTTCAAATGCCTCTGATAGTTTATCCAGTCACATTCATAGAGTGTGGCTGGGAGTGGTGGGCAAACTATACTATGTTTTCCCTTAGTACTGATAGAGTGGAGGCAGTGGAAGATCCAGGACTGTGTGAATATCTATGGCTGCTCAAGGTTGGATATAATCCCACTTTCAGCACAAGGTTGAAAACAATGCTTTGCATTGTCATAAATAGGGCATTAAGGGCTCAAAAAACAATACCCCAAATGAAGTCCTCAGAAGCTAAAGTTTTTCTCTGATCATCCTCTGCCCTGCTCTCTCCCAGTCTCATTCTCCCCTGAGGCTAGCCATAGAAACTGAATTCCTCTTCTCCAAGGCGGGTCATAGAAACCAGAATCGCTTTTCCCCAAAGCCAGCCATGAAACCTAAAATTACTACTTTAACTTTCTCTCTGCCTATCTATGTAAAAACTGGCCATAAAGATGTTATCTGACCTTCCTTATTTGACTGTAGGTCATAAGACCCCATTCCAGAGAAGGTCCTCCCCTACACCCAGAAGGAAGAAATGCATGCTCAGAGAGGCCAAGAAGAATTCAGACATGCCTTGCTGGGCTTCCCCACGCGGTCTGTTAGCACTAGACTAACAGACTAGTGCTCTTTGGTCCAAGTGTATTTCTGTATGGCCGTCCAGACTTCGTTGAACCTATGCAAAAAAAATGGACACTGTATCTTTGGGTCTTAATTCTGAAGGCTCCCATGTGTACACATTAAATAGGTTCACATGCCTTTTCTCCAATGAGTCTGCTTTTTGTGAGTTGATGTTTTCAGTGAAACTTTAGAGGGCAAAGGGAAAATTTTATTTTGGCCCCTACCAAGGGCAAAGTGTAGAAGAAAATCTACTTGATGGGTCTCTGACTCTTGTATGTGGAAACCTCACTCTGTTTGTATTGAAGCAAATTAAAAGCCTAGCCCAGAGAGAAGAGCCATTGCCAATACTGGCAGATTCTGAATCAAGGTTACAGTCTGTGAAAAGAACAGCGGTGCAACAGTGGGCACAGGATAATCCCATCTTTGTTGTTGAAAAGATACACCCCTGCATTAGGACAAGGGCTATTGAAGAAAGAAAAGAAGAAAAAAGGAAAAGAAAAAAGAAAAAGAAAAGAGAGGAGAGGAGATCACTTGAGGTCAGGAGTTCCAGACCAGCCTGGCCAACATGGCAAAACCCCATCTCTACTAAAAATACAAAAAAATTAGCTGGACATGGTGAGGCACACCTGTAGTCCCAGCTGCTAGGGAGGCTGAGGCAGGAGAATCGCTTGAACCCAGGAGGTGGAGGTTGCAGTGAGCTGAGATCGCGACGTTGCACTCTAGCCTGGGCGACAAGAGCATAACTTAGTCTCAAAAAAAAAGGGGGTGGGGGAAGAAAGACAGAAGGCGAGGTGGCTCACGCCTGTAATCCCAGGAGGCCAAGGCAGGCGGATCACCTAAGGTCAGGAGTTCAAGACCAGCCTGGCTAACATGGTGAAACCCTGTCTCTACTAAAAATACAAAAATTAGTCGAGCATGGTGGCAGTCACCTGTAATCCCAGCTACTCAGGAGGCTGAAGCAGGAGAATCACTTGAACCCGGGAGGCGGAGGTTGCAGTGAGCCAAGATTGCACCATTGCACTCCAGCCTGGGGGACAAGAGTGAGACTTTGTCTCAAAAAAAAGAAAAAGAAAGAGAGAAGGAAAGAAAGAGAACATAGACCTTTAGTGTGTACAAATTAATACCGAAAGGCTAGAAATAATATTTCAAAATGTCAAAGTTGACTGACTACTCTAGGATTATGGCTGATTTCTATTTCTTTACTTCCTTTTTCTGTGTTTTCTGGCTCTAAAATGAATACATCTTATTTGTGAAATAAAAGTTTTTAAAACAAAACAAGCCCAACAACAAAAGATAGGAAGGGGAAGAAGTCTGGAAACGCAGGAATCAAATGAACACTGTCTAGGAAAAAGGCAGAAAACCATGATATGCTGAATCGCCTGGTGGGCACTGAAGGCCACCCCTCAGAGCATGGGAGAATTCTAAGAATACAAGTAGGAACTTTTTTTCCTCTGGTCCTGTGTATTCACTCAGAGAAGAATATTTGTTATTGCAACAGGAAGCAGTTGCTTAGCATGAAATTTTCAAGACTCAACAATATTCAAGACAAATATTTTTGGAGCTCTGTCAGGCCCAGGGCTGCAGACAGAAAGATAGTCTTCCTGCTTCATCTTGCCTTTTAGCAGTATGCAGCATTTTTTAAAAATTGAGACAGGATCTTGCTCTGTTGCCTGGGCTGGAGTGCAGTGGAGCAATTATAGCTCACTGCAGCCTCCAACTCCTGGGCACAAGTGATCCTTCCACGTCAGCCTCCCTAGTAGCTGGGACAGTCACGTGCTTAGGCTGGTCTATAACTCATGAGCACACGACCCTCCCCCCTCTACCTCCCAAAGTGCTGGGAGCCACTGCGCCCAGCCAGTATGCAGCATTTTATCATCCACTTGGATCACCATTAGCAACAATTAGAGTTCTTCTTAAGGCCCCTTTCAGCCCTCTGTGTGCACTTCAAGTGTTTGAAAATGAAAGATCACACCACTGCACTCCAGCCTGGGTGACAGAGCTGGAGTCTCTCAACAAAAAGAGAGGAAAAGAAAAATATAATAGAACACTAACTTGAATAAGGTAATCCTTGGAGGGAGACAAAGATTTGATTGCTTCTGGGTAAGCCACATATACTATAATCAATAACAATGAATGAAATTGATCTTTTATGCAGTACTTGAGGAAAAAAAATTAAAGGAAAGAACAAAGACCAGAACTCTAGGTTTTGAGTCTCCCCCTACAAAGCATCTCTTTGAAAAATGATCCATTTTCACCACCAGCCAACTGTGTGATTCTGGCTTTAATCCTTTTCCCTTGAGTCTCATTTTCCTCCCAACAAAATGGGGACGGATATAGATGTGGTCAAGGTGGGAATTGTAACGTTGGACCAGTCGTCTTCCAAGACACCATGCAGCCCAGCATTCTATAATTTTGGAATTCCAGGGAGTCCACGCACATCATTTAAGTCCCACATGCTAGTTCTTTTGTCTGTTTTGTGGTTTTCTGACTGTAATACATGATGGACCCAACATAAACTTTAATAAATAAAAAGAGAGGGGATGCTGACATTGACCAAGATGCAAAACAAAACTCATTTATAAAAGAAATAGGCCTCGTTCAAAGAAATAAATCATTCTCCCTGCTAATATATTTCCTGCTGGTTTCCCTTGAAGCTTTGTTGTTCATTTTTCTCACCATCAGTAAATAAGAACTGTTTGTTACACATGTAACTACGTAGTGTTTTCCTTCTAAACTATTGTACGTTGTTTGGTAGGAGGCACATATTTTTCCCAACTGTTCTGATTGTCATTGGTGTTAATAAAGAAAAAAAAAGCCGTTCCACTCGGGTTTATTCAGAGAGTTAACATCTGATTTTACATGGACGCCTTTAAAAGAAAAAGAACAACATGGCCTGAAGCGCTTCTAGCACAGGGTGTGGAAGTATTTGATGTCCTGGTGCTTGTTCATAAAAGAATGTTGTTTTGAAATGTACAGTGAAGTCAGGGAGAGAGATCCAAAGAAAGTTCCCATTGAGACAAAATCAAATCAACCCGCCACCCCCCAAACACTTCCCTCCTGGACCAGTGGGTACTTTGGCGCTGTGCCCACCATCTGGGTCCAGAATCCCAATAAGGCCCCAGCATTGCTGCCTGCAGTGATGTGTGAACACAGGGCTTGTTCCCAGTCAGGGCACTCACCGGCAGGAAGAGAGACATATTTTGTCAAAGGTGATATAGGGTCTCTGAAGGTATTCTGTGAAAGTGTCTTCACTCAGGTATCTGCCCATCCCCACAAACCTACTGGCTCAAGGATTTTCTTTTTCTTTCTTTCTTTCTTTCTTTTTTGAGACAGAGTCTCTGTCTGTTGCCCAGGCTGGAGTGCAGTGGCGCAATCTCAGCTCACTGCAGCGGCGCAATCTTGGCTCACTGCAACCTCTGCCTCCCAGGTTCCAGCGATTCTCCTGCCTCGGCCTCCCGGGTAGCTGGGATTACAGGCACGTGCCACCATGCCCAGCTGATTTTTGTATTTTTAGTAGAGAAGGGGTTTTACCATGTTGGTCAAGCTGGTCTCAAACTCCTGATCTCAGGTGATCTGCCCACCTTGGCCTCCCAAAGTGCTAGGATTACAGGTGTGAACCACTGCTCCCAGCCCCTATTACTCTTTTCTTTATAGTCAAATAAAATGTGTTGAGTCCCAATGCAGGGCCAGAACTAGGGTGAGACAAGTGAGACGCAATATTTAGGGGTGTGGCCCAAAACTCGGCAATCAAGCTAAATCATGTCGTACTGCAATATTTTAAAGACCAAAATTAACACAAAACACCATAATGCATAAACTATCAGAACATTAAATAAAGACAGGATTTAGAGCATGGCTCAGCTATCCTGGAACCTGAGGTAAAAGGAAAAATTATTAATGCCAGTCCTCTCTTTATTTAACATTTTGATGGTTTATCACGGGTTGTTTTGGCATTTTTTAAAAAAATATTGCATGAAAATAGGATCATCTTGCTGCATGAGTTTTTTGGCACAACCCAAAACGTTGTGCCTGAGGCAAGTGCCTCGTTTCCTCCCCTACTCCCAGCACCGCAACACACACTAAAAGGATCTAGCTTCCCCTCCTCCATCCCACACTTTCTTTCTTCTGGTGTCTGTTTGTTTGTTTTTTCCTAAGACAGAGTCTCACTCTGTTGCCCGGGCTGGAGTGCAATGGATCTCGGCTCACTGCAACCTCCGCCTCCCAGGTTCAAGTGATTCTCCCACCTCAGCCTCCTGAGTAGCTGGGATTACGGGCACCCACCATCATGCCTGGCTAATTTTTGTATTTTTCATAGAGACAGGGTTTCACCATGTTGGCCAGGCTGGTCTCAAACTCCTGACCTCAGATGATCCGCCTGCCTTGGCCTCCCAACGTGCTGGGATTACAGGTGTGAGCCACCACACCCCACCCTACATTTTCAAGATTCACCTTTCCAGGGCAGTGGAGGAAGACAGGGCTTGTTACAGATCTGTTCCTCACTCTGTGGGCACTGTTCCTTTTCCTCTACTGTTATTTATCTCCTAACCATCTTGCCTGGCCCTGTCTCAGGCCTCCTATGCCCATCACTGCCTGGACTTCACCATCAACTCCAGTGCACATGACTGCATATGACTGACTTGTACTTCAGATCCTTGGGGTGGAGATCAGGAAGGCAGTGGGTGACTATACTAAATAATTGCTGTGCTAGCAGGGAACAGCTTTAGTTGCAAGCTTCTAGTCCTCTCCTAGATCTTATTAGCCAACGGCTCCCTCCTTGTAAACCAAAAATAAAACTCCAAGCCCTTCAACTGACAGATGGACCCTCCTCAGCCAAGGCCATTCTAAAGTTAACCTGAAACACGAGTTTAGGCCATGATGGGAAGTGGGGGTTGGACACGCCTCATGATACCCTCCTCCCTTTGGAATTCAGGCACAGTTGACCAGCACTGACATTAAAACAGAGAATTACGGCAGATAGAACAGACTCTTTCAGTCTGATAAGAAACATTTGCAGTCTATTCTTTCTGAAGCTTGCCACCTGGAGGCTTCATCTGCATAATAAGAACCTTGGTCTCCACAATCCCTTGTCTTAACCCGGACACCACTCCTTTCTATTGATGCCAGGTCTTCTGATGAACATTCAACCAATTGCCAATCAGAAAAATATTTCAATGGGCCAGACATGATGGCTCACACCTGTAATCCCAGCACTTTGGGAGGCCAAGACTGGTGGATCACTTGAGGTCAGTTCGAGACCAGCCTGGCCAACATGGTGAAACCCCGTCTCTACTAAAAATATAAAAATTAGCCAGGTGTGGTGGTGGGTGTCTGTAATCCCAGTTACTTGGGAGACTGAGGGAGGAGAATTGCTTGAGCCCAGGAGGCAGAGGTTGCAGTGAGCCAAGATTGCACTACTGCACTCCAGCCTGGGTGGACAGAGCAAGACTCCCTCTCAAAAATAAATAAGTAGAAAATCTTTTAATGTACCTATGACCTGGAAGCAACCCCCACTTATGTCTCCCTAAAATGTATAAAACCAAGCCGTAGCCTGACCACCCTAGGTACATGTTCTCAGAACCTCCTGGGGCCGTGTTACAGGCCATTGGTCCCTCATACTTGTCTCAGGATAAATCCCTTTAAATGTTTTACAGAGTGTGGCTCTTTTCATCAACATTCTAATAACATAAGACAATACTGAGGAACCCTTCACTCCTATCTTTTTTTTCCGGGACCTCAAACCCCATCTCAAGGTCTATGCAGATAATTCCAGAGGTTCTTTCTCTTTTCCATAATGCATAATTGAACACCTCTTTATCTAAATTTCTTCCTCTGGGTCATGCCCATGGGCCATATGCCTCTCTTAGTCAAGCAGGCCCATTAAAAAGGTCTCTCCAGGCTGTGTGTGGTGGCTCACGTCTATAATCCCCGCACTTTGGGAGACCAAGGTAGGCAGATCACTTGAACCCAGGAGTTCAAGACCAGCTTGGGCATCATGGTGAACCCCGCCTCTACAAAAAAAAATTATAAAAATTACCTGGGCATGGTAGCACATACCTGTAGTCCCAACTACTTGGTAGGCTGAGGGGGGAGGATCACCTGAGCCCAGGAGGTCAAGGCTACAGTGAGCCATGATTCCACCCACTACATTCCAGCCTGGGTGATAGATGAGATCCTGTTTCAAAAAAAAAAAAAAAAAAGTCTCTCTCCAAATATAGGAGACCCTCTTTCTGTGGAATTTTGCAACAAAGCCAACTGTCAGCAACTGCTGCACTTTAACGCAAACCCTCTTCTCCCTCCCTATCACATACAGGATTTAGTCACCTGTGCACAGGTCCTAAGGTCACCAGTTGTAAGAGCTGTGTCTTTTTCATCTTCATCCTCAGGCCTGAGAGCTGGGCCTGGCACAGAGAAATTGCTGGGTGAAGATGCTCAAAGCTGCCACATCCATCATTGCTAGGGGTGGGTCAGTGGGGTGGCCTAGGGGACAGTAATGGAGTGGGAGATTATGGACAGGCATACAGCTATGATGTGGCTCATTCTGAGTTGTTTGGTTCCAGAGCCCCAAAGGCCTTCCAGGAAGAATCTCGTTCTACTCCATCCTGCCTGAGTATGCTGGTGCCCCAGACCCCCATTAACCACCACACTGAGACTCCTCCCCAGAAGATGCTCCTGATTCCACAGCACAAAACCAAAGCCCCTGAGTTTGCTGAGGTGGGGAGAGAAGCAGGAAGAGCCTGGGTTGGAATCTATAAACCAAAAATAAAATCCTAAGCACAACAACCAACTAAATGGACCCCCTGTGGGCCAAGAGGACCCCTGAGAAACCCGAAAAACTGAATTCCTGGCTGTGATGGGACACACCTTGTTATATATTCCCTCCCTTTTGGAGGTTAAGCACAGCTGACCAGCATTAACATTAAAATAGAGATCCATCCTAAGACTGACAAAACAGACTCTTTGTGGCAATAAGATACCAAATTCCAACCTGACTCTGGTATAGCATCACATGACAGATAGCAGACCCTGAAGGAAATCAGAATATTTTGCCACAAAATTTATTCCTTTGACATCTTTTGAAATGGCCCTCAAAGTCATCTTCTGTTGAGGAAACATGCATCTGTAGAAAATCTCCATTAACACAGCCACGGCTTTTCTTTCTAGGTCTTTCCTGGATCTAAGAGAGATGACCTAAGAGTCTGACACCTTTTAAGATCTGAAAAGAGACATTTACCATCTATTCTCTCTGAAGGCTGCTACCTGGAAGCTTCATCTACATCACAAGAACCTCGCCTCCACATGCCCCCTTATCTTAACTCAGGCATTTTTTCCCATTGATTTCAAGTCTTCAGACAAAGCTTAACTCTTTCAACCAATTGCCAATCAGAAAATCTTTAAATCATGGGCATGGTGGCACACGCCTGTAATCCCAGCTACTCGGGAGGCTGAGAATGACTTGAATCCAGGAGGCAGAGATTGCAGTGAGCCAAGATTGCGCCACTGCACTCCAGCCTGGGCAACAGCACGAGACTCTGTCTCAAAAAAAAAAAAAGAAAAAAGAAAAGAAAATCTTTGAATCAACCTATGACCTCTAAACACCACCCCCTCACCTTCTACCCCACTAACTCCCCCTCACTTTCAAGATGTCCCACCTTTCCAGCTGAACCAATGTATACCTTATATGTACTGATTTATGTCTTTACCTGTAACTTCTGTCTCCCTAAAATTTATAAAGCCAAAGTAACCCAGCCGCCTGGGGCACACTTTCTCAGGGCCTCTTGAGACTGTTCTCCAGGCCGTGGTCACTCATGCTGGCTCAGAATAAACCTCTTTAAATATTTTACAGAATTTGATTTTTCTGTTGACAAATCCTTGTTCCCTGGCCAGGCTTGGTGACTTAAGCTTATAATCCCAGCACTCTAGGAGACTGAGGTGGGAGGATCACTTGAGGTCAGGATTTTCCAGCCTGGGCAACATAGTGAGACCCTTGTCTCTATTTAAAAAAAAAAAAAAAAAAAGTAAAAATTAGCCAGGCATGGTGGTGTGCACCTGTAATCCCAGCTACTTAGGAGGCTGAGGAAGGAAGATTGCTTGAGCCTGTACGGTTCTTGTAACGGTTCTAACCCCAAGACTGAGCCAACAGACAACACGAGGCGGTGTGGAGCAACATGCCGTTTTAATGAGCAGACGCACTGGGTGCTGGCGGGCTGAGGCCTAAAATGGCGTCAGCCCCAAGTGAGGACAGGGCAAAGGTTTTATAGTCTTCTGTAAACGGGAAGTGCCCTAGTCTGACGTAATTGCTACGTTGCACCCGGATGGCCTCTTTCTCGATCTTCAGGGGTCCGTGTCTTCCAGCGAGGGTGGGTGTCTTCTGTCCAGCTCTCCTCCCGCTTCTGCTATCTTGCTGACACACGCTGCCGAAGCAAGTGGTCTTGCGCCTTGGGCCTGGGCCTGAGAAGGGAGGAGTTACTCATCTCCTTAAGCTTTCAGGCCCCGGGGAGAATCTTACAGAGCCCAGGAGCTTGAGGCTGCTGTGAGTTGTAATGGTGTCACTGCACTCCAGGCTGGGCAACAGACTGAGGCCCTGTGTTTTGTTTTGTTTTAAAAAGAAAAAGAATAGAAAAGAAAAATCCCTGCTCCCTTGCAGCACAACCCTGTGTGTTAGTCTCTCCAGGCCTCAGTTTCTTCCTCCCTGGAGTAGGATCATAAAAAATACAATCTCCAGTGGTTACTGTTATGAGGGTTAAATTAGATATGACATGCAAGGCACTTAGAAGAGTGCCTGGCACATGATAAGCATTCAGTGGACATCAGCCACTCTCATTTCCTCGTGGCCTGTGGGGTGTTTATCTTTCAGCATAGAGAAGGCAGACAGTGGCAGATTGTCTTAGTGTGTCTGAGACACTGAGCTGAGGACTCTGTGATTCACTCTTGGTTGCCTTGGGTGTTTTCATTCCCGGTAGCATTAGAGGAATTGGAGGCCCCTGGAAAAAGATCTCTTTGCTCCAAAGAAGGAGAAACTTTACATGCAAGTTACCTTTAAGGCCTGAGCAATGGGAGTCAAGAGTACACAAACATCGCTGGAAACAGATCCATGGCTTCAGAGGCAAACCCCAAGCTCTCTCCCCAGAGGCCGGGTCTGGAGTGGAGTGTGTTGAAGAGATAGTAATATAAAGAGGCAGAAAGACTGCCTGCTTCAGGGTTTGCATTAAACTTGGGCTTTGGTGCATTTTTTTTTTTTTATTTCCAGGAAGAAGGCTTTGTGGGGCTACTGGGGTCATGAAGGCCTTTTCAAAGCACGCATCACACCCATGGGGAAGAGCCCCGTCCCCGCAAGGAAGGGCCTAAGATGCATGCAGAATCCTTCACAGTAGGAAGGGAAGAAGCAACGTTCCCTGTCTAGCCGCCAGGTCAGTAAGAATTCCTTCTTGCAACAGCCAATGACGAGCTTAAGCCCTGAAGCCCAGCTCTGGCTGTTAGATCCTCTCTACTTTCCATCCCCAGACCTACCTTCCTGTACCCCTTCCTTTACTGGCTTGAAAGAACCTATCAGGGTCCAGAGCCTCCATATGGGCCCCCCAAGGAACTGCTGGGACTCAGCCAGCCAACATCATCACCTCCCAGGCAGCAAACAAGACCCCAATACGCAGTCTGACATAAGCTCTACAAAACTCCAGAGCCAGCTGGCCTCACCTACTTCAGAACCAAATGCCAGGAAACTCTGGCTGGCCCGCCAAGTCCCCGGGACTGAAGGGATGGAGGACTTGCTGACATGTGCCTTCGTCTTTCATTGCTCTGCTCTCCACCTCCCTTTCCCTGCCTGCGTGCTATACTGTGTCTTGGCATAGCTGGCTGGATCTACACAATGCTCAGCACTAGGCTGGACAAACCAGCTCCAAAGGACCAGTGCTTTCCTACAGGGCCAGGTCTCCAAAGGCTGCTCGGAATGTGCTGTGTGGTCCTGGATCCAAGTGCCAGGAGCTGGATGAGAGGGCCTGTGACCTACTCCTCATCAGAAAGGAAAGAGGGCTCTACTCTTCCAACCAAAGGCCACAGTTCATTTCTTTCTTCTTTTCTCTTTTGGAGACAGTATCTGGCTCTGTCACCCAGGCTGGAGTGCAGTGGCACAATCTCGGTTCACTGCAGCCTCCACCTCCCAGGTTCAAGTGATCTTCCCACCTCAGCCTCCTGAGTAGCTGGGACCACAGCTGCGCACCACCATGCCCGGCTAATATTTGCTTTTTTTTTTTTTTTTGAGACAGAGTCTCACTCCATCACCAGACCGGAGTGCAGTGGTGCAATCTCGGCTCACTGCAAGCTCTGCCTCCTGGGTTCAAGTGATTCTCCTGCCTCAGCCTCCCGAGTAGCTGGGACTACAGGCACCCGCCACCACGCCTGGCTAATTTTTTGTATTTTTAGTAGAAATGGGGTTTCACCATGTTGGCCAGGATGGTCTCAATCTCTTGACCTCGTGATCCACCCACCTTGGCACCCCAAAGTGCTGGGATTACAGGCGCAAGCCACCGTTCCAGGCCACTTTTTTTTTTTTTTTTTTTTTGTAGAGCTAGGGTTTCACCATGTTGCCTAGGCTGGTCTGGAACTCCTGGGCTCAAGTGATCTGCCCACCTCGGTCTCCCAAAGTGCTGGGTTTACAGGCATGAGCCACCGTGCCTGGCCCCACAGTTCATCTCTTAGTGAAAACCATTCCAATCTACCAAGGCTGCATTTTGCTTTTCTCCTCCCTTCTTCAAGAAGGGTGTGCCAGCACATCTTCTGTAACCCAAATATATCTGGACCACCTCAGGCTTCCATCGGCATCACAGTCAGTCAGTGTCACTATGGCAACTGCGAGCAATGGAGAAGACCCCTCTCAACAGGAGTCCCTGGGGAGACACCCAAAGATTCCAGGCTTTTCTACAGCAAAATGTGTCAACAGTCATTCCTCTGTCTCTCTCATCCTGCCACGATCTTCTCCTGAGTCCCCACACTCCAAGACAACCTTAAGTCTCTTTTTTATCTTCTCTCTACACCAAGTTTGTCCAACCCATGGCCCGTGGACCACATGCAGCCCAGGATGGCTTTGAATGCAGCCCAACACAAATTCGTAAACTTTCTTAAAACATGATGTGATTTGGCCAGGCCGGGTGCAGTGGCTCGCCCCTGTAATCTCAGTACTTTGGGAGGCTGAGGTGAGTGGATCACTTGAGGTCAGGAGTTCGAGACCAGCCTGGCCAACATGGCAAAACCCCATCTCTACTAAAAATACAAAAATTAGCTGGGCGTGGTGGTGTGCACCTGTAATCCCAGCTACTCGGGAGGCTGAGGCAGGAGAATTGCTTGAACCCAGGAGGAGGAGGTTGCAGCGAGCTGAGATCATGCCTCTGCACTCCAGTCTTAGAAACAGACTGAGACTCCGTCTCAAAAAAAAAAATTATGAGATTTATTTGTGATTATTTTTAAGCTCATCAGCTATTGTTAGTGCTCATGTATTTTATGTGTGGCCCAGGACAATTCTTCTTCCAATGTGGTCCAGGGAAGCCCAAAGATTAGACATCCCTGCTGTATGCACACTCTCAAACCACCCCCACCCCCTGGTCAGAGAGCAGGGTCTGCTTCCATTCTTTCCTTCATTTGAAAAATTCCTTTAAAATCTCTCTACTGCAGGCCCTTCTGCAGCTAATCCTAATCCCCATACAAAAGGCTCATGAACCCCTCAAGAGCAGACACCCAATTTTCCAGCTCCCCACCCTGTGACTCCGCGCCCGTGTGAATGATCTCGTCTGTCTTTACCTCTGTCACTTGTCAATGTGCAAGCGCATGTTTTCTAATGATGCAAACACCTCAATTCTGGAATCTTACTGAAGGTCAAACATTTACTCAGCCATTAAAACTCTCTGTGCTAGTGTAATTTACATTTGTATTTGCAAGGAAAATATAGTGCGCCTGGTAGACAGCATTTAATGGCTTTTTTCCATTAACTCAAGTGGACAAAAACGAGTACCACAGCCAAATCCAACAAATCCTGGTGGTCTTTCTCTGTCCACCAAAAGAAACACCTGCACCATCGCCATGCCCTCCCCCACCCCCCAAATTCAGGCCCCATCTCATTTTGTAGAGTTTTTGTGAGCACCAGCCTCAGTGAGGAGGGGGCGCCCCAGGCCTGAAAGGTTCCATGGCCTGGATCCTCAGCTAAAGTCCCGCGTTCCTGTGAACCCCAACTGTGCTGAGGTCAATGCAGGATGAAGGTGGGAGATGTACTTAAACACCGACTGCCAGGAAGGTCTTTTCCATTTGGTAGTGATCAGATGTCAGCCAGACCATCTCCGGGGATGAGCTGTAGGTGAAGGTGAGTCTTTCCACATGTCTCCCATGAAAATTGAAAATGATTCTCTAATGCACTCCAGAATCT
Organism: Homo sapiens; assembly: GCF_000001405.40. Classification (NCBI taxonomy): domain Eukaryota; kingdom Metazoa; phylum Chordata; class Mammalia; order Primates; family Hominidae; genus Homo; species Homo sapiens. The sequence goes on along the minus strand of NC_000016.10, from coordinate 53,556,183 downwards.
CTCCAAAACATTTTTATTGTTTCAAAAAGGGAAAGGAAAATGTAAGCCCAGTTGAACAGCATGGGGTTTCTAATCCAAATGGACAAAGCAGGAGGACAATTCAGGCCTGATATTAAGTCGAAGAGAGAGCCCAGTGGGCAACAGATAGGGCCGTGAGTCCAGTGGACATTGCCTGAGCACAATTTGATGAGGGGGATGGCATGCTGTACCCATGGGAATGCCAAACCTTTCCACTGTTTAACGAGGGGATAGAGGCTGGTGAACTCCTGAGAGATCATTCGAAATAATTTTCCCAGTACTTACTAAGGGATTTTGCATTTGAGGTACAAGAAGGTTTGGGGGAAGAAAATGAATTGCAATTTTCCTACCAGGACTGGAATTGCCCGGAGGAGTAACTGACCATATTCCCCTATTCACTGCTCCAAAATACAGCCCATCCCATAGAGATTGGCAATTCCACTGTTAGAGATTCTTTCCTTTGGATTAAACTTTTTTTTTTTTTTTTTTGAGATGGAGTCTCGTGCTGTTACCCAGGCTGGAGTGCAGCAGCACAATCTTGGCTCACTGCAGCCTCTGCCTCCCGAGTTCAAGAGATTCTCATGCCTCAGCCTCCCCAGTAGCTGGGACTACAGGCATGTGCCACCGCACCCCGCTAATTTTTTGTTTTGTTTTGTTGTTGTTGTGGGGTTTTTTTTGGTTTTTTTGCTTTTTTTTTTTTGGTTTTTTGAGACGGAGTCTCGCTGTCTCCCAGGCCGGAGTGCAGTGGCCTGATCTGGGCTCACTGCAAGCTCCGCCTCCCGGGTTCACACCATTCTCCTGCCTCAGCCTCCCAAGTAGCTGGGACTACAGGCGCCTGCCACCATGCCCTGCTAATTTTTTGTATTTTTAGTAGAGATGGGGTTTCACCGTGTTAGCCAGGATGGTCTCAATCTCCTGACCTCATGATCCACCCGCCTTGGCCTCCCAAAATGCTGTGATTACAGGCATGAGCCACTGTGCCCAGCCTGTTTTTTTTGTTTTTTTGTTTTTTTTTTTTTTTGAGATGGAGTCTTGCTCTGTCACCCAGGCTGGAGTGCAGTGGTGCAATCTCAGCTCACCAATACCTCCGCCTCCCCTGTTCAAACGATTCTCCTGCCTCAGCCTCCCGAGTAGCTGGAACTATAAGCATGTGCCACCACACCCAGCTAATTTTTTGTATTTTTAGTAGAGACAGGGTTTCACCGTGTTAGCCAGGCTGTCTTGAACTCCTGGCCTCAAGTGATCTGCCCAGCTCGGCCTCCCAAAGTGCTGGGATTACAGGCATGAGCCACCGCACCTGGCCTAAACATTGTTAACAAACATGGGCAGAGAACACGTTTCTTCGAAATCCCCCAAAGATGAAGAGCTACATTTTATTTCCAGGCTGTTCTGGTGCTTCTACAGGAGAGTGTGGGGTATGCAGTTTCAGGATGAGTCAGGTAATTCTTTTTATTTCTAACTATAAAATTGATATATGCTTTATTGAATATTTGTGGATGAAATAATGTGATGTCTTGGATTCACTTTAAAAGAATGTAGAAGATAGGTGAGTAGGTGGGGATACAGACGAAATGAGACTGGCTATGAGCTGATCATCATTGGGGCTGAGTAACCGGTGCATGGCAGTTATTATTTCCATGCTGTGTCTTTGTATAGGGTTGACATTCTCCACAACAGAAAGCAGAATATTTGGTTACTTTCCCAGTTCACCATCTTTCTATATTGACCAGTGAGAGACATGAAAGTCAAGCCTCAGTACAAGAGTTTTCCATCCCAGACAAGTAGATTCCACAGAGCTCTGTGATTAGGACAGGAAACCAGCTCCCACTTCCTCCATTTTGGGGACTGGAAAATGCTATTTATCCTCATTGCAAAGATCAAAGTGTGAAATCCTGTCCCTACCACAACCCCCAGGATGCATATGAACAGCTCCAGTTGGCAGCTGTAGCTACCATTAGCTTGAAATCTGTTGAAACAGAAAAGTTTTATTGAGGAGGAAAAGCAAATTCCAAACCTGAGTTCCAAGTACCCTTTGCTTGGATGAAGAGGAGCAAAAGAGCATTAGTGAGCCTGAAGCTGCACCTCGGCCCCATCACACCACCCAGACTGAGAAACAAACAGGACAGGGCACTGTCAAACATGCTCATGGAAGGCTGCCTGTGTGCACACGACCAGACTTCCTGGCAAATCCCAGGGCCCGCATCTGCCAAAAGCCACTGGGTAGTCAGTCGTGGTGGTATTCATCAAACTCTGCGATGCAAAAGTCATCCCAGTGATCACCTCATCCCCACCTCACCTCCAGATCACACCAAACCTACCTAAAGCCATCTTAGATATGTAGCCATCTCTCTCCCCTTAAGATCCAAAAGGAGTCAACTTTCTTCATTCTTCTTTACGTTTGTTTCTTTAGAGACAGTCTCACTCTGTCGCCCAAGCTAGAGTGCAGTGGCACCGTCATAGCTCACTGCAGCCTCAAACTCTAACCCTTCAGCCCTCCAATCTTGGAGCACTCAAGTGATCCTCTTGCCTCAGCCTCCTGAATAGCTAAGATGACAGGCAGGCACCACCATGCCCTGCTAAATTTTTTAATTATTACTTTTTGTAGAGATGGTCTTACCATGTTGCCCCAGCTGGTCTTAAACTCCTGGCCTCAAGGGATGCACCTGCCTCAGTCTCCCAAAGCTCTGGTATTACAGGCTCAAGCCACTGTGCCCTGCCTTATTCGTTACTCTCAGTAAGCTGTCCTGATAGGAAGTTCTCCATAACTGACCTACGTGCTTTTTAGGATGGACAGAAATAGAAAGCGCATTTCTAGAGCTTGCATTTCAATATTTTAATCAAAGTTGCCACAAATAGTGGCCCTCACTGGCCCTAACCACCTGTTTATTAGTTTCTTATTGCTGCCATAACAAGTTACTCCAAACTTGGTGGCTTAAAAGAGCCCACATTCATGATCTCGCAGTCCTGTAGGTCGGAATGCTGTTTGGGCTTGCCTGGCTTCTCGGCTTAGGGTTCCCCAGTGCCAAAAGCGAGGTGTTGGCCAGCCTGGGTTCTTAACTGGAGACTCTGGGAAGAAGCCGCCTCCGTGCTCACTCAGGTTGCTGGCAGATTTCAGCTCCTTGCCAGTGTAGGGCTGGGGTCCCGTCTCCTTGCTGGTGGTCAGCTGGCGGGGGCGGGTGGGGGACTCTCAGCTCCTTAAGACCATCTGCCTGCCTTGTCCCATTGCCAGGTGGGCTGAACTTGGCTCAACTCCCATGGGAGACACTGGTGTATGGGAGGCCACAGACTGAGCCAGGCCCATTCCCTGCCCTCAAGCAGCTAAAAGAGAGGGCAAGATGAAGAGAGCAATGGATGGAGGAGGCACCCACAAACTCTGATTTTTTAAAGCACAAGTTTCCTCTTTCCACAAGTCAACTTAATTTAAAGCACATGCCCTCATTCCCTTTCTCTCTGGTTGTTCTGAAGATTTTTTGAGGGCTTACCAGATGCGAGCTCTGGGAACTGGGGCATAGCTGGTCCCAATCATTATCTGTCTGTGACGAAATCAGCTGAGAGAGTTCCGCTCCCACCCTGTCGTCAGTCCCCATGGGTTCCGATGGCAGCACTCTTGGTTCCTCTCCAGGAACCTCTTTTGAGTTTGTATCAGTTTGAACCATACATAGCATGAGATAGTTTACAAGGAAGTGATCCCCCAAACGAGCAGGGGTGTGAGACAGAGAAGGGAAGGAAGAGCCGGCAGAGAGAGTGTTATTCAGCAAGTTACCTGTGGCCAGCTGAGCATAATCTCTTGGGGGAGCTCTGGAAAACACTGCAGAGCGTGCGTGCATCTCAGAGTTATCCCACAAGAGGAGTGAGAGAGCTGGGGTATTTATACACCAACTCCCACCGGTCATTGGATTAGGGCCGTTGTTCCATCAATTTCTCAACACTTTGCCCTGCCACATGCTTGGGCAGGGCCGGCCCTGGCAACTAGAGAAACCTCTCTGGCAGACAGACCTGGGTGCTGGCAGCTGATGTCAAGCCAGCCAGCAAGGAGAAATCACAGCCCCAGGGCCATGGGGGCTGGTGGGACCTCCTGCCTCTACTACAAGGCCTGACTCTGTGTCCCTGAGTCCCTCTGTGCCAGCATGGGAGATGGAAACTCTGTGAAGCTAAGGCCTTTTTTACCCAGACCCATCCGGTAGCTGGGTTGCCTCGAGACTCTGTTCACCTCTCCAAGCCCTACCCAGGAAGCAAGACTCCAGAGCTTGCTACTCAGATCCAACAAAGTTGTCTGGGAATCAGTGGTTTCCCAACCCAGTGCCCCCAGGTTTAGGTCTGTGGGGCATGTACAGGGCACCTTCTCCAGGACCCAGCAGCATCTGCACTCCTATCCTCTTCAACTCACCCTCTGCCCTCCTCCTAGCCAGCCCAAGGATGTGAAGACATCCTCTTTCTTTTCTTTTCTCTTCCTTTTCTTTTCTTTCTTTTTTTTTTTTTTTTTTTTTTTTGAGATAGGGTCTCACTCTGTTGCCTCGGCTAGAGCGCACTGGTGTGATCTCAGCTCACTACAACCTCTGCCTCCCGGGTTCAAGCAATTCTCCAGTCTCAGCCTCCCCAGTAACTGGGATTACAGGTGTACGGCACCATGCCCAGTTAATTTTTGTATTTTTAGTAGAGACAGGGTTTCACCATGTTGGCCAGGCTGGTCTTGAACTCCTGACCTCAAGCGATCTGCCTGCCTCGGCCTCCCAAAGTGCTGGAATTATAGGCGTGAGCCACTGCACCAGGCCCGACATCCTCTTTCAAGGCACACAGTCACCTAAAGCTATATGGAGTCACTTTGGCAGCTCCAAGGCCAGGGAAGAGAAGACTTTGTCCATGGTATAAATTCCTTGCTCCCTTCTCTTGTAACAGTGAGCCTCGCAAGAATGCGCTGAGTGAACGGGAAAGACTGCAGTGCAGAAGGACATATGGGGAAACCTTCAAATCGTCATTTCATCACCCAGATGTGCACCCAAGTAATCAGAATCCAAGGCGAATCTAGAATGCCATCAAGTGCCATCACAAAGTCCTTCCATAGGAGAGAGAAAGAAATTCCCACCGGAGGCAAGCAAAGAGGGCTGCTTGAAGGAGGCAGGGGCATGTAACCTGGCCTCGGGAGATGAGTAAAATCTCAGCTGGTGGAGGAGGAATGGGACCCGAGGCATGAAGCATCAGGGTAGCTTGGGTCGGCCTCATCTCCCCAGCCTGGGATTGGGGAAGGCAGAAGGGAGATCTATACCCTAGAACCTCAACCAAGGAGGTTGGACTTCCCCAGAATGAGGGCAGGGAGGAAGCTGTGGAATATTTTGGAGGAAGGAGTGACACGATGAGATGCCGCAGGCCAGTGGGGAGTCATGCAGAGACACATGTAGAAACGGCCTTTGTCTCAAGACTCTGGCTACAGGGCTGTGTGTGTGGAGGAGGGGGGAAGAGAAGAGGGAGGAGACGGGGAAGAAAGAAGTGAGGGAGGTTGGGGTGGTGCAGAAAGAGGAGAGATGGAGCAGGAAGGGGGAGAAAGAACAGATGTGGGGAGACAGTGGAGTTTGCGCCCGCCCAGCTCGCAGAGGCCCCCGTTTGTGGGTGTGAAAACCCATCCTGAACTTCTCTGGCCCAGGAAGTCTGGAGAGCCCCAGGCGCCTTGCTTGTGAGTGGCTTTTGTGAAAAGAAGGCAAGAGAATGGGAGGAAAAGTTGGATTCAGGTCTGATTTTTCTAAACAAAGTCACCAGCTGAGGCAGGACTGACAGCCCCGGGATGCCCTCAAGCAGAGAAATTGTCAGAGAAGAAGGTGAGAGGAGGTGATAATTGCTGGGAGAATGAAAGCTGAAGCCACCCCAGCGAGTCTCTTGGCTTCTCCAAGCCCAGTCAGCGTCAGAGAAAATAGAGGTCTGAGTTTTCTGGTTGTTCACACTCAGAAACTAAAGCCAGAAAAGTTCCAAACATCTGGCTTTTACAGCACAAAACCCCCAACGCACGTGCTGGGATCGTATTTAGTAATGTTATGGCTCCATCTACAGCCGGAGGAAGGATCATCACTGCTAGATTTCGCCGTGAGCAAGAATCCGGCCTTTGAGCTGCGCAGACTCATTGCAATTAACGCTAATAAAGCTCGTTCCTGTATCTGTGCTGTTTATTCAACACAGACTTGGAACCACACTGGAAGTTATTTATTTCAGACTGTGTCTACAACAGCAGCTGTTCAGAATATACTAGCATCCTTTTAGCCAAAATTGGTTTGGAATTTCTATTTTAAACCACTGTTTGTTATGAATTGAGTTAAATGTCTTTTTTTTTTTTAACACATTTTCCCTATTTTAACAATGGAAAAAATAAAAGCCCTTAAAATACTAAGATTGCATTTTCTTTCATTCATTCAACAGCTAATTAGCACCTACTGCGTGTCTGGCTCTGTGTTAAGTGCAATAATTAAGTCAGATCTGAATGCATCCTATTATTTACTCATCAGAGGGTATTTTTGCTACTTGTCCTTTATGTCTGGAACATTTCCACAGGAATAGTGAGAGAGGAAGAACCGAGACAACCTGTGAATATAGTGTTTGGGACAAGTTAGAAACACAAGGAACATAGAATCTTTTCATGACAAAGTGGAAGCTGGAAGTCAGTCCCATAAAGGCCAGTAAGATTTTTATCCTGTTCTATTATTTTTTTCCTACTCAGAAGTGGAATTAGTTTTTTCCTACTTAAAAAGTTACCAGCTGAAGTCAGGTGCGGTAATCCCAGCATTTTCGGGGATCGAGGTGGGCAGATTGCTTGCACCCAGTAGTTCAAGACCTTCCTGGGCAACATCGGGAGAGCCCCATCTCTACAAAAATACAAAAATTAGCCATGTGTGGTGGCGCACACCTGTAGTCCCAACTACTTGGGAGGCTGAGGTGGGCGGATCGCTTGAGCCTGGGAGGTTGAGGCTGCAGTGAGCCAAGATCACACCACTGCACCAACAGCCTGGGTGCAGTGGCTCATGCCTGTAATCCCAACACTTTGGGAGGTTTGGGTGGGAGGATCCCTTTAGCCCAGGAGTTTGAGATCAGCCCAGGCAACATAGTAAGACCCTGTCTCTACCAAAAAATATTTTTAAATAGCTGGGTGTGATGGCACATGCCTGTAGTCCCAGCTATTTGGGAGGCTGAGGCGGAAGGATTGCTTGAGCCCAGGAGTTCAAGATTGTAGTGAGCTATGATCACACCACTGCACTCCAGCCTGGGCAACAGAGCAAGACCCTGTCGCTGAAAATAAATAAATAATATTTGCTTTGTGCAGAAAATTTGGAAAACAAGACAAAAAGGAATTTAAAAATCTCAGTTATAATCCTATCAACCAAAGATGACCACTGTTAACTTTACATGGTACTATAATTTTCATTAACCCATAGGAGAGGAACTTTCTTTCATGTCACTGCATATTCCTCTATATGATTTTGAATGGCTACAGAGTATTCTTTCATATGAGCATACCATAATTTACTTATGCCACACATGATTACTGACTTTTAACAATGATAAGGTTTGTACTGATGACATTTCTTAAGATACACTCTTAGCTCTGGAACTTCTGGATCAAAGAGGGCATGTACCTTCAAGGCCTCTGAGACATATATCAAGTTGCCATCCAGGGTCAACCTCCTAGAATTTAACATCGCATCTGAAACCAAAATCTAACTTCAGGAGCCCAGAGCATTCACAGTTCCAGAAAGAGTGTGATGGTAAGTGGTGATCCTTGGTGTTCGGGAAGCTTTGCAGGGCATCCCAGCTGGAGGTAGTCAAAGTTATCAGAATGGTTTTTGATAAATTCTTTACCTTGTAGATGATTTAGACTGGAGTGCCTCCAGGAAAGCAGGAAGCAAGACATGTTTTTAACCTGGTAAGTATTTAGTCAATAGAGCATTACCAAGGGCTCAGGAGATTAAGAAAGACAGGATTATTTTAATGTATCTTCATCACCCAAACCTCACCACTTGTCATGGTTAATATCACCCCTGGCTTATTTTTCCTGTTCCCACATTCTGTCCACAGTTTGTGCCCACAGATACTTTGCCCTTTCCTCTCCTCCATGTCTTATAAGGTGAAGCTGGGTTCCTCTGAGGTCACAGAGCTGTGGTAACTACATCCAGTGGGTGTTAGAAAAAACCCTGGCCCCTCTCAGATGTGAGATGTGGTCTAAGGACTCAATACACTGACTTAGGGAAGACTTGAGCTTTTTTCTTTGGAACTGAAACATTTTCCATATGTTTATATAGAGTTGTGGCAACAACTCAAGGGATATGAAAAGCAGATTTTACAAGAGTATGATTGCACAGCAAAAGTCAGTTTTGGGTTAATTTTGGAAAGAGAAGCTTTGATTTTACTGTGTGCCTAGTAGACAATGTCCCATCAGTCACACACAAAGGAAGAATGTCGGCAGAGAATCCCATAAAGTTAGCACCTAATGTAACTAGCGTTATTGGAAGTTGAGGCAGAGACAAGGGCTGCCCAAGGTCATGGTCACGGTAAGAGGTGGGTGTAAGCTGCCTTTCTGCCTACTGGCTCAGTGATCATTTTAAAAGAGGGTGACTTAACTACAGAAGTAAAATGTGACTGCCTTAGTTGTTAGAGAGCAAGAAGACACTCAACTGCATAAGGGGAACCAGCAGCAGGGCTCCTACTAGAGGCTGGAGTCTCTTGGGAAGAAACAATTTCCCACCATGTGTTCCCTTGCGTGCTTGGCCATGGTAAGGCAGAACATGGAGGGTGAAATCAGACCTCAATCTTTTCTCTGATTCATCTTTCTGCAGGCAAACACCTCTCAGGAGAAGGAGACAAATTGTTGACTTGAAACCCAGTTTTCCTGCCCTGGCAGTAACTGCGCAGAGTGGGGGAGGGTGGACATAACCCTGGGGCCTCTCTGTTTGTATTGAATGTTCTCATCACCCTGACATCCTTGCAGTTTCCCTTTAATGCACGTGTGTCATGCTGAGAGTGCAAATGACTGTCTTGGGAGTTCTGTTTTTCCTACTTGTCCCCGCCTTCCCTGTGTGTCTGGGGCCCATGGATGTTCAATGGGACAGGGGCTAAAGTGGCCGCCAGGGGACAGAGTTGCTCACCTGCATAGCACCTTCCCTCCACCCTCCATGCACTGATGGATGGAACTTCTCATGGGTTTTTGGTCCACCGCACTCTATTTTTTTTGTTCCAGGGTTAAAAACATGGAGAAAGCTTGAGGCAGGGAGGATCTCCTTACTGCAGATAAAAAACCCAAGGCAGAGGTAATCAATACCTCATTCTTTAATAGCTCACAGTGGGACCCTTGAGCACACCAGACAACACAGCAAAGATCATAATTATGCTGATAGAAGTAACTTACAGGGTCAGATGCCTCCTGTCTGTCCATCTCTTAACCATATGATCTTTTACTTTATGTGGCAATGAAATAAAATATTTTGAGGCTGGCATTTCAGTCGGTCCAAGTTACAAATACAGCTGAGCACTTTTCTAAGCCATTATTTCCCCAGCTGGAAGTGAAAGTTAATAATTTTGCCCCAACTCTCAAACCCCATCACCACTTGCTTCTCAGGGATGCAGTGACAAGACAAGAGATATTTGCAATATTTGCAGTGTTTTCCAGACTTTTCTGATGCCAAGAAGCACCTGGGAAACTTGTCCAAATACAGACTTCCAGCCTAAACCCTGGTCTTACTGAATAAGTAATTGTAGGATGGGCCTGGGCATCTGTAGTTTTATTTATTTATTTTGAGATGGAGTTTCGCTCTTGTTGGCCAGCCTGGAATGCAGTGGCACAATCTCGGCTTGCTGCAACCTCTGCCTCCCAGGTTCAAGTGATTCTCCTGCCTCAGCCTCCCGAGTAGCTGGGATTACAGGCACCCGCCACGACGCCCAGCTAATTTTTTGTATTTTTTAGTAGAGATGGGGTTTCATCATGTTGGCCAGGCTGGTCTCGAACTCCTGACCTCAGGCGATTCACCCGCCTCGGCCTCCCAAAGTACTGGGATTACAGGTGTAAGCCAGCATGCCGGCTGGGCATCTATAGTTTTATAAGGCTCCCAGCTGATTCTTATGATTGGGTGATCATTGGCAAGTTTGGGAAATGTTAAGTTAATCACCATGAAATCCTTCAATGCTTCAGAAGATGTCAAGCTCTGAACACTTAAAGAAGCATTTATTGCCATTCTTATTGCAGGCCAGGATTGCCAGTTTAGCTAATAAAAATATAGGATGTCCACTTAAATTTGTATTTCAGATAAACAAGGAATGATGTTTATTTTTAGTATATCCCATGCAATATTTGGGATATACAAAAAATATATTTTTATCTGGTGACCCTGTCGGATGCTTTGCACTCCATTTATTTTATTCTATGGGAGAGCTAGGAGAAAAGTATAATCCTTAGAGGAAGAAAGTGTGCCATGGTAGAAGTGTGCACATCTTAGATTCCCCTCCGCAGGCTGCTCAGCTCCTCATTCTTTTCATGTGGCCACCACTCGCCTGCTTGCCAGGAAGAGGAAGCTCGGCAGCCGGCTCTTCATCATGCCGACAAAAAACGCTGCTGTTACTGAAGAAGACAAAGAAACCACTTTTAAAGATAAAAAGAGGTTTTGAAGCATTACTTCGCATTCTGCTTGTTCGGATCTCATGAGACAGTGAAGCAGGTATGCCATTCATTTGCCAATGCATTTGCTGATTTCAAAATAACTTAAGTATTTCTAAGCTATACACCAGGGGTGTCCAATCTTTGGCTTCCCTGGGCCACATTGGAAGAAGAATTGTCTTGGGCCACACATAAAATACACTAACACTAACAATAGTTGATAAGCTAAAAAAAGAAAAGAAAGAAAGAAAAAAAATTGCAAAAAAAGTCTCATAATGTTTTAAGAAAGTTTACAAATTTCTTTTGGGCTGCATTCAAAGCCATCCTGTGCCACAGGTTGGACAAGCTTGCTATACACATTTTTTTCCTCTGGCAAAATTTTCCAGGCCACTCAGTCCCATGGTGTGGATGCTGCCTCTGTCCAATGATACCTGACACCAGATCAAGGGTTCTTCCCAGTATAGACACCTCTCAGTTGGAAAGGGTTACAATCATCCCAATTTGGAAATCCCATCATCAATTGTAAAACAGACCTCCCCAAGGTGAGAAGGGGCGGGGGAATGTAGAGCTGAATATGAAAATCTGAAGGACTGCATGGTCTAAGAATGAAATGTTTTCTAAATAAAATTAAGCTACACGGTGGAAATTGAGGAGAAAGTCCTTAAGGTGACTTTTAAATGAAAATGAAATGTCTGTTAGTAAGTTACAGAGGTGCAATGATACCAAGTGGCAGGCTTGTGTCTTGTTAATTTCAAACATAGATTTTTATGTGAGGCTATTTGATTATAATTTGATTATCTGACCCTGTAATTAAAGTTTATTGCCAATTTGGAAGCTTACATGTAAAATGAACTGGTTTTCTTCAAAGCAATATACAATCTTTTGGACTCATTGACTTCTGGTTTTGCATTTAAATGGAAAAGTCAGTTATAACGTGACAAACAGGTTGGGGTTTTGATCATTAATCCTGCTAAAGCAATATTCATAAATTCAATTCTGAATCAGTTGGAATACTTTTCTTTTATTAGTTTCTGTGTTATTAAATGAGATTGTTTCTGACTAATATATTTCTGGACTCAAACTGTAGCTCCAAGCTGTTATTCAAATCAAATAACATGCCCCTTACTTGTGCCTCGCACTAATAAATGCCAACTTGTGATACATTTGCAAGAGACTGTCAGCAATATTAAAGGAGGCAATAATGGCATGGAGGTCTCAAAGTGAGCTGATTTTTCTAATGGCTGATATTCGTCGTTTTTCTTACACACACACCCCAGATATTCGAACCTTTTAGTCTTAAACCCAAAAGTATGCTTTGATTCACATACACATAATTCGCTGGCACTTTAATGACTAAGACATTGGAGTTAGATAACTCATAACTTTAGGATCCTCAGTGAGAGATCCTAAAGTTTGAAGCTGCTCTGCCGATTTCAGAGCAGAATCAAAGTTATAATTAGAAAGACAACTGCTGCTTAATTTGGGAAAGGAGATGGGTCCTTCTTTTCAATATTTGGGTGGGATGGAGAGGTTACATTGCTTTTTTTTTTTTTTTTTTTTTTTGAGGCAGAGTCTCGTTCTGTTGCCCAGGCTGGAATGCAGTGGTGCGATCTCGGCCCACTGCAACCTTCACCTCCCGGGTTCAAGCAATTCTCCTGCCTCAGCCTCCCAAGTAGCTGGGATTACAGGCATGTGCCACCATGCCTGGCTAATTTTTTTGTATTTTTCGTAGAGACAGGGTTTTACCATGTTGGACAGGCTGGTCTCGAACTCCTGACCTCAAGTGATCTGCCCACCTTGGCCTCCCAAAGCACTGGGATTACAGGCATGAACCACTGCACCTGACACGTTGCTTTTAAGTTAGAAAAACTATTCACAGATCACCTTTGGCTTCCCAGAGCAAAAAGGGGTCTCAGAGACCTTTCGCAGCCCTTTTACAGATAAAGAAACTGAGGCCCAGAGAGACATCAGCTGCTCAGTTACACAGCGAGTCAGGGGCAACTCCTGAATAGGAACTCTCTCTTAACACTCCCTGTAATATTTCCCTGACACTTTTCCCACCAAGCAGCCCACAACAAGCTCATAAATGTTCGTGGAAACTTAGCAGAGGCCCAGTTCCACCACTCTGCCTGTCCGACCTCCAACAAATCACCTGAACACCAGAAGCCTCCGCCCCACAGTGTGGGTCACACCTGCCCTTCCTCCCTGTTCAAGAAGTCAATGAGACCTGATACCTAAACTTCAAGGGGCAGGTCGCTAATAATATCTAACTTTTTTTTTTTTTTTTTTTTTGAGACAGAGTCTCACTCTGTTGCCCAGGCTGGAGTGCAGTGGCGTGATCTCAGCTCACTGCAACCTCCACGTCCTGGGTTCAAGCGATTCTCCTGCCTCGACCTCCCGAGTAGCTGGGATTACAGGCACCTGCCACCACACCCAGCTAATTTTTTGTATTTTTAGTAGAGATGGAGTTTCACCATGTTGGCTAAGCTGGTCTCAAACTCCTGACCTCGTGATCCACCCGCCTCGGCCTCCCAAAGTGCTGGGATTACAGGCGTGAGCCAATACGCCCGGCTAATATCTTTTAAATTTTCATGTGCTTTATTGAGGTATGATTGGCAGACAATACACTGTGAATATTTAAGCATGATATCTTTCCTAAATAATCATAGTAGCATTGAAGTTTTCGTGTGTGGGGCAATGTTTCCCTGAATACCTATATTTGAGCCTTGGAGATTATCCTCCAGACTGAAATGTTGGTTGTTGTTCTGTCTTCCTCTGTCCCGAGAGCCCACACATTTTCCAACTCTTCTCTTGATGGATTCGGGTTGGGTGTTGCTAGATTTCTGTCTTATCACACAAACAGTATGAGCAGGAATTGTCTCTCCTGTCCCAGAAGGAAATAGTTCCAACTTATTCACAAAATTCCAGTCTCCGGGTTACAAGAAAACTTTGAATCCGTCCCCTGCTCACACCTCCCGCCTTCCCACAACACCTGCCAAATACTCTCCGCACCCAGCCCTCCAGCTTGGATCCTAGGCTTGAGCGCCTCTGAGTGACCCAGGCAGGAAATGCGTCCCGGTGCTGTGTCAGCAGCTGCCAGGTGCGGGGCGCGGCCCGCGCGGATGCTGACCCCGTGGCGCCGAAGCAGGTGCTGCCCATTCTTGTTAACACCGTGAAGCAGGTGCCCCTTCTGAGCATTTCCTTCAAGATGGCCGAGACCTCTCCAAGGTGATCGGCATCGTCCCACCTTCTGCTCGAGCTGTCTTTCAAGGCCGGTGTTATCCCTGCTTACAAGTGAGGCTGGGATTGCTGGTTCGTGGCTGATCTTCCTCCATCCCTCTTGCCCTGCAAGTTTATCTTACGAACCAAGGTAAGAAGGGATTCTAGGGACAAGGCAGGGCAAAAGCTGGAGGCGGTGTGTGTGAAGGTGGAAGGGGCAGGGAGATTATGGATTTGGGATGTTGGTGAGCCTGATTCCATTTCAGCGGGATACCCCACACGCCAGGGGTTTTTGTTGGATTTTGCCACCGGAAGGTCCGATTCCACTCCTCCCTTTCAGTAGGTAACTAAAGAGCCAGGTATGGCTGGCCCCGAGGCTGTGGTGGAAACAGGCAAGGTCAGGAGGTGAGTGGTCCCCGGTCTTCAGAGTTTGTCCATGAAGACAAGCCACCTATCATGCATGGTACCTGCTGGGAGGCAGGTGTTGACACCGCTGTGGATGCTAATGTTGCTGCCTGGTCAAGGGGAGACCTCAGACTCAGGCTGGCCACCTTCCCAGCCAATTGCATGTGTGGCAGGTATCGACCCCCACGGGTGGCTAAACAGGCGTGACATCCTTCACGCCAGGCCTGGAGGTTCAGAGGAGGTTATCACACGTGTTGCAAGATGATGGGTCCATGCTGCGGCTTCTTGTTTTTCTGAGAGAACAGAGGTGACTGGGCCTCCCAGGGTCTGAGCCGGGCTGCTTACCGACACCCCCAGGGGAGCTCTTACAAACTATCAGCAGCACGCAAGCCTTTCTCTGCTATGCTGGCAAATCGCCCTTGTGTGTGGTGTCCATGACTTTGAGGCTTAGCAAATATGTACCGCCTACACACAATTCTGTCTACATCACAGAAAACTTTATGTGACTGTATAATCTTCCTTTGGAAAAACAGATATAACTTATGTACTACAAAATCCACCATTTTAAAGCATACTACAATTCAGTGGGTTTTAGTATATTCAGAAGGTCGTGCCACCATCACCACTAATTCCAGAATATTTTCATCACCCTCAAAATACATCCCGCCTTTGGAATGGAGATCAGGGTCAAGGTAGACACTTCCCTGTATGCATGGGTGATGATGATAGTGGTATCAGTAGCTATTAATATCATTGAGCACTTACTGTATACCGGCCACTGTGCTGAATGCTTTACATATGCCTGTTCATACGTATGCCTGTTCATGCAATATGAATACATATTTCACTCAGTCTTGTTACATACCAAATAGGTGAGCAATGTTGGTATCCTCACTTTATTAAGAGAACGGAGGCACAGAGATCGAGAGAGAAGCCTGCATCCATGGGGTTTGATCCCAGGAGATGCGTACTGACTCTATGGGTCTCTCCGCTGACTTTATGGGTCTGTTCCCTGTAGAGTTTAGAAAGATCTCCCTATGCCTAGAGAGGCCCATTGTAGCTGGCTTTTCTTTTTTCCAGTTTATTAGTTTGTTTGTTTTTTTAAAGATTGTGATTAAAATGTATATAACATAAGACTTATCATTTCGATCTTTTTAAGTGTACAATTATGTGGCATTAAGCAGTGATATGGTTTGATCTGTGTCCCCGCCCAAATCTCATGTCAAATTGTAATCCCCAATGTTGGAGGAGGGGCCTGGTGGGAAGTTATCGGATCTTGGGGGCTGATCTCCCCCTTGCTGTTCTTGTGATAGTGAGTGAGTTCTTACACAATCTAGTTGTTTAAAAGTGTGTAGTACCTCCACCTTCATTCTCTTTCTCCTTGCCTGGCTGTGTAGGACGTGCCTGCTTCCCTTCGCCTTCTGCCAGGATTGTAAGTTTCCTGAGGCCTCCCCAGCCATGCTTCCTGTACAGCCTGTGGAACTGTGAGTCAATTAAACCTCTTTCCTTTATAAATTACCCAGTCTCAGGTTTCTTTATAGCAAAGCAAGAAGGGACCCATACAAGCACATTTACAATTTCATGTAAGTATCACCACTACCCATTTCCAGAGCTTTTTCTTTTTATTTATTTATTTATTTATTTATTTATTTATTTTATTTATTTATTTTTTTAATTGATCATTCTTGGGTGTTTCTCGCAGAGGGGGATTTGGCAGGGTCATAGGACAATAGTGGAGGGAAGGTCAGCAGATAAACAAGTGAACAAAGGTCTCTGGTTTTCCTAGGCAGAGGACCCTGCGGCCTTCCGCAGTGTTTGTGTCCCTGGGTACTCGAGATTAGGGAGTGGTGATGACTCTTAACG
The DNA here is from genome assembly GCF_000001405.40 of Homo sapiens. Classification (NCBI taxonomy): domain Eukaryota; kingdom Metazoa; phylum Chordata; class Mammalia; order Primates; family Hominidae; genus Homo; species Homo sapiens. Next base: position 53,540,057 of record NC_000016.10, on the reverse strand, counting down.
AGCATGCTGCCTTCAAGCATCTGTTTAACAAAGCACATCTTGCACCACCCTTAATCCATTTAACCCTGAGTGGACAGAGCACATGTTTCAGAGAGCACAGGGTTGGGGGCAAGGTCACAGATCAACAGGATAAGAATTTTTCCTACTACAGAACAAAACGAAAAGTCTCCCATGTCCACCTCTTTCTACACAGACACGGCAACCATCCGATTTCTCAATCTTTTCCCCACCTTTCCTCCCTTTCTATTCCACAAAACTGCCATTGTCATCATGGCCCGCTCTGAATGAGCTGTTGGGTACACCTCCCAGACGGGGTGGTGGCCGGGCAGAGGGGCTCCTCACTTCCCAGTAGGGGCGGCTGGCCGGGAGGGGGGCTGACCCCCCCACCTCCCTCCCGGACGGGGCGGCTGGCTGGGCGGGGGGCTGACCCCCCCACCTCCCTCCCGGACGGGGTGGCTGGCCGGGCGGGGGGCTGACCCCCTCACCTCCCTCCCGGACGGGGCGGCTGGCCGGGCGGGGGGCTGACCCCCCCACCTCCCTCCCGGACGGGGTGGCTGCTGGGCAGAGATGCTCCTCACTTCCCAGACGGGGTGGCTGCCGGGCGGAGAGGCTCCTCACTTCTCAGACGGGGCGGCTGCCGGGCAGAGGGGCTCCTCACTTCTCAGACGGGGCGGCTGCTGGGCAGAGGGGCTCCTCACTTCTCAGACGGGGCGGTTGCCAGGCGGAGGGTCTCCTCACTTCTCAGACGGGGCGGCCGGGCAGAGACGCTCCTCACCTCCCAGACGGGGTCGCGGCCGGGTAGAGGCGCTCCTCACATCCCAGACGGGGCGGTGGGGCAGAGGCGCTCCCCACATCTCAGACGATGGGCAGCCGGGCAGAGACGTTCCTCACTTCCTAGATGGGATGGCGGCCGGGAAGAGGCGCTCCTCACTTCCTAGATGGGATGGCGGCCAGGCAGAGATGCTCCTCACTTTCCAGACTGGGCAGCCAGGCAGAGGGGCTCCTCACGTCCCAGACGATGGGCGGCCAGGCAGAGACGCTCCTCACTTCCCAGACGGGGTGGCGGCCGGGCAGAGGCTGCAATCTCGGCACTTTGGGAGGCCAAGGCAGGCGGCTGGGAGGTGGAGGTTGTAGCGAGCCGAGATCACGCCTCTGCACTCCAGCCTGGGCACCATTGAGCACTGAGTAAACCAGACTCCGTCTGCAATCCCGGCACCTCGGGAGGCCGAGGCTGGCAGATCACTCGCGGTTAGGAGCTGGAGACCAGCTCGGCCAACACAGCGAAACCCCGTCTCCACCAAAAAAATACGAAAACCAGTCAGGTGTGGCGGCACGCGCCTGCAATCACAGGCACTCGGCAGGCTGAGGCAGGAGAATCAGGCAGGGAGGTTGCAGTGAGCCGAGATGGCAGCAGTACAGTGCAGCTTCTGCTCGGCATCAGAGGGAGACCATGGAAAGAGAGGGAGAGGGAGACCGTGGAAAGAGAGGGAGAGGGAGAGGAGGGAGAGGAGGGAGAGGAGGGAGAGGAGGGAGAGGAGGGAGAGGGAGAGCTTTTTCTTTATAGCAATGTAGAATGGACTCCTACAAGCACATTTACGATTTCATGTAACTATTACCACTACCTATTTCCAGAACTTTTTCATCATTCCAAACTGAAACTCTGGACCCATTAGACACCAACCTCTCCCAGCCCCTGCTAACCTATTCTACTTCTCTATGAATTTGCTTATTCTACATATCTCCTGTAAGGGGTATTGTACAATATTTTTCCTTTTGGGTCTGGCTTATTTCACTTAGCATAATGTTTTCAAAATTTGCTCATTTGTAGGATTCTCAGAATTGCGTTTCTTTTTATGGCTGAATAATGCTCAATTCCTTTTTGTGGCTGAATAATTGTATATGTGTACACCACTTTGTTTATCCACTCATTTGTGGATGGACACTTGAATTGTTCCTACCACTTGGCTACTGTGTGTGTACAGGTACTTGCCTGGGTCCCTGTTTTCAATTCTTCTGGATATACGTAGGTGTGAAATTGCAGGGTCATATGATAATTCTACATTTAGCTTTTTGAGGAACCACCACATTTTCCATCACAGCTACACCATTTACGTTCCCATCAGCAATGCCCGAGGGTTCCAATTTCTTCACATCTTTGCCAACACTTGTTATTTTTCATTTTTTGATAATAATCATTCTACTGGGTGTGAAGTGGCACCTCATTGTGGTTTTAATTAGCATTTCCCTAATGGCGAATGACGTTGAGAGTATAGCTGACTTATTTTCAAAGGCCACAAAATGGAGATGAGATGTGTGTTTTGGGGCACAAGGAGTTATCTGGTACAGAGGGGGCCGATGTGGTAATGAGCAAACACATTCATCTGGGCCAAGTTTTTCTCTTTATTTGTGAATTTTCTGATCCAGTGTTCTCAGCCTTGGCTGCCTGTCAGAATCACCAGGGGAGGTTTTAAACTATGGAGGCCAGCTGCACCCCCAGGGTGTCTGCTATGAGCTGTCCAGGTAGGGCCTCCATTTGTCCCATTGCAGGGGTGGCTCGGCTCTAATTTTTCATGAAAAAAGTATGAGAGACGCTAAACCTCGTGTTTTTTCATTTAAAAAATTCTCTAAAACGTTTACTTATTTTAAGCATTCGTTCTGTAATTACTGTTTTGTAGACTTATACCCACTGAGAGACTTGAGTGTCTCTGAAAATCATCGCAAAACAGCACTTGAACTTAGGCCTGACTCCTCCTTTGCTGTGCCCCTTTCCCCACTCTTTAGAACGTCAGACAAAGCTCATTAATTTTGTGCAACAGCAACCAGGACTGAGATCTCCTCTTGCTGGTGATGGTGGCTGCCCCTGCTTCGTTCCCTGACTCACTCTTATCACACCTCCATAAGGCTTGACCTGCTCTAGATGCCGCCAAGCCCTCTGCCAGGAGGTCAGAAGGGACGTCTGGTAGGGCTGCAGAGATAGAGAAACCAGAATGCACCTGGCCTCTGGGAGTTCAGTCAGGGGAAGCAAAGGAACCAGCTCCTATATAAATTATTACAATGCACGCCAAATTTGATGTTTCTCAAAGTGTGGGAGGTGTACCTGTATGTAATGGGAAATTGTATTAGGTAGACACGGCATTAACAACACTGAGTCACCAAAGGACAAAGTTATTCCCTTTTCAATTATCTTTTAAGCCTTCAGAGAAAGCAAGCAGAAAGTCTTAGTTTGGAGCTAATAAGTCTTTAACACCTCTCTTCAATCACACCTCCTTTTAAAAAAAAAAAAAAGCAAGCAGACAGACTCAAGTCTCCAGCTGTAATAGTATCAAACCAGAAATTGGCAACATTGCTCTGCTTTCATGGTATTTATTTTTTAGTTGGCTTCTAATTAGCTGGTCTCACTGATATTTTTTCCCCATTTATCACTGTGATATAAAGTTTACTTCTAGGCCAGGCGTGGTGGCTCATGCCTGTAATCCTAACACTTTGGGAGGCTGAGGCAGGTGGATCACTTGAGGCCAGGACTTTGAGACCATCCTGACCAATATGGTGAAACCCCGTCTCTATTAAAAATAAAAAAGCTAGCCAGGCATGGTGGTGCATGCCTGTAATCCCAGCTACTCGGGAGGCTGGGGTAGGATAATCCCTTGAACTCAGGAGGCCAAGGTTTCGGCGAGCTGATGTCACACCACTGAACTCCAGCCTGGGTGACAGAGTGAGACTCTGTCTCAAAAAAAAAAAAAAACTTACTATTGTTTATTTATTTTTGAGACACAGTCCTTCTCTGTCACCCAGGCTGGAGCACAGTGGTGCAGTCACAGCTCACTGCAGCCTCAACCTTCCAGGCTCAAGCAATCCTCTCATCTCTGCCCCCTCAAGTAGCTGGGACTACAGGCATGCGCCACCATCCCTGGCGTGTGTGTGTGTGTGTGTGTGTGTGTGTGTGTTTATTTTTTGTAGAGACATGGTCTTACTATGTTCCCAGGCTGGTCTCAAACTCCTGGGCTCAAGTGATCCACCCACCTTGGCCTCCGAAAGTGCTGGGATTATAGGCATGAGCTACTGTGCCCTGTCAAAAGTTTACTTTTAAAATAAACCCATTTAAATTTGTTTTAAAAAGTGAGTTCGTTTGAAGGAACAGGATAAACGACCAGTAGAGCAGGTGGCCAGCAGATGTGGCATAAATCACATAGGTGGTATCCAAATGACCCTGGGAGAGGCGTGGGCATGTGCTTCAGGGATTGAGGGAGCTCCCAACTTGTCACACAAGAAGTAGTATGTCATCACAGAATGATGACTAACAATTTATAGATGGAAGGGACCTTAGAGATCCTAGGCGCAACTTTAGCAGGTGAGGGAAACTGAGGCTCTGAAGTGTTGAGGGTCTGCGGCCAGGTGCGAAGGCTCATGCCTGGAATCCCAGCACTTTGGGAGGCCAAGGTGGGTGGATCATCTGAGGTCAGGAGTTAAGACCAGCCTGACCAACATGGTGAAACCCAGTCTCTACTAAAAAAAAAAAAAAAAAAAGAAAAATTAGCCAGGTGTGGTGGTGCACACCTGTAATCTCAGCTACTTGGGAGGCTGAGGCACAAGAATCACTCGAACCCGGGAGGCAGAAGTTGCAGTGAGCCAAGATGGTGCCACTGCACTCCAGCCTGGGTAATAGAGTGAGTTTCTGTCTCAAAAATGAATGAATGAATGAATGAATGAATGAATGAATGAAGTGTTGAGAGTCTGGGGAAACACAGGTGTCAGTGGGAGAACCAGCACAGGACTCTGGCTGTGCAACCCCGCATGGATCACCCCAGTCCCTGCTATCTCACTGCCTGTCACAGCTTGTGCTATGTCACAGGACACTTCTCTTTCAGCAGCTGACTCAATACAATAGTACATTTTGCTTCCAGAAATGTGAATAATGAGTAATGTGAATAACAAGTACTGTGAGTGGCATGCTCTGTCTCTTCCACCTCACAAAGTGCCAAGGATGAGGTGCATTTGTGAAGAACCACAGGACTTTCCCTAGAAGTAAGACAGAGACACAGTTGTAAATTTTTTTTTTTTTTTTTTTGAGACGGAAACTCCCTCTGTTGCCCAGGCTGGAGTGCAGTGGTGCGATCTCAGCTCACTACAACCTCCACCTCCCGGGTTCAAGCGATTCTCCTGCCTCAGCCTCCCGAGTAGGCAGTTACAACTTCTACAACAGGCTGTTGTGCTGTCTTTCAAGTTTTCCTTCCAGATACACAGTAGGATTGTACTTCACTGCTCCTGCCAAGTTTAGGAATAGTTTTGTTGGCAGCAATGGATGACTCCCCCAAAGTCTGGCTTTTGTCCCTTGGCATAACGCGTCTGAAATTCACCCATGTTGTTGCGTGTACCCATTGTTCCTTTTCATTACTGAGTAGTATGCCTTTAAATGGGTGTGCAGAGTTTGCCTACCCGTCCACCAGGTGAGGAACATTTGAGCTTTTCCCTGTCTTTTGGCAATGATGAATAAAGCCACTATGCAATGTTTAACTTCAAATTTCTCTAACACAAAACTGACATTTCTCACTGTGATTCTGGAGGCCTCTGTGATCCAACCACACATACCTCTTCTCAGGCCACCCCTCCCCCTCCACTCACTCACTCTGAATAGGCCAAGTACTCCCCTTTCCAAGGCCTTGGGACTACCTTGGCCCTTCCCACAGCTCACCCTCAGATCCCATAGCTCCTCCCCGGGGCCTTCCTGACATCTCTATCCAAAGCCACCCTCTCGCATCCAAAGGGCTGTCTGTCTGTTTTTACCCTGTATATTTCCTTCACAGCACCTACCATGATCTGGAATTTTTTTTTTTCCTTCTTGTACAGGTCTTGTCTGTCTTGCCAAAGTCCTAACATGTATTCTGGAACTTAATACAAATGAGTCAATAAGATTGGGGAAGTAACAAAGATTCAGCTTATATGTGTCTTCAGCGCCAGGTTACAAAGTCTGCACTGTGCGTAGGCAATAGGAAAATAGTGTTGAAAATGGTACTTTGGGAAAATTGTTCATTTAAAATAAAGTTTTGGTTATTGTAGGCCATAAAGCAAGGATTAGAACACATATATCTTATAGACACTGAATATCCTACCGCTGAGGTTTTCAATCCTGTTAAGAGCACAGGGAAATGGCAGTTAGCATTTAAGATATATCTGACTGATTTTATCCCTTGAAATTTTGTAGAATTTAGAGACCTATTACTCCAAAAAATATATAGCCTTGTTTACTTTCCCCTCAGACCAGTATTCAGAGTTAAATAGGGAATGATGTTATCGTTGTATGTATTCTTGAACAGAAGGGCATAAAATATATTGATGGGTGTGTATCTCACTTTTACTAGCAGTAATGGTAGTATTTAAAGACACAAAGGATATGCAATGCTTTGCTGTGGTGCACAGTGAGCTATACACTTACTTTAAATGATGGGATCTTAAAATACTCTTCTGAAACAACAAACAAAAGTGTGATAACGTTTTATGAAAAGATTGGCACACCAGAAATCACCTAATCTGTCTCTCAGGTTTCTGCCTGTTTGCAAATTTGTAAAAGAAAACACAAGAAGTGTTTTGGCCTTATTGTTGTGACATGGTTGAGACACCGAACTTAATAATATTCCCTGGAACCCATTAGAGCAAGCTTGTCCAACCTTTGACCCATGGGCTGCACGTGACCTAGGACGGCTTTGAATGAGGCCCAACCCAAATTTGTAAACTTTCTTAAAACATTATGAGATTTTTGGGGAATTTTTTTAAAGCTCATCAGCTATTGGTAGTGTTAGTGTATTTTTTATGTGTGAGCCAAGACAATTCTTCCAATGTGGTCCAGGGAAGCCAAAAGATTGGACACCCCAGCATTAGAGAAATACTTTAAAGGAATATAGGAGATTTGCCACTTCTCCCACATAAGTTCACATTCACATTATTCTTTTTTATTTATTTATTTATTTTTTGAGATGGAGTCTCGCTCTTGTCGCCCAGGCTGGAGTGCAGTGTCATGATCTCTGCTCATTGCAACCCCCATCTCCTGGGTTCAAGCGATTCTCCTGCCTCAGCCCCCCGAGTAGCTGGGATTACAGGCACCTGCCAATAATTTTTGTATTTTTAGTAGACATGGGGTTTTGCCATGTTGGCCAGCCAGGTCTCGAGCTCCTGACCTCAGGTGATCTGCCCGCCTCAGCTTCCCAAAGTGCTGGGATTACAGGCTTGAGCCACTGCGTCTGGCCCACATTCATTTATTCTACACAACTTCATTGAACGCCTACCAAATGCCTTGGATGCTCTGCTAGGACTGAGGGTGAGGATGAGTTAAGCAGACATATTCTCTACCCTCCTAAAACAGTCTAGAGGGAAGGGGAGGTGGCAAAAAGTGATTACAAGAACAACCTGGCTTAGTCCTGGTGGAAGGAACCTCTGAGCCACTTAACTTGGCTTTTGCACAATCGCACATAGATTTGCTCATTAAAGCCAAGTGTGGCTCATGGCATTGGCAACAGGATGGACAGTGGAGGCTTCTCAGATGCAGATCAGTATAGCTCTGAGTACCTCTTGAGAAAATGTAGCTCAGTGTCCATCACTACCCATGCACCGCTGGCGAAGCAAGGAGGGCCCCATAGATGGGGGGTCAGCCCAACAGCCTCTTACACCATTAGCATGGAAGAAGACACATTGTTTGAACAAATATATGCCTTTTTTCTTTGGCCTTTCTGAAAATGAGCCTCTCCCCAGCTGGCCAGAGGCATTGGTCATCTTCGGGGAGTGGGAGAGGTCACGCTTGTTTACAGTGGAAATGCAAGAGAAAGAATTATGCTCAGGTTTTGACATTCATAACTGGATTTTGCATGGCAAACCAGACTTGTCTTGAAGATTTCCTCCTTTTTTTTTTTTTTTTTTAAAGAAAAATGTACTCAGCATGTCAAGAGCTAGGCTAGGGAGCCTCAGTGCTTGGAGATCTCTCGTGTGGAGAAGACAGCCCTGTGTCCCTTGGGATATTCAGCCTGTTGCTCTGTGATAGAATATCATGCAGAAGAGTGGCTGTCACATATTTTTTCCATGACCCACAGCAAGACATTTGTGTGTGCACACAGACACGTACACAAAACAAATTTTAGAAAACAATTCTTAGCCTTGTTATGTGTGATATTTTCTCATTTTTAAAATTCTTTTTAAATTTGTATTAATGCTGGTCATAACCCCCTGACTTCAGTCACTCCCCCAGGAATGGGTCATGACTGGTAGCATGAAAACATTGAAAAACATTGGCAGATGCAGGAGGAGGAAGGTGAGAGAGACAGATGGGCGAGAGGTGAAGCTGGATGTGTGTCCTGACCTCTCTCCTTCACATCTTGGCTGGGAAAGGTGTAAGATAAAGGAATAAGAGGAGGCTAAAGGAAGAGGTTATCTCTGCCCCAATTCCCCTTAAGAACCTGGAAATAGATCCCCTGCTCGCTCTCCATCCAACTGGATGAGCAAAGTAGGGTGGGTAGTCGTGGTCCGGCAGAGGAGCTGCATGGGCTTTCTGAGCTGCCTTCCCCTCCCTCGAGGTGTGGACACAACCCAGGCACTTCCCTCTCAGAACAGGCCAGGAGACTCCACAGCAGATGAGGGAGGCCTAATGAGGCCAGAAGGCTGGGGGAGGGCAAGGCTGAGCCAGGCCCAGAGAGTGACCAGGCCGAGGGAGACCAGAGCATGAGTTCACCTGTTTAAGATGCCAGCGAGGTCAGTAGTAACCAGCAGACAAGGACACCTTCCACAAGAGCCAGGCACCTACAGCAGCACCCCCACGTCCCACCTCATTTACTCCAGCGCTGCCTCAGAGAGGAGCTTAGAAGCCAGAGTACCCGAATTATTTTCCCAAAAGAGGTAGAAAATCACCTAGAGAAGCTGTTAGTATTATTGTATAGGCTGGAGTGAGTTCAGCCTTTTTCTTCCCTCTTGTTTTGTACCAAATTGGCATTCATAAAGACTCAGTTCTAGGTAAAATAGCCATGTATCTATGCCCTGAGTCAGCCAGTGGAGTGCTGTTAAAATGTTTAAAAACAAGCTGTTAAATCAGCTTGAGGAGTCCTGATTTATAGTGCTTGCCAATTTCCATGGTGTAAATACTCCTGCTATGGCCAATTTCCGTGGTGTAACTCCACCCACCATGGCCAATTTCCATGGTGTAACTACTCCCACCAATTTCAAGCTACTGTAGAGGCCACTGGTTGCAGAGTTATCTTAAATGAGGCACAGTGGGCTCTGAGCCTGGACAAGCTGACTCTAGCCACTAGGCTCCCTGGCCACCCAGTCTCAGTAGGCAAGACTTCTGAATGTGCCCATGAGTCTGAGGGCCAGATCAACTTTCCAGCATAAATACTGCTTTCTCTCACACTGGTTTCACTTACTCTATGGAAATGGCTCTCTGCTTTGCGTGAACAGAACCTCATTGTGGACAAGTAGACTGCCCTTGTCTCCATTTTCTTCTTCAAGCCCCTCTTCCAGGAAAATTCTCAGGGTCTGTCTACCCACCCAGGACAATCTTTTGCGTGAGCCAGCCTGACTGACAGAATCGGAGCAAACCACCCCCTGAAGGGAGCTCCAGAGGTCATTGTGGCCAGCCCCCTGCCTCTAGGCAGATCTCCCCCTAAATCGTACTAGACAGAGCCTTCCTCGTCCTGGGCCATTTGCTCGGAGCTCCCTGAGCAGCTGAGTAAAGTTTTGTGCTGACTCCGTGGAGCTCTGACGACGGCAGGCGCTCCCGCAGCTCATAAGGGAATCATTAGTGAGATGTAGCCCTGAATGAGGGCCTGAAGGCCTGTGGCAATTAATCACCTTTCCTCACTCAGCAGCACCAGCTGTCTCAGATGCAGCCATCCTAGAGGTAGCCCTTTAATTGTCCCCGGAGAAGGCAGGTGGGTGAGGGGCCACCTGTGCTAGCGTTAGCCAGCAATCCTTCCAAATTAAAAAAAAAAGAATTTTTTTTTAGAGTATTCAAATATTTCTTCCTTACTTTCTAGAATCTGTTATTGGTATAAAGGTTGAAGCTCAGGCAGCTTAACTGTTACGTGGAATGACCTTTAGTTTTAATATTAATATATTATCGTAAAGTCTATGTGAATCATGAATGCAATTTTGGTATTCATATAAAATGCCACGCGCTGAACCCATTGCAACTTTTTTTTCCCCTCTCGTCCTCCAGTAGGCTGCAAACTGGGTGAATTAATATGCGTCATATTCCTCTCCCCTTTATTTACTTAGAGAGGGTGGCCAGGCAACTTTATCAAGAGTAACATTATCAAGAGCTTTGCTGCAAGCTTCTGTATCATATTCACATCCGCGTCTGCTCGACACTTGTCAGTGTCAATCAAATCGCAATAATACGCAGATGATTTGCTCATTTGGTTTAATAAAATCTTTCTGCTTATTTGCGCTGCCTCCATTACACCACATAATTGCTGTGCCGCGGAGGTGAAAGGCAGCCAGTTGCCTGGGGGATAAGAGGAGCCGATTGCTATATGAAGGATTTGTTTCTTTGCCTCTGTCTCTCCCGAGTCACTCATATTCCTAAAATTAATATTGTATTTGAATCTAGCCCTGCTATTCTTATGCAGGCTAACATTGTTATTACTTATTATTTGGATGTGAAGTCATTTATTTTTAGTTTTATGTCCAAGCTGTCAAGCTAAATTTCATTGTGAACTGCCACATACAATTTTTAACTGCCATTTAAAACGAGATTCAAACTCGAAATTATGGAGTGAGCTTGTTCAAAGGGCCAGCCTGACAGGAAGTATAGCAAGGAGCCCCAATTTCCCTGGAAATCAAAGAGGCTCCCAGTGATTTTTGTGGAATGGAAAGCGCACAGCCTTAGTACTTCACAGTCACCTTGATGGTGGCCGGACACCTGGGTTGGCATTCAGAGAGAGAGGGGCGTGCAGGTGGCTGCGGAGCCCAGGGCTGTGCTCAGAGCCCACTCAGCACCTGCACTTGAGCGTGGCCTGCTTCTTGGGAAAAGTCAATTGCCTTCCAGGAGGGTGAGACCCATGTCGCCCACCCCCATGGTGTGCTAAGGCAAGCTTGCAGACAGGATGCCAGCCTGCAGGGACAGGAGGGGCCAGCCAGCTGAAAGCTGTAGGGTGACTTGATCTGGGGCCCCGGGGCTGCTGTGTAACCCTCCAGGAGGCAAGGCAATGCCAGGGCATGGCTGGAGAGAAGCCACAGTCCACCTTAAAGTGGTTAAGAGTTATGCTTTGGTATTCATAGAGGGAGGGCTCTTCCTGGAGCACAGCCAGATATTCAGAAGGAGGGAGCGGCACCCAAGACCTTGTCTCGCCAGCTCAGCTAGAGCCTGGTCACATCGGGGTACCATACTCCCGTCCGGCGTAACATTCAGGTGGGAACAAACTTTCCACCTATCGCAGCCTCTTACTAGGCCCCTGTGGTTGGTGCTTCCTGTGAATCCCCTCATTAAACATCCATAAAGACAACTGTCTCAGATAAGTGTCATTCTTGTCCTGCTGATGAAAAATGAAGATGCTGAGATTTAAGGAGGCTGAGGCGATGAAGGCTCTGGAAGCAGCTGGTTGAGCCCATAAGGGGACACAAGGAAGGGGTGTGGCCAGGAGCAGGCCCCGAGAGCACGGCAATGTGGAGAAAGAGGCAGCGGCCACAGCAGCTCGGGCCACTGCCTGTCACCAGCAGTCTTGTCACCAGGTTGTCACTGAGGACCTAGGCTTGCTTTGCCTTCCAAGAAGGTCCAGTATTCAAGGAAGCCAGTGACAGACCATCCCCAAGAGAACGCATGTCATCGCCCCTCTCAGTAGCACTTTAACATTTGCAGCCAAGCCCTGGGACTCCAAAATGCTTCCTATGCACTTTGTTCAAAGGTGTCAGTGCTCAAAAATTGACACAGAGGATCCCTGAGTCCTGTGCCCTCACCTACATTGGTCTCTACCAAGCTGGGCTGTTTCTGGCCAGACCCACGGCTGCAGCGGTTATGCTGCCACAGGTCCTCAGGTTTGTTTGGTGGTGGTGATGGTTTTTTGAGACAGAGTCTCACTCTGTCACCAGGCAGGAGTTGCAGTGGCATGATCTCAGCTCACTACAGCCTCCACCTCCTGGGTTCAAGCTATTCTCCTGCCTCAGCCTCCTGAGTAGCTGAGATTAAAGGTGCACACTACCACGCCTGGCTAATTTTTGTATTTTTAGTAGAGACAAGGTTTCACCATGTTGGCCAGGCTGGTCTCAAGCTCCTGACCTCAGATGATACACCCACCTTGGCCTCCCAAAGTGCTGGGATTACAGGCTTGAGCCACCGGGAACACTCCCACACAGGGAACACTCAAGTCCCTCCTCTTCCTCCTCTTGGCTGATTTCTGTTCCCCCCATCTCTAGTATTAAAAAGGACTTAATTCTAAGCACGCACATGTTGTCTTGGGTGCTGACGTGAGTTTATAAAATACAGCATGCACGCAGCGGCTGTGGAAGGCTGAGATGAGGCCTTCTTGGCTGTTTGGCTGGGAGAGGGTGTTGGGGACTTCTCTCCTCTTGTCCCTTCCTTGCTTTGGCACAGCTGAAGAGGCTGTTGTTCCATCCACGGGATCCCAGAGTTGGAGCTGAATCCTGGTCAGGGAGAGAGTCCTTTCTGAAAGCTTCTAGTCCAGGCCCTCCCTGCACCTGAGCGTGTCTCAGGCTGTGGTTTCCAGTGGGCATGCCATGGCACGTGGTGTTTTGTGAATTACCCATGGGTGTGTCACCAACTTTGACATTTTTAAACAGCTTTATTGAGATATAATTCACATACCACACAATTTTTTTTTTTTTTTGAGATGGGGTCTCGCTCTGTCACCCAGGCTGGAGTGCAGTGGTGCAATCTCAGCTCACTGCAACCTCCACCTCCTGGGTTCAAGCACTTCTCCTGCCTCAGCCTCCCCAGTAGCTGGGATTACAGGCGTGTGCCACCACCCCTGGCTAATTTTTGTATTTTTAGTAGAAATGGGGTTTTGCCATGTTGCCCAGACTGGTCTCCAACTCTTGGCTTCAAGTGACCCACCCTCCTCAGCCTCCCAAAGTCCTGGGATTATAGGCATGAGCCACGGTGCCCGGCCAATTTTCCTATTTAGTGTATAATGCATGGACTTTTGTATATTCACAGAGTAGTGCAACCATCACCACAGTCAATTTTAGAACATTTTCATGACCTCAAAAAGAAATCACTTACCTGTAGCTAGCTACTACCCCTATAGGCCGCCACCCAACCATAAGCAACCATGAATTGACTTTCTGTTTCTATAGACTTGCCCACTCTGGACATTTCAGAGAAACAGAATCATGATAGGTGGTCTTTTGTGACTTCTTGTGCTTAGCATGATATTTTCAGGGTTCATCCACGTGTAGCCTGTATCAGAATCTCATTCCTTTCTATGGCCAAATAATATTCTATTGTAGAAATACAGTTGGCCCTTGAACAACGTGGGTTTGAACTGTGAGGGTCCACTTATACACAGATATTTTTTAACCAAATGCAGATCAAAAATACAGTATTTGTGGGATGTGAAACCTATATATATGGAGGGCTAACTTTTCTTATGAAGTTCCTCAGGGCCAACTGCAGAACTTGAGTATGCACAGATTTTGGTAAACTTAGGGGTCCTGGACCCAACCCCTCACTTATACCAAGGCACGACTGTCTATCACTTTGTTTAGCCATTGATTTGTTCATGGGCATTTAGGTGCTTTCCACCTTTGGCTCTTGTGAATAGGGCTACTGTGAACATTCGGTACACGTTTTTGTTTGAACACTTGTTGTCAATTCTGGATATATGTCCAGGAGTGGAATTGCTGGGTCAGTGCTACTAACTTCTGATCAGTATTTAAAACTAATTTTTGCCACAATGGCTCATGTCAGTGGTTGCCTTCCCTCCTCACTCGAGTTCCCCGCAAGGTGAATTCCACTGGGACAAACATTGAGTCAACTGCATATATTTTACTGAAGATTTTGTATGAAGAGCAAGGGAGGGGTTGACGCTGAACACCCTGCAGTTCTTGGTAAATAAAAAACTCCATTTCACCTCTCTCATTCTCAGTCTCTCTTCCCTCCTGCATCCCCAACCCATCATCCACCTGCCTCCCAACCTTCTCCCTAAGTTTTGTTCCTTTCCACAAAAGCACTAAAACTCAGTCTGGGTCTTCCAAGCCTGCCTCCCTACATGGACTCATTCACATTTTCTTCAAGCAGAGAAAAGGCCATTGAAGGCCATGCAACAAAGAAGGTGGTCCTGAGCTCCATGAACAAGATTCTCCCGGGACCCACCCTCCTTAGAAAACTATGGGAGAGGCTGGGTGCAGTGGCTCACACTTGCAATCCCAGCACTTTAGGAGGCCAAGGCGGGTGGATCACCTAAGGTCAGGAGTTTGAGACCAGCCTGACCAACATGGTGAAACCCCATCTCTACTAAAAATACAAAAATTAGCCGGGCGTGGCAGTGGGTGCCTGTAGTCCCAACTACTCGGGAGGCTGAGGCAGGAGAAGAATGGCTAGAACCCAGGAAGTGGAGGTTGCAGTGAACTGAAACCATGCCACTGCACTCTAGCCTGGGCAACAGAGCGAGACTACATCTCAGAGAAAAAAAAAAGAAAACTATGGAATATAATAAAATAGAATTTTTGCTACCAAGTTACACTGCAGATAAAGTCTATCACAGGACATCTCCCCTTCACCCAGTCGGAAGGTTTCAGCTTTCTGGTCAAGGTCTATACAGATGCCACAGACTAAAGACCTTGAAGATGTACATCGTTTATTAAACTCTCAGTGTTGAAAATTTTTCTAACTTCATTTAACAGAAATTTTGTGGATATATAGTAGGTATATATATTCATGTTGAGAATGTTTAAGTCTTCTGCTTTTAAAAGTTAAGAGCCATTTAATTGTCTATTTATTTATTGAGACACCATTTCACTGTGTCCGCCAGGCTGAAATGCAGTGGCACGATCTCAGTTCACTGCAACCTCCGCCTCCCGGGTTCAAGTGATTCTCATGCTTTAGTCTCTTTAGTAGCTGGGATTACAGGCATGTACCACCACACCCAGCTAATTTTTGCATTTTCAGTAGAGATGGGGTTTTGCTGCGTTGGCTAGGCTGGTCTCAAACTCCTGACCTCAAGTGATCTGCCTGCCTCAGCCTCCCAAAGTGCTGGGATTATAGGTGTCAGCCACCATGCCTGGCTTATTTATCTATTTATTTATAAGATGGAGTCTAGCTCTGTCACCCAGGCTAGAGTGCAGTGGCACAATCACAGCTCACTGCAGTCTCAACTGCCTGGGCTCAAGTATTCCTCCCACCTCAGCCTCCTGAGTAGCTGGTACCACTGGCATGCGCCGCCACATGCAACTAACTTTTAAAAAATGATATGTAGAGACAGGGTCTCAGTATACCGCCCAGGCTAGCCTCAGACTCCTGGCTCAAGCAGTTCTCTCGTCTTAGCCTCCGGAAGCATTGGGATTACAGGCATGAGCCATGGCGCCCAGCCATGCCATTTTTTAAAAAATCCAGATTTCCACTTTCCCTGGAAAAACCAAAGACTTTTAATGACTGTAAAACACATCCATGCCTGGTACCCACTGACCAGAGCTGAGCAGTGGCCGTCCCTCGGGCTGGGCCTGTACCTTCCCTGGCCTGGCCCGAGTCCCTCATTTCTGTGCCCTGTCTGGCCTCCGTGGGTATCTGGACATCTGGTCCGTGCTCCAGGGTAACTTCAGAGCAGCTCCAAAGGCAGAGCAGACATTAGGACTCTGCCTGGGGAGTGCAGTCAGGGCGGTAGCCCATGCCAGGTGTGATTCCCAGGCCTGCAGTGTGCGCCTGTCAGAGAAGCCCCCGAGGAGGGGCCGGTCCACTGTGGAGCACGGACACAGGCAGGCCAGCAGCCACCGACCAGGAGCCGAGCAGAGGACTCACTCATTCCACAGATATTCATTCAGCACCCGCTAGGTGCATTGCTCCAGATGCTAGGACAGCTGTGAGCATTCCTGCCCTCGTGGAGTGCCCTTTCCAGATAATATACACAATAAGTAAAGCACACTGTTTGCTGCATGGCAAGAAGGGCTAGGGAACCAGCGGGAGAGGGAGTGTTGGCATGAGGTAGGCAGAGAGAAGGAGGCCGAGGGCGGGAGGCTTGCCGCTGTAGATAGAGGGGCGAGGAACACCTCTCAGAGAAGGTGCTGTTTGAGTAAAGGCCTGAAGGAAGTGGGGAGGCAAGTGATGTAGTTGTCTGGAAGAATTTCAGGCAGAGGGAAACGGCAAGTGCAAATGCCCTGTGCTCGGTGCACCGGAGGCAGAGCCAGAGGGTACTGGGACTGTGGCCGCCACTGCAGGAGCCCGGGAGGAGAGTGGCAGGAGACTAGGGCAAGGGAGGAGGAAACTCGGACAGGGCCTGATGGTATGGCACAAGCACTCTGGACTTTACTCTGAGATGGGAAAGCTCTGGGAGCTTAACAGAAGAGTGGCCTGAGTTAGGCTTTAACCGGATCACGGTGGCCGGGCTTGTGGGAAGAATGTGGAGAAGTCAATCCACAGGCTCTAACAGTCACCCAGGTGAGGGAAGGGAGTGGGGAGGAGGGATGGCCGCAGGCAAGGCAGCAAGAAATGACTGGATTCTGGATACAGACGAAAATGGGGCTCCTGCATCTGCTGACGAGTGACGCGTGGGGCATGAGATGAGAGGATGACCGTAGGGTTATGGACCCGAACAGCTGGAAGCGTAGCATTGCCATTTACAAAACGGGAGGCCCTCAGGGATGAGGTACGCTGTGGCACGGAGATGTGTTGGCTTTGAGATGATCAAATTCGAGTGAAGATGAGGAAGGAGCAGCTGGTTACAGGAGCCTGGAGTTCAGGAGTCAGAAGATCAGGAGAGAGGCTGGAGCCCAGGGTGTGTCACCAAGCAGGTGACCATAGGTGAGGTCTCAGGCTGAGCCCTGAGCTTGCCAGCATTAAGAAGGCAGCGACAGTTGGAGACACCAGCAGCAGGTCAGTGAGGAGAGCAGCAGGTCAGTTAGAAGTTGTTCCTCTCGAGTTTATCTTCCATAGGGAAGAAAGTGGGTAAAAAAGTTTTGCCAGGGGCTGGGCGCGGTGGCTCATGCCTGTGATCCCAACACTTTGGGAGGCCGAGGCGGGAGGATTGCTTGAGCCCAGAAGTTCGAGACCAGCCTGGGCAACATGACAAAACCCTGTCTCTATAAGAAATAGAAAAATTTGCCAGGCATGGTGGCTTGCACCCATAATTCCAGCTACTCGGGAGGCTGAGGTGGAAGGATCGCTTGAACCCGGGAGGCAGAGGTTGCAGTGAGCTGAGAGATCACGCCACTGCACTCCAGCCTGGGTGACAGAGTGAGACCCTGTCTCAAAAAAAAAAAAAAAAAAAAAAAATTGCTGACTTATTTATATAACTAAACCAAAATAAAGAATTTCCTGTCTCCCAAGGGATTTTGGCACCCTAAATTGGGGCCAAATTTATAGCTTTAAAAAATATATATATATATTTTTGAGACAGTCTTTCTCTGTTGCCTAGGCTGGAATGCAGCGGCACGATCTTGGCTAACTGCAACCTCTGCTTCCTGGGTTCAAGTGATTCTCCTGCCTCAGCCTCCTGAGTAGCTGGGATTACAGGTGCCCACCACCATGCCCGGGTAATTTTTGTATTTTTAGTAGAGATGGGGTTTCACCATGTTGGCCAGGCTGGTCTTGAATGGCTGGCCTCAAGTGATCCCCCCGTCTCAGCCTCCCAAAGTGCTGGGATTACAAGCATGAGCCACCATGCCTGGCCTAGCTTAAAATGTTTTAATGTAAGTTTTGGATAGGAGATACACTCACCATATGGTTCACGTTCAAAGAGCACAGCAGTCTTTCCCTCACCCTTGCTCCTCAGCCCCCGACCCCTTACCCAGAGCCAACCAGGTCCCCAATTTCTTAGTCTTCCAGAAGTGTTCTTGGCGTATGCTATGTACATTTTTTTAGATAGTGCTATTCCACTTAAAAGGTTACAGTATAAGGCTGGACACAGTGGCTCATACCTGTAACCCTAGGGCTTTGGGAGGCTGAGGCGAGAGGATTGCTTGAGTCCAGGAGTTCAAGACCAGCCCCGTTTCTGCAAAAAAATACAGAAATTAGCTGGGTGTGGTGGCGTGTGCCTGTGGTCCCAGCTACTAGGGAGGCTGAAGTAGGATCGCTTGAGTCTGGGAGGTGGAGGTTGCAGTGAGCTGATTGTGCCACTGCACTCTGGCCTGGGAGATAGAGACCCTGTCTTTAAAAAAAAAAAAAAAAAAAAAAAAAAAAGACAATATAAATCAGTTGTATAGTGTAAATGTAACTTTTTTTTTTGGCGGTGGAGGGATGGAGTCTCCCTCTGTTGCCGAGGCTGGAGTGCGGTGGTAAGATCTCGGCTCACTGCAACCTCCGCCTCCCGGGTTCAAGCGATTCTTCTGCCTCAGCCTCCCCAAGTAGCTGGGATTACAGGCGCCTGCCACCATGCCCAGCTAATTTTTGTATTTTTAGTACAGACAGGGTTTCATCATGTTGGCCATGATGGTCTCGAACTCCTGACCTTGTCATCCACCTGCCTCGGCCTCCCAAAGTGCTGGGATTACAGGCGTGAGCCACAGTGCCCGGCCTGTAAATGTAACTTTTATATGCACCGGGAAGTCAAAAAAAAATGCATGTGAGTTGCTTTATCTCAGTGGTTTGGATCTAAATCCCTCCATATCTCTGTGGCATGCCTGTACAAGCATGGGGGTGGCAGGGGGTGTGAGCACACATTCCTCCCTTTGCCCTTCATTTCACAATGATAGCATATACCCGCTGTTCATTTAACACATCTCAAAGACCATTCCTTGAAGATCATGTACTAATATACAAATAAAGAACTTACTCATTCTCTTTTTTCTCTTTTGTGCATGTGCCGTAATTTGCTTAACCAGCCCCTTACCAAGGGACTTTTACGTCGCTTCCCATCTTTTGTTGCAATAATAACCTTGCTCGCCTGTAATTTTGCACCTGTGTGAATATAAATCAGTTGGATAAATTCCTAGAAGCAGAATTGTTAGGTCAAGGGGGATGTGTATTTGCATTTTTAATAGAGATCCCCAAAGGTGGTACAGTTTAAGCTCCCACAAGCCACGTACAAGAGTTCATGTTTCGACACATTTTCCAGCATAGTCTGTTACCAAATTCTTTCTCTTTCATCTGAGAGTTTTAAAGAATGGAATTTCAGTCTGCACTTCTCTTGCCATTGGTGGGGTTGCCTGTAGTTTGTTTTGTTTTGTTTTGAGACAGAATCTCTTATCACCCAGGCTGGAGTGCAGTGGCATAATCTCGGCTCACTGCAACCTCCGCCTCCTGTAACCTCTGCCTCACGGGTTCAAGCAATTCTCCTGCCTCAGCCTTCTGAGTAGCTGGGATTACAGGCATGCACCACCATGCCTGGCTAATTTTTGTATTTTTAGTAGAGACAGGATTTTGCCATGTTGGCCAGGCTGGTCTCGAACTCCTGACCTCAGGTGATCCACCTGCCTTGGCCTTCTGAAGTGTTGGGATTACACGCATGAGCCACTGTGCCCGGCCTACCTGTAGTTTTTGACAGGGCACCTGGAAGTGTCACTCAGCAGAGAAGTTACTGGACTGGGTTTGCACGCAATGCCCCTTTTCATTGCTCAGCCTCTACAGGGCTGTTCTGGCCCCTTTCACCCAGGAGGAGCTAAGTAGAGAAACGTATTCCCTTGAGGGTTTTAGTCACTAAAAGTGGGATATTCTCTGAAATTACTGACTTAGAAATGGAGGCACGCTGCTTACCTCAGAAGGCTGACTCGCCCATGATCATATTTGAGGATCTGCACCATTTATTCATTCAATTCAGCAACTATTGACGGAGAGTTTAGTGTGTACCAGGGACTGAGCTGGGCTTGGAGGAAATGAGAAATTGAAGGCCCCACACTCAAGGAAGTTTTATGTTGTAGCATAACATACAACAATCAAGCAAACAAATGAGGATTTTAAGGAGGGATAAAGGCCAGGCACAGTGGCTCATGCCTGGAATTCCAGTGTTCTGGGAGGTTGAGGTGGAGGATGGCTTCAGGCTAGGAGTTCCGGACCAGCCTGGGCAATGTAGCAAGACCCTGTCTCTACAAAAAAAAATGAAACAGTAGCCAGGTGTGGTGGCGCATGCCTGTAGTCCCAGCTACTCAGGCAGCTGAAGTGGGAGTATCCTTTGAGCCCAGGAGTT
The DNA here is from genome assembly GCF_000001405.40 of Homo sapiens. NCBI lineage: Eukaryota > Metazoa > Chordata > Mammalia > Primates > Hominidae > Homo > Homo sapiens. Next base: position 53,519,793 of record NC_000016.10, on the reverse strand, counting down.
CAAGTCTGCAGTGAGCCTTGATTGCACCACTGCACTCCAGCCTGGGCAACACAGCAAGACCCCATATCTTAAAAAAAATATATATATATATATTTACATATATATTATACATAAATATATACATATGTATAAAAGAAGGAGAGATAAGTGCTGTGAGGAAAATAGGATGATGTAACAGTGACAAAAAAAAAAAAAAAGACGGAGTCAGAGAAGGCTTCTTGGGGAGGTGACGCTTTAGCTGAGGCGTGAAAGAGAAGAAGACAGGCAAGATCTGGGGAAGGAACATCCAGGCAGAGCGGACAGGCTGTCCAAGAGGGCGTCCAAGGAGCAGAAGTAAGGCTTGTGAGTTGGTTCACGGTAGGTGAAAGGGGGAGACATAACAACTGAGCATGGAGAAGTGACCCCAAAGGCCACAGTGAAGAATCAGATTGTCTTTCGTTGCAGTTTGAAGCTCGGGGAAGGGTTTAAGCGATGGAGTGCTGGTACGTGCTCAACTGGCTGTGGAGTGGGGACGTGGAGTCTGACCGAGAGTGTTTGCTGACTTCTATGGTGTAGATGTTCCCATGAGGACAATTTCAAATTCCCCAAGTGTTCACTGAGCTCAGAGTTAAAAGGAGACGTGCACAGACAGCCGTGGGTGAAAATGATGGCTCCTTCCTTTGGACTGGTTTTATTGAAAGTATGCTGCTTTTTACACTTAAAGGGCATTTTATAAAACAAAACATTACAAGCTGATGAGTGGCTCCTCATACCCCTGGGTTAAGCCAGAGAGTCGTGTGCTTTGATTCCTGTTAAGACCATCTGGCTGCTGTGTGGACTTTCTTGAGCCCTTCAAATCAAAGGTGCTTACCCCACCGTCATCACAGGGCTAACCGCATCACTTCCTTCCGTTCCCTTCCCACATCCTGCCTGCCTTTCCTGCTAGGGTACAAACCACAGCCTTAGGTCTTAATCTGATCTCAACAATGGACTTGATCTTTTCTCGAGGCTGATGGATTCCAGTGCCGAAAGTGACTTCTCTTTAACTTCTCCTGCTATTATGTGGAGAAAATCCAGAGCAGGGAAGAAAACCCCTCCTGACTGTCCACATTGTTTTGATTTCCCTCCTGCAATACATGGAGATATTGGTTTTTGTAGCGCGACCTAGGATCCTGCCCTACCTCTCTTCACTTTTGCTCCTGAAATTGTCAGACGCTCGGGAAACTGCATTCTTATTATTAGTCGATTGCCTCTGTGCTTGGCATGGCACGCGTGGGGACAGAGAGGTCTATTTGTTTTTCATTTCCATGTCTAATTTAAAGAGGGGGTAAAAAGTCTCACCATCCTTAAAATTCTGAAATTACTTTGGTCTTTGTTGGTCAGCAAATAAATTAATTTTCACTTGAAGAAACATCATTTTTAATGGCTTTCATTCTGGCCTGGCCTCATCCCACGGTACAATTACTGAGGTAACTATCGCCAGCAAGGAGACAGTGGGAGCTGTAGATCAGAAATTGTTTACCAGGCTAGCAGGCATCGATTTAGTCAAGTTATCCAACACAGCTGATCATATTTTATTTTCCCAAATCTTCTCTCTCAAATTGATTTTTCAGAAAGTTTTTAATACAGGTTTATTCACCTAGCTAATCCATTTATCTTCAGCTCCACCTGTAAAGTCAAGAAAATCTCTACAGGGATCTGCAAAAAGAAAGGCATTCTCTCTGCACCCCTCTCTCTCCTCCCCACACACGCACAAGTGCACGCGCTGCACGCTCAGGTGCCACACTCTCCCAAGTGCAGCTAATTATCCATGAGACTCTCAAAACTTCTCATCTTCCTGGGCCTCCATTTCTTCTGCAGAATTGGAGATTTGTACCACTTTGTCTTTAAAGTCCTTTCTAACTTGAGATCTTCAGAATCAGAGTTTAGAGCTGGGGAGGGATGAGGGAGCTCAGTCTCCACAATTCAGTTTTGGAAGAGAAGGCTCTTCCACCAGCAATTGGACAGGTCCTGGCTAATAGCGGCAATGATGGTGGGACAAGGACTGTGACTGCATTCTTGACTACACCTCCCTTCCCTGCAGCCTGGGGTTAGTTTTCTCTATCCCAAGAGCAGAAAGATTTTAAGGCATCAAAGGCCTTTCTCTGGGGCACCCCAGCAAGTGGCCATGCTGGAAGGTGTCTTCCTATTGTTGCTGGAGCAATGTGTTTGGTAGACAGACCCTGAAGGAGTCTTCAAATGTCTTGAAAAATAATATAAATTGGCCAGGCAGGGCAGTGGCTCATGCCTGTAATCTCAGCACTTTGGAGAGGCCAAGGCAGGAAGATCACTTGAGGCCAGGAGTTCAAGACCAGCCTGGGCAACATAGACCTCCATCTCTGTAAATAAATTTATAAAAATTAGCCAGGTATGGTGGTGTACACCTGTAGTACTGGCTACTCAGGAGGCTGAGATGGGAGGATTGCTTAGCCCAGGAGTTCGAGGCTGCAGTGAGCCATGATCATGCCACTGCACTGTAACCTAGATGACAGAGTGAGATCCTGTCTCAAAAAAAAAAAGAAAAGAGAATAATAATACATGAATGATGCAGGTGGCTGCCTGTGCTTTCATGAAGGGTGTGGCCATCAAAGAATCTGAAGCATGATTCCAGCTCTTCTGGGCTCCTAGAGGTGTAGGTATGCTGGGAACCATATCAGGCACCAAGAAAACATGTATGGTGGGGCAGCAGTGCAAGGTTAACCTAGGTCTGCATCTCAGAGGTAGACACCTATTCCTAGAGTCCTCACTCTTCTCTAAGTCCCAGCTGCAAAGTTAATGACTTGTTGGCCCAGCCTGAATTATGCAGAACTGGCTCATGATCCTTCAGCTCGTGGTTCTCTGGAGCCAAAATATGTGTGTTTTGTTTCATGATCTTATTTCATTTTTATTTTTTTTAGAGACAGGGTTTCTCTCTTTTACTCAGGCTGGAATGTGGTAGCATGATCGTGTCTCACTGAAGCCTTGACCTCCTGGGCTCAAGCGATCCTCCCACTTCAGCCTCCTGGGTGACTGGGCCTACAGAAACACACCCAGCTAATTCTTAGACTTTTTTTTTTTTTTTTTTAAGAGACAGGGTCTCGCTATGTTGCCCATGCTGGTCTCAAACTCCTGGGCTCAAGCAGTCCTCCCGCCTCAGCCTCCCAAAGTGCTGGGATTACAGGCATGAGCCACTATGCCTGTCCTCATGATCTTATTTCAGATGAGGCTGCTCTTTTGACATGTCTCTGCCTTTTCCTCCACTATTGGATGTGCTTCCTGGGTGGATAGTTTGCAGAAGAGAAGAGACAAGCAGAGGTATTTGCTGTAATCAAAGACTCTTCACATTGTCCCCAGGGCTGTCAAACTAAACCCAGTGTCACCAGGGGTTTATTGTTCTGCAGACTGTTTTTGTGCTGAAACCCATCTCTCTTCAGCTCCTTTTTCACAGCGTGCAGTCAGATGCCCCGTGTATGAGCAGAACTAAGAGCTATGACCCATGCAAGCAGAGGCATGCATGGCAGTCGGAGGCCTCCCCAGGTCCCAAAAAGGCTTTGCCAATGCGCCACAATATTCCCATTAACTCCCTGCAATACGGGCTCTGAGATGCCCCTCTCCTATCAGGTACAGGTCGCAGAACTGCACAGAAATGGCCATCAATGCACAGAAGGCCACAGCTGGTGGACAGACCCTCTTATTCCTAAGTGGGCTGTTTTCTCATTGTTATAAGCTGTGTTTTAAATACTTACCCTGGCACTTTGCCCATGGGTTTGCAAAGTGCTAAATAACAAAATGTGGTCCTTTTCCTGAATAAATGAGACAGGTCATGGGTGCCTGTGGGCCATGCCAAGAGGATCATGGGGGAGAGTGTCTTTCACAATCAAAGAGATACCTCTTGCTGGGTATGGTGGTTCATGCCTGTAATCCCAGCACTTTGGGAAGCTGAGGCAGGTGGATTATTTGAAGTCAGGGGTTTGAGACCATCCTGGCCAATGTGGTGAAACCCCATCTCTACTAAAAATGCAAAAATTAGCCAGGCATCTTGGCGCACACCTGTAATCCCAGCTACTTGGGAGGCTGAGGCAGGAGAATCACTTGAACCCAGGAGGCAGAGGTTGCAGTGACCCAAGGTCATGCCGTTGCACTCCAGCCTGGGCGACAGAGCCAGACTCTGTCTCAAAAAAAAAACCTTGGTACAGTCATGCCCTGACAGCCTCTGACGTGACCCGTCTACACTTTGATACAGACTGTGGGGAAACCTCCTAATCACAGTTTGGCTCTTCCTGTGGTCAGCAGATTCCTCAGGAGTGAGGACTGCACAGTGGACGCTCATCTTAATACAGGAAGAAGAAAAACAATGAGGCTCATCCGCAGCTGCAGAGGAGGCAGTCATTTCCAGCTTTCCAGTCAACAAATACTTACAGGGCCCTATTGGTCTGTTAGGGCCATGGTAACAAAGTACCACCCACGGGGTGGCTCATGCAACAGAAACTTATTTTCTCACAGTTCTGGAGGCTGAAAGTCCAAGATCAAGGTGCTGGCAGGGTTGGTTTCCTCCCCTAAGGCCTGTGTCCCTGGCTTGCAGATGGCCATTCCCTTGCTGTCTCTTCCTGTGGTCATCGTTCTTTGAGTGCAGGTCCCTTGTGCCTCTGTGTGTGTCTAAATTTCCTCTTGGGTTTTGATATGGCTTGGCTGTGTCCCCACCAAAATCTCAACTTGTACCTTCCAGAATTCCCACAGGTTGTGGGAGGGACCCAGGGGGAGGTAATTGAATCATGGAGACAGTTTTTTTGTTTGTTTGTTTTTTGAAATGGAGTCTCACTCTGTCGCCCAGACTGAAGTGCAGTGGCGTGATCTCTGCTCACTGCAAGCTCTGCCTCCTGGGTTCATGCCATTCTCCTGTCTCAGCCTCCCGAGTAGCTGAGACTACAGGTATCCGCCACCATGCCCAGCTAATTTTTTTTTGTATTTTTAGTAGAGATGGGGTTTCACCATGTTAGCCAGGATGGTCTCGATCTCCTGACCTCATGATCCACCCACCTTGGCCTCCCAAAGTGCTGGGATTACAGGCATAAGCCACTGCACCTGGCCATGGAGATGGTTTTTACCGTGCTGTTCTTGTGATAGTGAATAAGTCTCACAAGATCTGATGTGTTTATCAGGGGTTTCTACTTTTGCTTCCTCCTCATTTTTCTCTTGCCGCCACCATGTAAGAAGTGCCTTTTGAAGTGCCTTTCACCTCCCACCATGATTCTGAGGTCCTCCCAGCCATGTGGAACTGTAAGGCCAACTAAACCTCTTTTTGTTCCCAGTTTCAGGTATGTCTTTAACAGCAGTGTGAAAACAGACTAATACAGTAAATTGGTACCAGTAGAGTGGGGTGTTGCTGAAAAGATACCTGAAAATGTGGAAGCAACTTTGGAACTGGGTAACAGGCAAAGGTTGGGACGGTTTGCAGGGCTCAGAAGAAGACAGGAAAATGTGGGAAAGTTTAGAATCTCCTAGAGACTTGTTGAATGGCTTTGACAAAAATGCTGATAGTGATACGAACAATAAGGTCCAGGGTGAGGTGGTCTCAGATGGAGATGAGGAACTTGGTAACTAGAGTAAAGGTGACTTTTGTTGTGTTTTAGCAAAGAGACTTGTGGCATTTTGCCCCCACCCTAGAGATTTGTGGAACTCTCAACTTGAGAGAGATGATTTAGGGTATCTGGTGGAAGAAATTTCTAAGCAGAAAAGCATTCAAGAGATGACTTGTGTACTGTTAAAAGCATTCCATTTTAAAAGGGTAGTAGAGCACAAAAGTTTGGAAAATTTGTAGCCTTACTATGCAATAGAAAAGAAAAACCCATTTTCTGTGGATAAATTCAAGCCAGCTGCAGAAATTTGCATAAGTAGCAAGACGCCTAATGTTAATCTCCAAGTCCACGGTGAAAATGTCTCCAGACCATGTCAGAGAACTTCCAGGCATCCCTTCCCATCACAGGCCTGGAGGCCCAGGAGTAAAAAGTGGTTTTGTGAGCTGGGCCCAGGGTCCGCATGCTGTGTGGAGCCTAGGGACTTTGTGCCCTGTGTCTCAGCTGTTCCAGCCATGGCTGAAAGGGGCCAATGTATAGCTCAGGCTGTGGCTTCAGAGGGTGGAAACCCCAAGCCTTGGCAGCTTCAACGTGGTGTTGAGCCTGCGAGTGCAAAGAAGTCAGGAATTGAGGTTTGGGAACCTCCACTTAGATTTCAGATGTATGGAAACTCCTGGATGCCCAGGTAAAAGTTTGCTACAGGGGTGGGGCCCTGAATGGAGAACCTCTGCTAGGGTAGTGTGGAAGGGAAATGTGGGGTGAGAGCCCCCACACAGAGTCCCTGCTGGGGCACTGCCTAGTAGAACTGTGAGAAGAGGGCCACCATCCTCCAGACCCCAGAATGATAGATCCATCAACAGCTTGCACCGTGTGCCTAGAAAAGCCACAGACACTCAATGCCAGCCCGTGAAAGCACCCAGGAGGGTGACTGTACCCTGCAAAGCCACAGGAACAGAGCTGCCCAAGGCCATGGGAACCCACCTCTTGCAAAGTGCGACCTGGATGTGAGACCTGGAGTCATTGGAGATCATTTTGGAGCTTTAAAATTTGATTGCCCTGCTGGATTTAGGACTTGCATGGTCCCTGTAAACTGCTTTGTGTTGGCCAATTTCTCCCATTTAGAACAGCTGTACTTATCCAATACCTGTACCCCCATTGTATCTAGGAAGTAACTAGCTTGCTTTTGATTTACAGGCTCATAGGCGAGAGGGACTTGCCTTGTCTCAGATGAGACTTTGGACTGTGGACTTTTGGGTTAATGCTGAAATGAGCTAAGACTTTGGGGAACTATTGGGAAGGCAGGATTGGCTTTGAAATGTGAGGACATGAAATTTGGAGGGGGCAGAATCATATAGTTTGGCTGTGTCCCCACCAAAATCTCAACTTGAATTGTATCTCCCAGAATTCCTACAAGTTGTGGGAGAGACCCAGGGGGAGGTAACTGAATCATGGGGACCGGTCTTTCCCATGCTGTTCTTGTGGTAGTGAATAAGTTTCATGAGATCCGATGGGTTTATCAGGGTTCCTGCTTTTGCTTCCTCCTCATTTTTCTCTTGCCACCACCATGTAAGAAGTGCCTTTCACCTCCCACTATGATTCTGAGGCCTTCCCAGCCGTATGGAACAGTAAGTCCAATTAAACCTCTTTTTGTTCCCAGTTTTGGTTATGTCTTCAACAGCAGTGTGAAAATGGACCTAATATAGGTTTTTATATTTTGTTTTGGGGGGCGTTTGTGTTTGTTTTGTTGGGTTTTTTGTTTTTTGTTTTTTGTTTTTGAGACAGGGTCTTGTTCTGTCACTCAGGCTGGAGTGCAAGTGGCACAACCAGAGCTCACTGCAGCCTCAACCTCCGTGGGCTCAGGTGATCCTCCCACCTCAACTGGGACTACAGGCATGTGCCACCAGTCCTGGCTAATTTTTTATTCTTTTGTAGAGTATCACTATGTTGCCCAGGCTGGTCTCGAACTCCTGGCCTCAAGTGATCCTCCCATCTTGGCCTCCCAAAGTGCTGAGATTACAGGCGTGAGCCACTGTGCCTGGCCCCCCATAGGCTTTTTGTCCATGTGAGATGGGGAACCTCCAGAGGGGTCTAAGCAGAAAGTGACCTGACCTGACCCAGGTTCAGCGTGGTCACACTGCTGGCCACGCTGAGGGCAGATGAGAAGGATGGAGGGGAGGCAGAGCCCAGCAAGGAGTCTGGCACCCTCACCCAGGCCAAGGGGCATAGGGCACGGTTGCTCAAACCAGGGTAGTAGCAGTGGAGGTGTGGGAACGATTTGGGGGTTGCCTGTTTTGTGGTGTAACCTTTGCTCCCCCTGCTGCCCTCTGTCCATGTGTGACCTTGCCCTTTGCTGGAGAGCGATATTTCTGGTCAGGAAGCAATAGCGGCACACTCTCTAATCAGCTCACATTTCTAGAAGGGCTGCCTCCGACACGGGTGGCTGTGGCTGTTACAGAAGGGAAGATAAGCAGAGGCTAAACGGGGTCACCTACCATGCCCCATGCCATGTGACTTAAGGTAGAGGCACCCCAGGAAGCACCGGGGCCCATCATGAGGATATGGACAGGTGGTGGTTGGGGGCTGAGGGAGCTCTCCCACACTCTCTTTGGCCCCAGAGGGCTCACCACCTGGCTTCATCTGTTTTCCTGCCTGACTCCACTAATACTGACAGCCCAGTGGCTCTATTTGGTCAGTGACTAAATAAATATTTGTCCTGAGAAGCTGGGTCACATGACCCTTGGGTGATGGCCTGGTTCCTCAGTGACTTGTGTCACTAGGAATGTTGCACCTCCCCAGTGACACCTCCACCCCTGATTTCCACCTAAACACACCTTGCTCAGAGATGCTGTGTCCCCATTTACATACCTCATCCTTAATTGCGTGGGCAAATTTGGGGCTGGCCTTCAACCTAGGCCATGTTACCATGCTCCTACATAGTGTAAGCGTGGAGCCTCGGGGAGGGGTGTAGTGATCCCCGCTTCTCACAGCCCCTAGCCTCTCCCCAGTCCCTTCACCATCCCCTCATTTCCTCGGACCATCTGTGATGGAGGAGAGAATTTGTCATTATGCCCTGGGCCAGTACTGGAAACTCCACCATTATTGATTGATCTCTTTAATGCAGGGCTTTAAGTCCTAACGTATGCGGAAGGATTAAACTCAGTCATTTATATTTAGGGAATGAAGATTCCAAGGTTTGCTTTTGATGTGGAGGGAGAGATGTAGTTGTAGATGGGGAGATTCTGGGGGCTAAAGGTCTGAATTTCCTCAGGTGTGGCAACCCTGCGGAATGGCTTCTTACAGGATCTTTAAGGCGTCTTAGGTGGAAGGCTCAGTAAAAATGTTTTCCTTGAATCCACCCCTCATCTCCATGTACTCAAACCTTTGGTGGAGATGCTACCCTGCTTGAGACTATTCAACCCTTTGGTTAAGGAAAATATAAAACTTTTAGGAATGATTTTTAGGAATGCCAATGTAGACTTAGGATTTCTTTTTCTTTTAAGGGAAGGAGTTTGTTTAAAATCTGTATGAGCAACTTGAGAAGATAATTTCGGCTTTGCTACTTGCATTCTTCCTATTGCCCACCAGAGGGCACTCAAGCACCCGCCAGGCGGAGTTCCCTAACCCGTGGATTCCTCAACCGCACCCAGCATCTTCCCAGGCTGGAGCTGAGTTAGAACAAGGGAAAGTTGACCCGCTAAGTGTCTTCTGAAAGGGCCATCTAAATGGTGTCAAGAGAAGCCGCCGCCTGTGACTGAGAAAAATACAAATGACACTCATGCGAGCCCAGTAGGATGTACAGCCACTGCCTCTCTGCGGTCACGTTTGCTGTGTTATTCACATTCCCAGAGGAAAAAGCTGTGTGCCTGGCTTTAGCATTCTTTCCAGCAGTCTTTATTTCCTCTTCTCGGGCACATTAGGGAATGTTTTGTACCTTGTCACATTAGAGGAAAAAAAAAAAAAAGGACGTTCTGCAGAGCGAGTTTAGGGCACACCAGTTATCAGGGACCTGAGGCCTGACTTGGCCAGAGGTCGGATGCGGCAATACCGGGTGCGGAATGCGTAACCACCCACCCGGGCCGGGGCTTCCCTCACTAAATTTCAGCAGCACGGCAACCGCAGTTCGCCACTTAGTGTCTCCTGCACTGCATCCGGCGTATTTTAAAACTGGATTCGACTTGGCTAGCATGAAGTAGGCAGCAAGGGCCACGAGAATAAGTCTGTTATGGACTCGACATTCATAATAACAAAGTTATTGACAGGAAGTCAGTCTTATAAGTGGGAAGTAGGAATGACCCTAATACTCTCCTGGAAGCCTCATTATTTGCTCATTATTGTACAGTTCCAGATATTCAGATAACTTTTCTTAGCAGACTACATTTCTGTTTTTAATCGTTGGTTCATGCAAAACCATTAGGATGCAATTCTTACTAAATCAGTGGCTCCAGCCAGGCGCGATGGCTCACATCTGTAACCCCAGCACTTTGGGAGGCCAATACAGGAAGATGGCTTGAGGCCTGGAGTTTGAAACCAACCTGGGCAACATGGTAAAGCCCCCATCTCTACAAAAAAAAAAAAAAAAAGAAAAAAATTAGCTGGGTGAGGTAGTGGTACACACCTGTGGTCCCAGCTACTCAGAAGGCTGTGGCAGGAGGATTGCTTGAGCCCAGGAGTTTGACATTGCAGTGAGCTATGACCGCAACACTGCACTCTATCCTGGAGGACAAAGGGAGACCCTGTAGACAGCTCGAGGAGCCACAATAAGCTTCTCACCCATGAAGCACTCCTGCCAAAAATGACGAATCCAATCAAGCCTTCACACCTGACAGTTTATAGGAAATACAAGGATAGAGGATCAAGTTAAACATCACAAGAAAACAGCCAAATCCAAAATGCGGAATACTCTGATCTGTTGACCGGTTCAAATTGTCAATATTATTGGGAGGAAAAAGTGGGAGGGCTGTTCTAGAATAGAGATTAAAGGGATATAACCAAATGCAATGACTGAATCTTGATTGAATCCTGGTTTAGAAAAATAACTGTCTTAGTCTGTTTGGACTGCTATAACAAAATACCATAAACTGGGCAGCTTATAAACAGCAGAAATTTATTTCTCATAGTCCTGGGGGCTGGGAAGTCTGAGAGCAAGGTGCTGGCAGTTTAGGAGTCTGGTGAGTTCTTGCTTCTTCAGGGATAGCATCTTCTCACTGCGTCCTCATGTGGTGGAAGAAGGAAGATCGCTCTCTGGGGTCCCTTTTATAAGGGCACAAATCCCATGTATGACTAACTCATAACCCAGTCATCTCCAAAAGGCTTCACCTCCAAATACCATTACATTAGTTATTACGTTTTCAACATATAAATTTTGAAGAGATAAACATTCCGTCCTTAACCATAAAAGTGTTTTCTTGGTGTGTGACAATTAGGGCAATTTTAATAGGTCTGAAGGCTAGGTGCGGTGGCTCAGGCCTGTAATCCCAGCACTTTGGGAGGCCGAAGTCGGCATATTTTGAGACCAGCCTGGCCAACAGGGCGCATCCCTGTGTCTACAAAAAAATACAAAAGTCAGCTCGGTGTGGTGGTATGCACCTGTAGTCCCAGTTACTCGGGAGGCTAAGGTGGGAGGATTGCTTGAGCCCAGTATGCTGAGGTTGCAGTGAGACACTGCACTCCAGCAAGGGCAACAGAGCAAGATTGTGTCTCAAAAAACAAAAAAAAAGCATACAAAGTCTAGGAATGTGGAGTTAATTTTCTTAGGGGTGGCTGTGGCAGTGTAGTTCTGTAAGGGAATGTCCTTGCTCTGAAGAGAAACACCCTGGGAAGCACTAAGGAGGGAAGGACATGATGACGGCAACTTATTTTTAAATGACTCAGGAGGAAAACTAATAGATGAAATACGGCAAAACATTAACATTGTTGAATCTAGATGGTGAGTGTAAGGGAGTTTGTTGTCCTCTACTCTTCGGTATGACTGAACATTTTTATAGTAAAATATTAGAATAAATGATGGTCACGGTGTCATTTGCTTTGGGTGGGTGACTCTCGAGATCACTGAGCTTCCCTATCGTTCACGGAATCACCATTTACCTATTGCAAGAAAGAAAAGGTGTCTGTGCCTGGAATAGTACCCTTCCCTGAAAGAGTATTGCTTTCTCTCTCTTTGGTTTTCTGAGTGTGCCACTCTAGATAAAACTAACTCAAGCCTTTATCATCATTCCAAATGCTTTGAGACCACAGAGTGAAGTGGTTTCCCAAAGATAAACTGAATCAAAGAGAACACTGCTCTTATGGCTGTGGGTACAGTCATCAGCGTGCTGAGGGAGTGGGGATTATTTGCGGTGTCAGACCACGTTCAAAATGCTGTTTGATTATAAAAGGAAATCAGTTCTCTTCAGCCCTGAATGAGCAGCCGTATCATATATTGGTTGCTTTTCCTTAAGACATAAATATCCGCAGTGGTCCATCAGCTACCCTGATTTCATTTTGAAATGTTGTAGTCTGTCTGTAAAATTCATTCCTCCACCCGCCCACCCACTTGCTCAGGGATAGGAGTTATGGGTAATGGGATAGGGAGGAAAACATGATGCAACCAAAACCTGGAAGCACATGTGTGATGTTATAAGCAAGAACCGTATCGCTCGATGAGGCTATGGAAAGGAAGAAAGCCACATCATCCGTCTATAGCAGCATTTCTAAACCTTCAATAATTCTTAAAAGTTTGTGATTTCTGTCTTGTCTGAGGATCATTGTTAACTATAGGACAACTATCTGATCTCCCTTAAATCCATTTACTTAAAAAAAACAACAACATTAAATGCCTACTTTGGTCTCATCCTAAACATTATTACCCATAAAATAATGGCTTTAATGTGCTAAGTATATTTTTTCAAAGACATTAATATGTATAGCTAGATCATCCTCCCATATTTTGAACAGTATATGTAATCAGTGACATGTATACAGGAATCTACTTTTCAGAAAAGGACTTGGGGGCAAATGGATTGCGCTAAAAACATCGGCTTATATGTGTGCCTGTGTATGAAACATATGTATTTTAACAACCTTCAACATTTTATCCTTTCCTTCTTTCTGTGAAGGCCTTTAATAGTTAAGTCAGTGATCTAAACAGCTTTGTACAGTTACTTTTCCGGAGTCCAAAAGATGTATGATTCAGGGAATATTTTGCTGATTAGAACATGAGCAGAAGTCCTGAATACTCAGAGATCACATATCTATTAAGTCTGGATGCAAAAAGAACCTTTTGGTGCAAATATATCAAATATGCTTCAAAAATTGAGAATAGGAAATGTAATATGAAGCGATTTAAAATGTTTTATAGGTAAGGTTTTGGGTCCATTGAGATTTTTCTCAGCACTTTATGTTTTAGTCTTAAAGAAATGGTACCTTGAGGCCACCTCCTCATTTCCCTTTGAATAAATCATCCTGATTTTCATAATGAGTTGCTTTCTTGGTGCAGACCTGTGGGCGTGCAGGTAGGTGTTTCAAATGTACTTTTGTTTCTTCTGTCCTTCATTTGGCAAATATTTATTGCATGCCTACAACATCTAGCTCTTGGGTGCCGGGGAGACAATAGAAAGCAAAAAAATGGTTCCTCCTCAGGAGCTTACAGTGTGGGAGACAGACACTAATAATCTCCCAAATCAACAGCAAATTGCCCCCAAGGAAGTAGTGTTAGAGCTGAGATCTGTGTAGGGGATTGAAGAGAATGAACTGGGCAAAGGGAACGTTCACTGCGAAGGCCCCTTTTGTGGCAGGGCAGGTAGGGGAGCAACTCCCTTCCAAGGAACTGGAAGAATGTCAGAGTGGCTGGAGTCTGCAGCCACCTGGGGCTGGGACACAGCCATGGTGAGGAGTTTGGTCTTTGCCCAATGGGGAACCACTGAAGGGCTTAAATTCCTCAAGAAAATGGAGGTTCTGTCAGCAATGAAAAAGGGAGAAGTGGGTATTAGGTATACAGGCAATAGTGCTTACAGAAACACCCCAAACATACCTACCCAAAACACAACCCAGATTTTCCCATTTCCCACTGTCCCAAACCTGCTTGTGGTTCACTGTTTGTCACCTCAGTGAATGGCCTCACCATCCATCCTGTAGCTCATGCTAAAAATCTAGGTGTCAGCCATATCTGCCTCTTCATCCCCCATACCTAGTCCATGGCCAAGCTCTGTCCACCCCACCTGTATGAATCCATCAGTGTTGCTATAAAGGAATACCTGAGGCTGGGTCATTTATTTTTAAAAAGAGGTTTATTCAGCTCATTGTCCACTTCCTTGGGGCAATTAGCCATTGATTTGGGAGATGACTTGATTAGCATCTATCTCCCGTAGCTCCATGAGGAGGAACAATGTCTGTTTTGTTCTCCAACGCCTCCCCAGCATTTAAAGCCTAGATGTCATTAAGCATGCAATAAATATATGTCAAATGAAAGACAGAGGCAACTAAGTATAAGAAGCATGGCACCAGCATCTTCTGGTGAGGACCTCAGGAAGCTTCCATTCATGGCAGAGGGAGAGGCCAGCAGGAATCATTTGGCAAGAGAGAGAGCAGTGGTCAGGGGAGGAGAAGGTGACAGGCTCTTTTTGACAATCAATTCTCTCGGGAACTAATAGAACTCACTCACTACTGCCAAGAACTCACTACTGCCAGGACAGCACCAAGCCTTTCATGAGGGATCAGCCTCCATGACCCAAATACTCCCACCAGGCCCCACTTTCAACATTGGGGGTCACATTTCAATATGAGGTTTGGAAGGGTCAAACCATATCCAAACTATATCATCCCGTCTTAAACATCTCTGGAACTCATTCAATTCTCCATCTCTACCTTCAAATTCATGCGATTCTCTGTTGCCTGAACTACTGCCATGGTTCCTCAACTGCCCCGTGAGCCTTGTGCCCCTACAATCTGTTTTCCGCACAAAGTGATGTTTTCAAAATACAAATCTGATCATGGCTCTCCTCTGCCTAAAGTCCAGGCAGAGATCTAGGGAAAATCTCAGCCCAAGTCGATCATGGCGGACTCCTTCCACTTGCCGTTGACTGGGTTTCGTTGTGGCCAGAGACTTACTTCTGGCCATTGAAACCTGCAGGCATTTCTTCTGCGGAGCTTCTGGGAAAGGTAGTCATGTATTTCAAAAGGGACCACTGGAAGAAAGGGATACTTTTAATTTTGTGAGATCCTGGGTGTGCCGCGGCCATCTTGCTACCAGCCTGAAAGTGCAATTCCAGGGACTGCAAGGAAAGCAGAGCCTGAAGACCAGGGCACCACCTCTGGAGACAATCCTCCCATGGGAGAGAAATCCCCTTGCTAAGTAAGCCGGTTTGAGTTGGCTTTCCTGCCATGTGCAGTCTGATGCTGGTGTGCGTCTGAGTCATCCGGTGCCAAGTACGCAGTTGATGACATGCATTGGAAGCTCAGTGGATAGATGTGAGCTGGAGAAATACCTATGTGGGTCCTCGGTGAAAACTGAAGGTTGGGGAAAGGAGGAAAGCAGAAAAAAAGCTTTGCAGAGGATAATGAGCTTCAAAGAAGATTGGGAGGAAATGGGCCACAGAGGTGCCAAAGGAGACCACCTGTGGCCTGAAAAAAGGATTTCCTGCTTGCCTGCCTTTCTGTATTAAGACTCGTATTAAAAGGCATGATAACATTCCTAAATGTGTCCTAAGGGGACAAAAGGAAGTGGCTCAGAAGTGTTTTCAGCTAGGGGAGGAAGCTGGGTTTCAGAACCAACCCTTGGGATTAACATCAGGAGAATTTGGCTTCCTGCCCTTTAATAAGTCACTTACCAGAATCTCAGAGGCAACCAAAAATGGACCAAACAACCCGGCCAGAGAATGCGGCTTCTGAGTGTAAGACACTGAGGCGGTGTCACAGACAGGTCAGTGCCTCTGGTGTCTAGAAAAGGGGCAGGGGCTTGCGGGGAGAGGGCTGTCGCGCAAGTGTGGAAGTGGAGTGCCGAGATTGGACGGACTAACCACGGGGAGGCACCGTTGGTAAGAACAGGCCTGGAAAGCAGCTGGCAGCAGTCACAGAATTAGGCCAGAGAGAGACCTCCATGGGAAAGCAGACGGGAGGTCCAAATGAGAGCGTGTGAATTAAAAAAAAAAAAAAAAAAAAAGACCAGGAACTATGTTGCTATGGGAGAGGTTCTCCAACTTCAGTGTGCGCCAGAATCAGCAGCGAACTGTGACAGATGTGGATTCCTGGTCCTCAGCCTCCCCCCTCCCCCCAGCCCCCGGCCCCCACTCGGATGCTGCAGGTCGGGGCCGACACACACAGATTTACAAAGCTCCTCTGGCTGCTCTAGTGCCCAGGGCCCACTTGGAGCTGAGCTCCCTTCAGCTCCAGCCTTCAGCTCCTGCACTGATGGAGAGAACGGGCGTTTCTTGATGCCACGCCAAGTGTCCTTCTGACCCCTGGTACCCTGTGGGCCCGACGTGGCGGCCTCGGGCCTCGCAGCGCCGCCCAACGCAGTAGGACCTAGCGATGGGAGCCACTGGGCAGTCGCGCGGCCCGGCCCTCCCCAAAAGCTTGGCTTGCAGACGTTAGCGTATGCCCCAGCCCCTGCGCATGGCGGTTGCGCTGTGGGCTGTGCGAATAAACCTCCGGGAAGGTCTCCGTGGTGACTGGCAGACGCCCTGGCCAATTGTGACCCGGCGCTTGTTTGTCTCTGCCCCATCCCTCCCCGGGGGGCCGATACTTCCATGACTGACAGGCCGTCCCAGGCGCTGTTACGTAAGGGGAGGGTCAAGTGCAGTCCCACCCAAACCGGGGTGATTTGATTTGCAGGACCGAGTGTGTTCTTCCCAACGCCCCCGGAAGAACGTCTTTGACGGGCAGGTGTGAGAGCCAGTTGGCGCCGGGAGGCCAGGCGGAAGCCTCGGGCCCCAGGATCGTGCAGCAGGGGGCGGAGCCCGCTGCCGAGGGCAGGGCAGGGCAGGGCAGGGCGGGGTGGGGCGGGGCGGGGATCAAGCAGGGGCAGGGCTGGCGCTGCGGCGGGAGATGCTGTCGGGCCGCGGCGGCGCTTGGCAGCCAGGAGCTCTGCATTGAAGGCACTGGGGTGAGGCTTACTGCCCGGCAGGCTGGTGGGTACGCGAGGGCTGAGGTGTCTGTAAATCTGGCCGCCAGCCTCCACGGGCCCGGCATTTGTCCATCTTTCTAGGCGCTCGCGACTCGGCGACGGCGGCCGCAGTGGGACACGGAGGCGGGGCCGGGCACCTGTGCGCGTTTGCAGGCACCTGCTGCGCTGGCCGCCTCGCAGCCCGGGACTGCTGCTGGGGACTGCGGCTGGAGCTGGGCTGGCCCGGCCCGAGGGAGAGGGGGGCCCAGCTGGCTCGCCCCGGCCCGTGCCCGCCCTCCCCGGCCGGGTCCCGACCCCGAGCTCTGGTTAAGGGGGCGTCGCCGGGCCCCAGAGCCCCCCCACTGGAGGGGCCCGCGGCTCCCGGGCCAGCATCGAGCTAGCTGCGAGGCCAGGACAGGGCCCCCGCCTTGCATCACCTCGAGACAGGTTTGTCCAGATTCCCTGAGTGCTCAGAGACGGGTTTCCGCCCGCGGTGAGGGTGCCGGTCCGAGGCCGCCGCGGGTCCCGGCTGTCCCCAGCGAGCCTGGCCCGGGCCGTTTTCATCTTTTTTTTTCTGGCCCCTGCTCTGTCTCCTCTTAACGTGTAATTTCTTAAGTCCGATTCGGGGTGATGTGAGTGCGCTGTGGCATGTAGAGTAACAGCAGCACTCATGTTTTAGCCTAGTTTTAGCTCTGCCACGCACTGTCATTCGCGCAGGCTGAAGACCCAGACTTCTCAGCTGGGTGATGTAAAGGAATGCAGCCGTGGCCAAACAGGCAGAAATTCTAAAATTGTTTCCAAGTGACAAGGATGTAACATGTCTTGCTTCCATCTATGTCATTCCTCTCAGAACATGTATGCTGTGCTTGTCCTAGACTAGACCCTGAAAAGTGTGCTACAGTTTCTCGTGATTATGTTGCTGCTGGAAACATTGGATTAAAAGATCCATAGCAAAGTTAGGCAGCAGAAGACAATACCTCCTGCTTAATGACAGGCAGAACTGGGGACAAAATTTACTGGATTCTTAAAGAGAATCCTAACGCGTTAGACCTTTAAGAGACTTTACAGGTTTGCACCAGCCCATTAAATGTATGTTGTGGAGCACACCACTGTGTCCCAAGGGATCCGGTCCCGTGTTAGGTGTGTCCTAGAGGACACTGGGGTGCTGCACATTACTGCTAGATCTGAAAATCAGTGTCTTCATTTGAGCCAAAGGGGAACATGCCCCCGCACATTTTTGATATCTCAAGTATATTCAGTGTGTCATACTCACCTTTAAAGGCAGATTTGCGGAGAACTGTTGTTACTTATTGCATGTTATCCATGCTAGTAGAAGAGCCAGGATCTTCATTCCTCTGATTTAATTACTGGGTGGCATTTTCTCTTGGAAAACAAAACAGCAGTAATGGGCACTGGCAAGGTATGGATGACCTGGGTTGGGTACGTCCCTGGATGTCACAAGCTCGTCAGAGAAGACAAATTATTGCTGATTGGGGACATTTAGTACATGGTTTGCTCATGATCTGTTTAAGAAATTAGGAAAACGTTGCTTAGTTTTGACCCTTTTCACCTTCAGCCGTTTGATTGGTGCAAGTAGGAATTCAGAGAAGGAGCTCTGCTTTAAAGGTAACAGAGCCTGGGGGGAAATACCAGGGCAGGGAAGTTGCTGTTCTTACAGCTGGGCTTGGCTGCTTTTCCTTTGCTTCTTTGTATTTTTAGTAAATGACCCACTGACTTTATGACCTTTGAGACATGCTTTCTTATCCACGACTTGAAGCTTCGGCTGGAAGATCTGTACTTGTGAAATGTCTCTCTTGCGTGCCTGTGTTGCATTTGTCTGGATTGCTTGGCAGTTCCTTAAGTACATGATCCTGCAGTTTCTATATGTTTCGAAGTTGTAGAAGGCAGTTTATTGGGGGATGGTACTGACAGGACTCAGGTAACTACTTTTGTCGTCTTAGTGACATACTTGTGCTGTGCCTTCCTGTTTTCTCTTATTTCTTTGGCTAATACTTTGCTGGAGGAATCATTTTGTACTCAGGTGAGTTGAGGCAGCGCTTAAATCAGCCTCCTTGTATCTATTGTTTGTTCCCATAACCCTGGGAACAGTGATACAACTTATGTGTATGTGGGTACAGTGCATTCTGAGTCTGGCTTTCCTGTTAGTTAAATGCCGAGATGTGCTAGTAACAACTGTTGTCCGTATCTTCTGAATTTCTGGCACCAAAGCTCATCTGTGTCACTGAGTAATCTGAATCCTGGCCAAGGGACCTGGTGCACAGATTCTTATAGACATCTAAGTGTGAAAGAAATTAGAACCAGAAAAGGAGGTGGGTATAGAAGGAAACTATTTCTGAAGATGCCTGAAGACCTTTTCCTAGGTTTTTATAACCCCTTGTTATATAACATTATATTGTATATCCAGGGTGTCATAATTAGTTATTCATCATTTCAGAAGTCTTAACTGTTGGCCGGGCGTGGTGGCTCATGCCCGTAATCCCAGCACTTTGGGAGGCTGAGGCAGGTGGATCACTTGAGGTCAGGAGTTCGAGACCAGCCTGGCCAACATGGTGAAACCCTGTCTCTACTAAAGATACAAAACTTAGCTGGGCATGGTGGCAGGCACCTGTAATCCCAGCTACTCAGGAGGCTGAGGCAGGAGAATCGCTTGAACCCAGGAGGTGGAGGTTGCAGTGAGCCGAGATCACACCACTGCACTCCAGCCTGGGCAACAGAGTGAGACTCCATCTTAAAAAAAAAAAAAAGTCTTAATGGTTGGTGTTGGCATGTTTCTATGTCTTCCCGTCTTGTTTTAAGGTAAAGTGAATGCCGAAGACAGAAGATTTGGATGATACACCACTGACTTTCTTTGTTTGGAATACACGTTATGAACCCTTTCTGGAGCATGTCTACAAGCTCTGTACGCAAAGTAGGTATAGTTGATAAATTCAGTAAGAAAACCCATTTGCTTCTGTGTCTGAAAATAGGGTCAGAATGAAGGCTAAAATAATCTGTCACGGTCACCTGTAATCTTGACAAAATTACCTGGTTTTTCTAGTTAAGGGTTTACTCTTGAGAAATAATTATTTTGTTGGTTGAAGTCTGTTTCTGAGACTAGGATTGCATCTCAAATAGAAATCGTTCTGGTCATCACAATTCTAAGATGATTTAGGTTATATTTACACATGATGAAATTTGTAACATTGTAGTTTTCTACTAAACTTCAAGGTTCTACGGTTAGAACAGCTGTGGGAAAGGCTAGTCTAATATCATTAAATCAGACTTGAGGGGCACTAATTTAATTTTTCTAAATAAAATGATTTTTTAAAAATATATTTTCATTTTAGGAAAGGTTAAAATAGGCAAACAATAAGAAAATAAAAACCAGCTGGGCACGGTGGCTCATGCTTGTAATCCCCAGCACTTTGAGAGGCCGAGGCGGGCAGATCACGAGGTCAGGAGATCGAGACCATCCTGACTAACATGGTGAAACCCCGTCTCTACTAAATATACAAAAAAATTAGCTGGGCATGGTGGCGGGCGCCTGTTGTCCCAGCTTCTCAGGAAGCTGAGGCAGGAGAATGGCGTCAACCCAGGAGGCAAAGCTTGCTTGCAGTGAGCTGAGATCGCGCCACTGCACTCCAGCCTGGGCAACAGAGCAAGACTCCATCTCAAAAAGAAAAAAAAAAAAAAAAAACTATAATCTCACCTCTAGGAGAACAAACACCACTATTACTTTTTTTCTATATACATGACATCTCTTCCTTACTTGTACATAGTAATGGGGTACAAGTTTAGTTTTGCTACATTGGCATATTGCATTGTGCTGAATTCAGGGCCTTTAGATGCCCCCATCACTGGAGCAATGCATATGATATACATGTTTTTATATAGCTAATTAAACAGCGTTTGGTTGTACTTGCGCCAAGGAAGTACCTATGAGATGGTAGTTTAGTCTCTGACTCATGTCGACCTTTGTCTTTGACGAAGGATGACAGTTTATGCTGGTGATATTTGAAATGTTGAAACATACCCAGTAGGGACAAATCAAAATCAGACCCAGGCAAGTGAGAGAATAGCTTCATTCTTTGTTTCTAACCTAAGTGCTAACAGGCAGTGACTGATTTCAGTCATCCACATTATTTTGAGCTTCTTAGCACCTAACCTTCTGTAGCATGTAAGTGCTGGGGGACTTTTCTAGCCTTGTACAGTTGTCTAATTGCTTAGTAACCCCTTGCCCTCTTTTTGGGGCCACTAGGAAAAAACATTTCTTTCTGTGTTTCAGTTAATCCTGTACACACTGATTGTATCATCCTTATAGGATGAGTTTCCCTATATGAAAGAGTTTCTCTAATGCTTTGGTCTTGCTTCAGGTTTGTCTTCTCTTTATATGACCTGCCTGCCCAAAGGACTTTCTAGTCATCTTGGTCATGGTGTTAGAATGTGCTTGTAAAGGAGTAATTCCAGCATTTAGGCCATGGAGCTAATAATGTACTCTTGTGATTTAAGAATCATCCTAACAGATATTCTTACAACTTCATCTTGTATAGCGATCTGAAGGTGAAGAGAAGACATTAACAGGGGACGTGAAAACCAGTCCTCCACGAACTGCACCAAAGAAACAGCTGCCTTCTATTCCCAAAAATGCTTTGCCCATAACTAAGCCTACATCTCCTGCCCCAGCAGCACAGTCAACAAATGGCACGCATGCGTCCTATGGACCCTTCTACCTGGAATACTCTCTTCTTGCAGAATTGTAAGTCCTTAACAAACTATTTGGTTAAATTAGGAATGATCCTTTAAAGTGAAGAATGAAATTTATTCTGATGGATGCAGTAAAGGGCAGACATTTAATCTCAAAGCTCAAACCTGTCCCTTTCCAGTATCAGACTTAATAAATATAAAACTATAGGCTATTGCTGGTGATAAAATGTTTCTTAACCAAGACCTAGGTAGAGAGATAAAAATAGCCTCTCTTAAAGATTCTTTAGAGCTCGGGTGAATAAGATTTAAAGGCAGAGGGTACTTTAATTTCCATGTCTGT
This sequence comes from Homo sapiens, assembly GCF_000001405.40. Classification (NCBI taxonomy): domain Eukaryota; kingdom Metazoa; phylum Chordata; class Mammalia; order Primates; family Hominidae; genus Homo; species Homo sapiens. The sequence continues at coordinate 53,498,102 of NC_000016.10, read as the reverse complement.
TTTGGAGAGTAACAAAAGGAAGAAACTAAGGCTTATTAAGAACCTACAGTAGATTGGCCGGGCATGGCGGCTCACGCCTATAATCCTAGCACTTTGGGAGGCCCAGGCAGGTGGATCACGAGGTTCAGGAGTTCAAGACCAGCCTGGCCAAGATGGTGAAACCCCGTCTCTACTAAAAATACAAAAATTAGCCAGGTTTGATGGCAGGCGCCTGTAATCCCAGCTACTCGGGAGGCTGAGGCAGAGAATTGCTTGAAGTCGGGAGGTGGAGGTTGCAGTGAGCCGAGATTGTGCCATTGCACTCCAGCCTGGGCGATAAAGCGAAACCCCGTCTCAAAGAACCTACAGTAGATTAGGAACTTAATAAATTTAGTCTTCGTTTATGTGAAGTGAGGAATTCGCCTCCTGGAGGTTTTTCTAGAGAGTAGGACAGTGGGAGAGTGGCTGTCTCTGCCTTCTTGGGTCAGACCCATCTGGAGGGTGGTGCTCCATTTGGTTGTCGCCTTGTAGGCAGCCTCCTGACAGATGGAGGAGAAGGCCTAGCAGGGAGGGACCAGGAAGGCCAGTCCTTAGGGATCCACAGTTGAAGGAACTGGAGAAGTTTTCTTGGAGAAGAGACAGCTTAAGCACGTATTAAAGTTGTCTTAATATATTTGAAGGTCTGTCACAAGGAAGGATCTTATTCTGTATGACCCCCAAAGGCAGGACTTAGCAATTCTAGGGAAGAGACAAAGATGTGGGCTCCATGTAAGGAAGACGCTGACTGGTCACCGAGGTCTGCAGCTGGGCTGCAGTTGCACCTGGTTGTGGAGTGCAAGAAGCCAAGCAGGGTGCGGAGTGCTGGCAGCGACCCTGTGGTGCCTGGCACACACGGGGGCTCCAGCACTGCACAGACGCAGATGGCATTTCATTAGAGAATTTGTTAAAAGGACAGAAAGTTTGGAGAATTCTTAATTTCCATCATTTAAAAATTCCTTTGTATACAGTTATTTTAAAAGCATCCTTGAGCCAGGCACAGTGGCTTATGCCTGTAATCCCAGCTACTTGGGAGACTGACGCAGGAGGATCACTGGAACCCAGGAGTTCAAGACCAGCCTGGGCAATAGAGTGACCCCGTCTCTAAAAAAAAAATTAAAAATTTCCCAGCTGCAGACCTATAGTCCCGGCTACTCAGGAGGCTGAAGTGGGAGGATCATTTGAGCTCTGCAATGTGAGACAAGTGTAGGCCATATAGTGAGACCTCATCTTTTTTTCTTTTTTTTGAGATGGAGTCTCACTGTGTCACCCAGGCTGGGGTGCAGTGGCACAATCTCAGCTTACTGCAGCCTCTGCCTCCTCAGAGCCTCTGCCTCTGGATTCTCCTGCTTCAGCCTCTGGAGTAGCTGGGACTACAGGTGTGCGCCACCACACCCGGCTAATTTTTGTAGTTTTAGTAAGAGACTGGATTTCACCATGTTGGCTAGGCTGGTCTCAAACTCCTGACCTCAAGTGATCTGCCTGCCTTGGCGCCTCCCAAAGGGCTGAGATTACAGGCATGAGACATCGCAGACAGCCTATGAGACCTCATCTTTTTTTTTTTAAACCAAAAAAAAAAAAAAAAAAAGCATCCTTGACCCCTCCCTGGATGTATTAATGTTGTAATGGTCAGTGGGTCTGAGGCCCCAGTGTAACTTTTTAACTGTATACAAAGGCTGGGTATGATTTGGTAGTAATGGCCCCTTTGGCTCTATAATGGAGGCCTTGTGTTTGAGGCTGGGCAGTGAGTTGGACAGGCGTCTATTGGGGTGATTAAATCTGTATTAGAACTGCCTTTTCTGGCAAACTTCACTGTAGTAGAGATACAGCTGCCAGCCATGTTGCTACTGACATGCTGAATTTTAGCAACTTAAAAATGGACCGGATAATAACTCAAAAATGATGAAAAGTAAGTGAATGGAAAGTAGGTAATAAAAATGATAAACTTAAGGCCTGATAAACTAGTTCTTGATAGAATCCAGGATTGGTAGGTTAATGTGATCAGAATGGCTGTGGGTGGGTAACTGGGTCCCAGAAGAACCAGTGTAGCCTTTGTGTCAATACACTTATCGTTTCTTGTTTTCAGCACCCAGTTTTCCATTCCCTGGCAAGGCCCACAGAGTTCAGGTCTCTGCATCAGGGTGTCCATTTGAGAGCAGGGCGTGTGAGAGCCGCACAAGGATGCCTGCCCTCCCCAGGCAGTACTGCGAGTCTGAACATTGCCTTCTGCTGTGGGATCTTGTGATTAAAATGTAAAATGACAACTTTGTGACCCAATTCCAAGAAATCTTAATTTATCTAACATTGTATTTTAAAAGTTTTTGAATGATCATCCAGGCACAAAAGCATAATTTTACAAATACTCTCATTGACCTCAGCTGTACAGAACTTACCTCAGGTTGCATTATTCGGAATTACCTATAGGCTGGTTTCCAAGATGATGTTTTGGAAGAGCGAATTTCTGGGAGGAAACTTTATTCTTCATTTATTCCTGTTTGGCTTTAGTTCTTACTGTGGGGCCCCTGCTGGCCTGCTGGTTTCTCTGTGAGCTGCTGCTATGAGGCCAGTAGTGGGCAGCGATCAGGGCTGGGGCTCTTTCCTGAGTTGTGTCAGGTGAGAGATTGTGAGAACTTGGCTTGCAGGGTTTGGGCATCAGCTGCCCATTGAGGGGCCGTTCATTGTCTCAAAGTGAATGTGGGGTGGTTTGATCTGCATGTGTCATTTGTATCCACACAAGTTAATTATTCTGCTTTTGTTGTAGTACCTTGGTTGTGAAGCAGAAGCTACCAGGCGTCTATGTGCAGCCATCTTATCGCTCTGCATTAAGTAAGATGAGGATTCACTCTTAATTTATGGGCACATTTAGTTCCTCCCACACAAATTTAGGCCTTAACTCTTTTATTTTTTCCTACAGTGTGGTTTGGAGTAATATTCATACGGCATGGACTTTACCAAGATGGCGTATTTAAGTTTACAGTTTACATCCCTGATAACTATCCAGATGGTGACTGTCCAGTAAGTTGGAGACACAGTCTGGCTTTATTTGTGGATCAGCGAGAAGGGCTGAAAGGGCTTACAGCTTTCCTGGTTCTTTTCCTGACCTGGTACCTTTATGATTTATCTACCCAGTAGTTGTCCAGGGGGACTTCTGTGCTTTGCAGCAGCTTCCGGCATGCCATCAGAGCTTTGTTTCTCTGCTCAGGGTCTGCAAGGGAGGCTGGCTGCCTGCCATCCTGCAGCACTCACCAGGTGAATGGTGGCCCTCAGGCTCTAGTGGAGGAGAGGGAGTTTTCCCCGCTTCATTGCAAAATTTAGTTTTTCAGGAAAATGGTAAAAGTAGTTAAGTAGCCCTCTTGAGGCAGCTCTTTAGCTTTAAATAACGTGACTGCCTTGTCCTGAAGCTCTTTTTATCACGATTCCTATGGGTCTCATAAGCGCCACTGCTTCCATTAAAGGACATGTCTCTCTTTATTTAAATACAGCGCTTGGTGTTCGATATTCCTGTCTTTCACCCGCTAGTTGATCCCACCTCAGGTGAGCTGGATGTGAAGAGAGCATTTGCAAAATGGAGGTAAGTAAATAAAGTGTTTCTTTTAGTGACATAATACAGCAAGAGGACGCCTCGGTAATCACGCCATGTTTCCCTTTAGGCGGAACCATAATCATATTTGGCAGGTATTAATGTATGCAAGGAGAGTTTTCTACAAGATTGATACAGCAAGCCCCCTGAACCCAGAGGCTGCAGTACTGTATGTAACTTTTGCTTTGTTATTTAAAATAAATTTGAAGATGCAGCTAAGTAGATTAAGTTAGTAACTTTTTGACTTAAACTTTTAACACAGGTATGAAAAAGATATTCAGCTTTTTAAAAGTAAAGTTGTTGACAGTGTTAAGGTGTGCACTGCTCGTTTGTTTGACCAACCTAAAATAGAAGACCCCTATGCAATTAGGTAAGTGGTGCATCCCCCAAGTGAACTGTCCACTGTCCTTTCCAATACACTGCTTCCTTTCTCCAGGTGGTCTCAGAATAGGGATATAAAAAGGCACATGCATAAGCTGTTAGCCTACAACCTTTATAACTTGGTGCCAACTCGATTTCTGATGCCTCTTGAGGCTCTTCTCTTAAACAAAAAGCTTCACATCTGACAGGCTGTGCCGACAGCACATTCTCTGGTGACTTTGGTTTCCCAGGGATCCTTGTGATATATTTATTCATTCCCATGTCAGGACTCTTCTTTTCAGCTGGCAGTTTTAGCTGGAGCCCCTCTTAAACTGCCAAACCCTCATTGACATTCAGATGTGGTAAAAGGAGGGAAACTGAATAGTGTGAGAATGGTGGGTTCCTGAAGCACTATGACATTTGATTTAAGGAACAGTGTCTGGAGGAGTATTGGGAATGGACGAATTGGTGATTTTGCTCTTTGGCAACATTGGTAGTGCTTAGGAAGGCAGTGGAGTATAGCTATTAAGAGCTTGGACTCATGGCCAGGCATGGTGGCTTATGCCAGTAATCCTAGCACTTTGGGAAGCCGAGGTGGGTGGATCACGAGGTCAGGAGTTCAAGACCAGCCTGACCAATATGGCCAAACCCCATCTCTACTAAAAATACAAAAATTGGTCAGGTGCAGTGGCTCACACTTGTAATCCCAGCACTTTGGGAGGCCGAGGCGGGGAGATCACCCGAAGTTGGGAGTTCGAGACCAGCCTGACCAACATGGAGAAACCCCGTCTCTATTAAAAATACAAAATACAAAATTAGCTGGGTGTGGGTGGTGCATGCCTGTAATCCCAGCTACTCAGGAAGGCTGAGGCAGGAGAATCACTTGAACCAGGGAGGCAGAAGTTGCAGTGAGCCAAGATCTTGGCATTGCACTCCAGGTACCTGTAGTCCCAGCGAGGCTGAAGCAGGAGAATGGCCTGAATCTAGGAGGCGGAGGTTGCAGTGAGCCGAGATCACACCACTGCACTCCAGCCTGGGTGACAGAACTAGACTCAGTCTCAAAAAAAAGAGCTTGGAGTCAGCAGATGGACTACGTGGCTTTTGTACTTTTTAGCTCTGGTAACCCAGAGCAATTAATTTACTCTGCTTTGCTGTCTTAATCTTTAAATAACAGTACTTCAAGGGGTGGTGTGAGGCTTAAATGAGATCATTCATGTATGAGGGATAGTTATGTGAGAAAATTAATTAGATAATGTCTAAAACATACATGTCGACAACAATAAAAAATACTGTGCTTTATTAAGTTAGGGGAATTGGCTTAAAACTGCAAAATGAATGTTATAGAAATTTAGTGAGCCAACAAATAGTTTTTAAATACTTTTCTCTTCCTTAAGCTTTTCTCCATGGAATCCTTCTGTACATGATGAAGCCAGAGAAAAGATGCTGACTCAGAAAGTAAGTGGATAACAACTTATGAAATGGCTAACTCATTGTTTCTTTTCTAAAATGTCTTCATTTGGAGACTGCTCATTACATACAAGTAACTTTTTTTGGGAAACAAGTTTGTACAGTGCTGAAATCTCCTCACCAGTAATTTTTTAAATATCTGTTTTGATTGTGCCTAGAAGAAGCCTGAAGAACAGCACAATAAAAGTGTTCATGTTGCTGGCCTGTCATGGGTAAAGCCTGGCTCAGTACAGCCTTTCAGTAAAGAAGAGAAAACAGTGGCGACTTAAGAGATGGTGAATCTGGTGCACCATGCACTTTCCTGCTAGACTCTGGCCTAGTTCAAGCTGACCAATGGCAGAGGACTGCCTGAAGAGTAAAACTGTGTGAACAATGACTGACTGCCAGTGTTTTCCATGTATGCATAGGTTCTAACAGCAGGGTTTGGAAACCTGTCTCTAAGTAATGCATTACTTCTGTCAGAAGTGTCTTAGGGTGGTTATCTAGTTCAGTACTCCAAATTATTGGGGACCTTGAGGCTTAAGTAAGTATTTTTCTGAATATAATGCTAAAGGTAAGTTGCATTCATTTAAACTAATAGAGCAGACAGAATTCAGCACTACTTAATAGTTTATAAATCAGTGGTTTCAGTTGTATATATGTTAGGAAATGGAGAGGTATAGAGAGAGCAGGTTCCATAGCTCAGCACTTTTAAGTGGAAGATCATTTGAATCTCAGTCTTCAGCCTGCACTGATTTGTAGCCTGCACTGTCTTACTGATTTACAAACTGAAATCACTGAGAAATGTCTTTAGTTCAGTGAGAAGAAACCAGAACACTTGTTCCTAGTGTTGTGTTGTTTTTTTTAAGCAAATTACTTACTGTATTTTTATGGCAGGAGGGAGAAAAAGTGTTACAACGGTTTCTAATGAAGTCCGGTATTTAAATGATAAATGACTAATGTGTTTAGTAGAGACAAAATAAACCAATAAATGATTGTTCTTTGCCATTTATGCAGGAAACTACCCTTTTCTCAATATAACCAAACAAAGGCTAATTTATAAATGCTTTATTGAAAAATACACTTATCTTCATATAAAATTACAGTAGCAGTATCTTGAGAAGTTTTATAAATATTTTTGCAGAACACTATTCTAATTGAACAATGTAAGTTCCATATTTCTCTCAGCAATATGAAGTTACCTAGTAACTTTGTTTATACTGATTCAATTTACAATTGAATTTTCTCCCTAATAAGATTATTAATTTGACTTGAAAACTGCTGGAACAATAGTGATTAATAAAGATATGTATAGATAATTCAGCTGTTAAATAACATTTTCTAATTTGTATAAATGGTACTATGGTACTAATAAAAACCTAAATTCTCCAACCAATTTTTTTAAACTGCCAGGAACACCCAAAAATATTTTTAAATATATCACCTTAATAGACATTTCTTTTAGATAACTCCCTCCTAAAGGAAGAGGTCATAAGTTTTCATATTAATCCCCTCAATTCAACTTGATTAAAATCTTTTCTTAGCTGGTTGATCCCTATATAACAAAAAACTGGAGAATTTAAAACATTCCCAAAAGGTGGCTATAGGGGTTTTAACATTTTAAAAAAATATAAAAGCATTAAAGAAAATATTGGATGTTTAGCCTGGAAGTTTTGTATTTAATAAAGTTCACATTGTAGAAAGTGCTATCACAAATATACAGCAAAATCTGGGTTACAAAATCATGCATTTTACAGCCCTAAAGTGCCTCCACTTATACAGGTTCACTCAGACATTGCACACCCGAACAATCAAGGACTTTTCACACTGCACCACACCGAATGGGGAGAGGGAAGATGTGCACAAAGGGAACGGGAGACGAGGGCTAATGACCTAGGACCTCCAAACCTGGGTGTGCTCTCCTTTGTCAGGAATGCAAAAAATCACACACTCCTACCAGGTGTTTTAGGACAAAATACCTAATTTTTGTTTTGCTTTTTATGAGGACTACAGCTGACCACAAAACAGGTAGGATTGAACTTGAAACACAGTTCTTCTGTTGGAGTACGTCAACAGAAGCCTCCTATGCTCACGTTTGGGTACACATCATTTTCTTGCAGTATTTCTAAAAGCTTTGCCAGAGTCAAAAATCCAAGTTTGGATTCTAAGCAGCCTTGACAGTAATCACTGAATGGTAGGGAAAAAAAGACAGTTGGGATGAATTAAAATGTTCTAAGGACACTGGAAGGAGTTAAGTCCCATTTCTCACCAAAATGTCCCCTCATGTTACTAACAGGCTGTAACTCATCAGCTGGATTAAGGAAAAAAGCTCCATAATCTAGATGCATTAAAGGCTGCTGCTAAACAGATTTTGTGAAGAGTTTAATACAAGAGACTAACCTCAGTGGGAACCACGGTCATTAGCTACATCTTGGAGACGGCGTAATAAGGCAGAATGATTTTCTGGGCAAATTCTTTTTGCAGGTGATTCACTTCCATCTTCCAAAAGAATTCCTCTCTTTTTAGTAGGAGTTTCTCCTGTGCGTATCATACTATTAATTTCTCTCAGTCTCTATGGTGGGAAAAAGATACAAAAATTTTAAAATGCAAATGCACATAGCTCAGTATTAAGTCAAAGAATCTCAAATGAGTTAAGCAGTTTACCCTGGAAGAGTTTGAACACATCTACAGAGAAAAGAAACACTAAGTTACATAACCTGCCAACTTTACTTTTCAGCTGGCTGAGGCCGATGGCTATTTGAGAAGGGGCTGAGTAGTTCTATTTTTAACAAGCTCTTCCACAGGCACTTTTGACCTGTAGGTCAATTATACATGTCTATAATTTGTGAGTTCACAAATTTGTGATTTTTTTTACAATTAGGGAGCATTACATTGCTATCTGATAGTCACTTAGACACATCTTTTTCTCTTTTTTAAAGTACAACTTTATACAATATTCCCTTTTTTTCAGTCTAATGTTACTCAGTTTTTAGCAGCCATTCTCAACTGGGATTTCACTAGAAAAGTAGGCCTTAATCCCCCCCTAAGGTATCCATTGTAGCTAATAAATTAGTAAGATCTAGAATGGTACTATCCTTGGGAGAATTGAGGATTAAAGTTACTCAAATTATTTTCTGGACAGTGGCTCAGATGAGGAGCTGCAATTGAGAAAGACACTGCCAGAATGTCAGAAAGACTGGGGCTGGCTGTACAGCACCTTTAGCATTCAGTTTCTCCAAAGCCTCTAAAAGTCGTCTGTCACATTATTTTCTGCTAGTTTGTTGGTTAAAATTCTTTTTCATGTGCTGCTTCATCCATGTTTGCTTACAGAAAGCATACTAAGCAAATTCACAGATATCTATTATAGGAAATTGTAAACATACAAAAGTAGAGAAGCATAATGCATCCTCACATACCTATTCCTCTACTTCAGCATGTTTGGCCAGCCTTGTTTGATTTATACTCTGATTCACTTCCATTCCCCAGATTATTTTAAAACAAATCCCAGACATATTTTATCATGACACTTGTTATTTTTATTCTTTAAAGTAATAAATGTTTTGGGGGTTTTAATGAAAATCAGTGTTCTTTATTATCAACAGATGTACCTTCACAAGTGTTTTTCATTTTTTTTTTTTTTTTAATTAACAATAGAAATGGGGTTGCACTATGTTGTCCAAGCTGGTCTTGAATTCCTGGGCTCAAGCAATCCTCCTGCTTTGGCCTCCTAATGTGCTGGGAACAGGCATGAGCCACTGCACCTGGCCACAAAATCTTAAGCATCTGAAGAAAGCTTTCCTTCAATTCTTTTTCTAGCCCCCTTTCTGCCTTCCTAAGAGTCTGGTCTGCATTTGCTATCTCTGCAGTCTCCCATTTGCTTGAATATTTCTTACACTGTTTACTGTATACATTGTTAATTGTGTATAAGCAATGCTACCATAATTTATTTTTCAACAAGTCATACCAGTGCACTGACACTGCTCTGTCAAGTATCACTAATGATCAGTCTTCATCTTAACTGATCTTGTATAGTATTTGATAATTATTTTCTCATAGTAGTCTAAATGTTAGTACGTTATAGATTGGTTCTAGACATAAGCTACTTCTTGCTTTGTAATATTCTCCCCCTTCTTGCTTTGTAATATTCTCCCCGTAAGTTTCAGCTATCACCTATTACGTCAAGATGACAAATCTTTCTCCAACCAAGAGTCTAATAATCGCTATCATTTTACTGGACAGACTCCCAATTCTGTGCTAGAAATACCTACAGTCGGATAAAACTGTTCCTCTGAAAAAATCCCTCATACTCCCTTGTCAGCCTATCCCAAACCACCACTGATGTTCTTGTCCAATAGTTTTGCCTTTTCCACAATGTCACAGAAATGGAATCATAAGTAGCCTACTGAATCCAGTGTCTTTCACTTAAGCATTGATGCATTTGAGATTTATCTACATTGAATATATCAGTTCCTTTTTATTGCAAAGTAGCAGTCGATTGTCTGGATGCACCACAGCTTATTTATATGCATTCACCAGCTGAAGGACGTTTGGGTTGTTTCCCACTTTTTGGCAATTAGGAAGAAAGTCACTATAAACAGTCATGTACGTGATTTTGTCTAAACATAAGTTTCCATTTCATTTGTGTAAATACCTAGGAATGAGATTGCTGGTTGTATAATGGTATGTTTAAGAAACAACTTTCCACAGTGGCGATGCCATTTTGCGTTCACACCAGCAATATGTAAAATTGTTCCACATTGTTGTCAGAACTTACGATTTGTCACTTTTTGGATTTTAGCCATTCTAACAGGCATGTAATGGGTGAAGTGTGTTCAAATCTTTTGCCCACTTTTACATTTGGTGGTTTTCCTACTGAATTTTGAGAATTCTTTAGATACTGTAGATATACAAATGCTTCATCAGATATGGAACGTGTACAGATTTTCTAATAGTCTATGGCTGGTTTTTTAATTCTCTTAACAGTGTCTCAAATAGCAGAAATTATTCATTTTGATAAAATCCATTTTAACAGTATTTTACGGATTGTGCTTTTGATGTTGTATATAAAATTTTCCCATAAAACATGTTCACTAAGATTTTCTGTTGTCTTCTAGAGGTTTTGTAGTTTGAGATTTTACATTTATGTCTGTGGTTCATTTTTAGTTTTTGTATATAGTGCAGGGTATGGGAACAAGTTTACTATTATTTTGTTATATGCACATCCAATTGTTCCAGCACCATCTGTTGAAAAGGCTATCCTTTCTCTACCAAATTGCCTTTGCACCTTTGTTGAAAATCAGTTTACCATACATGTGTTGTCTATTTCAGGACTCTGTTCTGTTCTATTGATCTCTGTGTCTATACTTCCACCAACACTACTGTCTTGATTACTGTGGTGTTATAATACAGATATTTTGTGTACCTTCATAATTAGTGTGAATCCTCCACCTTTGAATTATTTTAGCTATTCGAGTTCTTTGCCTTGTAAATGACAAATTTTAGAATCAGTTTTTTACATAAATCTGTTTGGATTTTGACTGAAATTGGTTTGAAATTATAGATCAATTGGGAGAAAACTGCTGTTTTATTTTCCATGAATTGGAAACTAAGGTATTATTTTCATTCAATGTCATGAACACATTTCTGTATCTTCTCAGGCTTTAATTTCTCTCACCAAGCTTCTATAGTTTTCAGGATATATGTGTTGCATAGTTTTTATCATACCTACCCCTAAGTAATTTTAAAATGTTATGGTATTCAATTTTTTATTTTACTTCTGATTGTTCACTGCTAGCATATAGAAATACATTTGATTTTTGTATGTTGATCACATAACCTCCCTTATTAGTTCCAGTAGCTTTTTGTGGATTCTTTGTGATTTTCCTATGTAGACAATCCAGGCTGTATGGCTTTTCTTGTCTTATTGCACATGCTAGGACTCCCAGTTACAATGTTGAACAGGGGTAGTGAGAGTGGACATTGTTGCCTTGTTCTTGATCACAGGGGCAAGGCATTCAGTCTATCACCATTAAGTATGATATCTGTAGATGCTTTTGGTAAATGTTTACCAAGCTGAGGAAGTTCCTTGAGAGTTTTTACATTAATGAATGTTGGATTTTGTCAGATGCTTTCCTTCAAACACTAAGATCATTTATCACCTTCACTTTTTGGGAGAGTTTCTATAGAATTGGCATTATTTCTTCCTTAAATGTTTGGTAGCATTTACCAATGAAGCCATCTGGGCCTACAGTTTTCTCTGACAGGAGGTTTTTAAACCACAAATTAATTTCTTTAGTAGATACAGGGGCTACTGAGACTACTACTTGAGTTTTATTAGTTTGTATCTTTCAAGAATTTGTCTATTTCATGTGCATTGTCACATTTATTGGCATTAAAGTTTTGAAACAGGGTCTCACTCTGTTGCCCAGGATGGAGTGCAGGGGTGCCATCACAGCTCACTGCAGCCTTGACCACGCAGGCTCTAGCAACCCTCCCACCTCAGCCTCCCAAGTAACTGGGACTATAGGCACACCTCACCAACCCCACCACACCTGGCTTTTTTTTTTTTTTTTTTTTCAGAGACAAGGTCTTGCTATGTTGCCCAGGCTGGTCTTGAACTACTGGGCTCAAGGATCCTTCTGCCTTGGTCTCCCAAAGTGCTGGGATTACAGGCATGAGCCACGACATCTGGCTGGCATTACGTTGTTCTTTATCTTTCATTATACTTTTAATGTATACTAGTAATGTGTCATTTCTTTTCCTGATTATTCTGTACATAGAGGAATCAATTTTTAAAATCATCTCCCAAAATACCTAGGTGGTTTTTTGTTTTTGTTTTTGTTTTTTTTTAGATGGTCTCATTCTGTCACTCAGGCTGGAGTGTAGTAATGTGAGCATGGCTCACTGTAGCCTCAACCACCTGGGCTCAAGCCATCCTTCCACCTTATCCTCCGGAGTAGCTGGAACCACAGGTGTACAGCACCACACCCAGTTAAATTTTTTTTTTTTAAAGTAGAGACAAGGTCTTGCCACGTTACCAGGCTGGTCTCGAACTCCTGAGCTCAGGCAGTCCACCCACCTCAGCCTCCCAAAGTGCTGAGATTACAGGCATGAGACACAGCACCCAGCCTCCAAAAAAACCGAGCTTTTGTTTGCCTTGGTTTTTCTCTGCTTTACAGTTTTCCATTTCAGTGAGTCCTACACTTTTTCTACTTTCTTAAGCTGAAATCTTAGGTCACTAATTTGAGACCTTTTTTCTTTTGGAACATAGGTGTATGTATTTCTCTCTTAGCACTGTTTTAGCTACATCCCACAAATTTTAATATTTTGGATTTTCATTTTCATTTAGTTCAAAATATTTTCTAATTTCTCTTGTGCTTTCTTTAACCAATAGAAATATATAATTTAGGTTCCAAGAATTGGGGGATTTTCCAGGTATCTTTTATTGATTTCTGATTTAATGCCATTGTGATAGTGAAAACACAGTATTTCAACCCTTTTAACATTTATCGAGACTTGTTTTATGGTCCAGAATGTAGTCTATGTTGGTAAATGTTCTCTCTGCACTTGATTTGTTAGAGAGTGTTCTATAAATGTCAATCAGTTGATAATGTCTACATCTTCTGTATCCTTAGTGATTTTCTCTATTTGTTGTACCAATTATGTTGAAATCTCTTGACTACCAGTTTTTTTTTTTTATTTAGGGTTATATGTCCTCTTTATAATAGGAAACGACCCTCTTTGTCCTGATAATATTTTTTGCTCTGAAATCTACTTTCTCTGATATTAATACAGCCACTCCAACTTTCTTTTCATGAGTGGTAGCATGGTATAACCTTTTCCACCCTTCCAGCTTTATTGAGATATAATTCTTATACCGTATTATTCAACCATTTGAAGTGTACAGCTCCATGGCTTTTAGTATGTTCCCAGAGTTCCCAGAGCAGCCATCACTACATTCTATTTTTGAATTCTTTCATCACCCCAGAAACTTCTTGTTCATAAGCAGAAACTCTATTCCCCACAACCCTTGGCAACCATGAATCTCCTTTCTGCTTCTAGATATTTGCCCATTCTGGACAACTCATATAAATGGAATCATAAAATATGTTCTCTTTTGTGACTGGCTTCTTTCACTTAACGATGTTTTCAAGGTCCATTCATATTGTAGCATGTATCAGTACTTCATCCTTTTTATTGCCAAGTAAATATTCCTTTTATGGATATACATTTTTATATTTAAAGTATATAACTTACAAACAACATATAGTTTGGTCCTGCTTTTTTGTCCAGTCAGATAAATTCTAACTATTAATTGGTACATTTAGACCATTTACATTTAAATGCTATTTTCCTGTATGTTCCTTTTTTCCTCCTTTTTAAGCCACCTTTTGAGTATTATCATTCCAATTCATCTGCTTTGTCTATTACCTGCTATTATTCTGTTCTTTTTTTCCATTTAACTCTGTTAATCCATTTAGAATTTATAGGTTACAGGATGAGAGTCTAATTTAAGCCGTCAGAATCATTTCCTCCAACTCCATTTGCTTTTTGGGGCTGTTACTGCCAATTTATGTTTCCAGGTTTCATAACCAGTCCTACTAGGAATATCACTGGAATTAGACTAAGCCTATATAACAGAGAAAGTATATCTTTTAAATATTTGGTCTTCTTATTCAGAATCGCTGGTATGTCTTCATTTATTCCAGTTTTCATAAGTTTTATAAATTCATTCCAAAGCACGTGACACCTTTACACCTTTTTTTTTTTTTTTTTACTATGATAGGAAAAGTGTCTCCATTATTACATTTTCTGTTTTTCTTTGGAGACGGAGTCTTGCTCTTGTCCCCCAGGCTGGAGTGCAATGGCACGATCTCAGCTCACTGCAAACTTTGCCTCCGGGATTCAAGCGATTCTGAGTAGCTGGGATTACAGGTGTCCACCACCATGCCCGGCTAATTTTTTTGTACTTTTAGCAGAGATGGGGTTTCACCATGTTGGCCAAGCTGATCTTGAACTCCTGACCTCAGGTGATCCACCCATCTCGGCCTCCCAAAGTGCTGGGATTACAGGCATGAGCCACCACACCTGGCCCATTATTACATTTTCTAACAGATTTTTGCTGTTCTTGTTTACTTGTTTTCCTCAACTTTTTTTTCCAAACAGACAGGGTTTCTCACTTTATTGCCCAGGCTGGAGTGTGGTGGCACGACCATAGCTCACCGCAGCCTTGAACTCTTGGGCTCAGCCTCCTGAGTAGCTACAACTACAGGTGCATGGCACCATGCTCAGCTAATTTTTATTTGTTGTAGGGATGGGGTCTTATGTTGCCTGAGCCGTTCTCCAACTCCTGGCCTCAAGCAATCTTCCCACCCCAGCCTGCCAAAATGTTGGGATTACAGGCGTGAGGCACTGCACCCGGACTGTTTTCCTCAACTTTTTAAAAGATTGCAAGCCTACAAAGAGTTGAAAAAAATAGTACACTGAGCAGCCACTTATCAATCATTAATGTCTAAGAGTTGCTTTCACTCTCTCCCTACCTAAATATATTGCAACCAACCCGTTTGAAAGTAAGCTGCAGACACTGGGACACTTTACCTCTGAATACTTTCAGCACAGTCTCCTACATAATCTGCTAGGCATCATCAACACCAAAGAAACTTTTAAAAAAAAATACACTGAAGGCCACATTCAAATTTTCCTCAAAATGTCCTTTATAGCAACGTTTTCCTATGCAGGATCAAAAATCATGCATTGCATTTGGATGTCGTGTCTCCCTAGTCTCCTCAATGATACCTTCCCCGTCCTCTTACCATACTGACCTTTTTTTGAAGAGTTCAGGCCATATATATATGTGTATTTCTAAGCAACCGTTTTTTTTTTTTTTTTTGAGACAGTGAGTTTCGCTTTTGTCACCCAGGCTGGAGTGCAATGGCGCGATCTCTGCTCACTGCAACCTCCACCTCCTGGGTTCAAGCTATTTTCCTGCCTTAGCCTCCCGAGTAGCTGGGATTACAGGTGCATGCCACCACACCCAGCTAATTTTTGTATTTTTAATAGAGATGAGGTTTCACCCTGTTGACTAGGCTGGTCTTGAACTCCTGACCTCAGGTGATCTGCCCACTGTGGCCTCCCAAAGTGTTGGGATTACAGGTGTGAGCCACAACGCCCAGCCTCTAAGCAACCTTTATCAATAAAAATCTCATTATGTAAGGGCCTTCACAATCCAGTTCCACTCGCTAACATAGCATGATGCCCGTAATTAAGCTTTGGATCACTGTCTGCCTCAAGGACACTGTTTTCTTCCCCTTAACCTGCTTCCTGCTGAGTGCCCTTCCATACCTCAACAGCTCCCTGACTTTTCAACATTAAGGCCTGACTCAAGCTTCCTTCCCCTTCTTAGAATGAGGTGGCTGTTGCCACATACATCTGTGCTAATATGACTATTGCACTGCAATGTCAAAAATGTCAACTTCTCCCATTAGCCAGAGTCCTGAGGACACTGCCTGTCCCAGAAACAGGCCTTTGGTAAGGAATCCAAAATTTCTTTCCCTAACAAATGTGGAAAATTGTTACAAATGGGATAAACACAAATTTCAGGTTTACAGCAAAATGTACAAATAGGAGAGGGAATAAAAAGAAATCCAAATCCCTTACCCTGTTTCCCACCCTAAAATTCCACCCCCTCCCCCTCAAAAAAGGCAAAAAACAAAACAAACCCTGGGTTTTGCTTCATGAGGACTGACTGATCACTGCTCCCTGGCAGCTCTCATCACTCTAATGAGTGCCTAAGCTTAGCACAAACCCTGTTTCTAGCATCTGAAGCATTTTGAGGTTAGTAAAGGCCAAGATTGATGTTAGGCTCACCTTTGAAGGACTGTTGCTGAAGTAATAGAAAATCTTTTCTCGAGGAGAAAGCATTGTTTCATTTTTATGTGGGGAAATGTAGACAGGATGATTTTGAGACAACTGTATTCGGCGAGGGGAGCCTGTTCTTACAAATGGATAGGGAGAGAGTGGAGGAGCATCCATCTGTTTAAAAAAAAAAAATCAGTAATTCTAAGAAAAAAATTTATAATTATTTTTACTGAAAATGATTATTGAGTGAAGAGGTGTGCTAAACCAGTAGTTTTATGAATGACAGAGTGATGTATTAGCAATAACTTAACCTAAAGAAAAATATTCTAATAGCAAACCTTAAGTGCTTAGTTTGTGCCAGTTATTATTTTAAGCAATTTTTATACATTATGTCATTTCATCCTTACAACAACCCCATATGCTAGGAACTAGTTATATTCCCATTTTATATATGAGGAAATGAGGTACAGAGAAAATTTAATGATTTGCAAGGTTACCACCACTGTTAAGTACTGGAAAATTTGAACCCATGTAGCCTGTCTCTTGTACTACTATACTTTGTAGGGACTCCAAATACAATCTTACTCGTTTAATGCTTAACAACAGTAGAATTTATATTGGTTAGGTAAATTACAGACCTCCTCAGTTTTACTTAATAGAATTATTTGTAAAACTAGCTTATTTATGAGACAGAGTCTTGTTCTGTCACCCAAGCTGGAGTGCAGTGGCACAATCTCAGGTCACTGCAACCACCGCCTCCCATGTTCAAACAATTCTCCTGCCTCAGCCCCCAGAGTAGCTGGGATTACAAGTGTGTGCCACCACGCCCAGCTCATTTTTGTATTTTTAGTAGAGACTGGGTTTTACCACGTTGGCCAGGCTGGTCTTGAACTCCTGACCTCAAGTGATCTGCCCTCCTCGGCCTCCCAAAGTGCTGGGATTACAGGTGTGAGCCACCACACCTGGCCAAAACTAGTTTATATACGGACCAGGTGAATGGTCCATATATAAATCATAAATGATTCCTCAACACTCATGAGTGAAAAAAGTATGAAATAATCCCTGTCATACTTACATTTGCCTGTGAGTACTTCATGGCAAATGTCTTAATCTGTTTGATGTAGATGTTGTTGTAGAACTGAATGAGGTCTCCCCTCTCCTCTTCTTCCATGTCACTGTTGGCACCTGTGAGGCGAGTAGGTGTGGGAGGAGCACTGCTGGGCTGTGGAACTGGCAAGGTGCTGCTTGACCTCATAACTGGACTGGAGTCTCTACTGGCTGCAGCCAGGAGAACAAAGGCTGTCAGTACAAAGGCTGCTAATATTGACTGTTTTAATTTTTTAAAAGTAGGAGAAAGGGAACAGCTACCTGCACTACTTGCTAATAACAGTGAATAGGCACTCTGTTCTTCACACCAAAAAGCAAAGCTCAGCTAGGATATTAACTTTCTCCCTATGCCATAACCATAGCAAGGGCTTTCTGAGTAGTGTCCATTAATAAGTTACACCAAATTTTCTAGGACCTAAGCCCTGTACTAAGTGGTACAAAGCAACAGGCAGGGGATGGTATTTCCATAGCATGGTTCCAATTGACATATCAGACCTTTCTGGAACTCAGGCAAGCAGATTCCTCCCTGAAAGCTCTAATTCTCCTGGAGAAAAATGTTACATAATATGTGCCCCAAAGCTATGTAATGGACAGTTTTGCCAGCTAGAATATGGTTTACTGATCTATAAAACACTTTCATAGTTTCTATAGTTATTTCATTTAGTAATGCTTAGTTACTTCTTCAAGGCCTAAAAAGTAAGAAAAGCTCCTAATTTTGTCTTGTAGTTCACAAAGATCCCACTTACTTCTATCTTTGTTTAGTTCTGTTGGAGAATTCTGATGGCTTCTGCTATCACTGCTGCCAGAATTTCTTCTTTTTCTTTTCCCTTTTATCAAAACACTTCTATACACCTTTAGAGAAACAATGAGAAGGGGACATAAACTAGTATTTGTTGAGCACACCCTTGGTGATAGGACCTTCACATATGTTACTTGGTTTTCACAATAACCTGTATAGCAATAGTTGTCCTCAGAACAGGTTGAGAAACATAACTCAAATTATAACAGATCCAGGATTCAATCAGAGCCCATCTAGCATCACATGCCAAGTACTACCTGCAGTACTACACTGCAGTGACAGCACCCAACCATAATGTCAAGTCATTCTAAGTAAGATACACAGATCTGGCCGATTTGCCTCTCAGAGATGAATGGTAATAAAGGCAAAGTGGGTTTTAAATTTCCATGTGACATTCTGTTGGTTAAACCTACAGTATGTTTACTAAACCAGAATGAAAGGTGACATAGAAACCAAGTAACTTCTTAATTCCTATCTTGTGATTTTTCTGAATTAAGAAGGCAATCAAATATTTAACATTGTTGCCTTTTGAGGAAAAGAGACCTTAATCAACATGTGACATCAAGAATAAAGATTAAAGTAGAAACTTCCCTTAAGTAGAGTCCCAGGTGTTTATCTTGGAAAAAAGGCCACAGAGTCAACTATGGTTAATTTTTTGTATTCATCACAGACTTTAAGCTTTATTTTTCAGCCCATAGAGAAAATGTAGTTACCTGGCTCCGGGCCTGCGGCTGAGTCCTATAACAACGCATAATGTTCTGGAAGGACTTATCTTCTTTTGTGACCTGGCAAACAATAAGAGTGCTCTGAGAGACATGGCAACTACCACCATAATAGTGTGAGGAGCTCTGTGAACCTGCTGCCCAGTAAAAGGGGTGAAAATTATATAAAAGCTATTTAAAGTCTCTGGAAATGGTATTAACGGCATATAGCAAATGAAGATACATCGATTCAAGAATATCTATTAAAATTCAATAAAAACAATAGGAGTCTATAGTATGTGAATCAAGACTTAGAGGCCAGGTGCGGTGGTTCACACCTGTAATCCCAGCACTTTGGGAGGCTGAGGAGGGTGGATCACTTGAAGTCACGAGTTCAAGACCAGCCTGGCCATCATGGTGAAACCCAGTATCTACTAAAAATACAAAAATTAGCCGGGCATGGTGGCACATGCCTGTAATCCCAGCTACTGGGGAGGCTGAGGCAGGAGAATCACTTGAACCTGGGAGATGGAGGTTGCAGTGAGCTGAGATTGAGCCACTGTACAGCCTGGGTGACAGAGCAAGACTCTCTCTCAAAAAAAGACTTGGAGTAGAAAAGTACAGTAAATGAAATGAAAAATTCACTAGAAGCTAGGGAAAACAGATTTGAACTAGCAAAAAAAAAAAAAAAAGGATTAGCAAACATGAAGAAAGAGATTGTGTGATCTGAGGAACAGAGAAAGAATGAAGAAAAACAGCCTCAGAGAAATGTGGCACACCATTAAGGAAATCAACATACGTGTAATGGGAGAATCAGGAGAGGAGAGAAAGAAGCAGAAAAAAATGTTCAAAGAAATACTGAAAACTTCCCAAATTTATTAAATTACATATCCAGGACATTCAGTGACTTCCAGGTAGGATAAACTCATCCGTACCCAGATATATCACAGTAAAAATGTTCAAAGCCAAAGAAAGAAAATATTAAAAGCATCAAGAGAAAAACAACTTTTCAGTTACAGGGAAACCCCAATAAAATAAAATTTGACTTCTAATCAGAAACTACAGAGGCCAGGAGGCAGTGGGATAACATTCAAAGTGATGAAAGAAAAAATATTAAACTAAGAATCCAGTATTAAAAAGTTACTCAAGATTTTTATCTCTGAAATGTCAATATTCAAAATTTTTGCAAGTTATCTTTCAGAAATGAAGGTAAAATAAATATACTCTCAGATAAACAAAAACAGAATTTGGTGCTAGCAAACCCCTTACAAGAAATACTACACAAAATTCTAGAAGCCAAAAGCAAATGCCCCTGGACAACACTACACATGAAGAAAGCCAAGAGCACTGGTAAAGATAATTATGTAATCGTAAATACAGTATAACTGCACATTTCTTCTCCTTTCTTAACTGATTAAAAAATCAATTGTATAAATAATATATATATATAATGTACCCATAACATACAAAAATGTAACATATTTGCCTACAACAGTACAAAGGAGGTAGGCAGGAGCAAAGCCATATTGAGCAAAGGAAATTACTCCAGATGGCAACTCACATACACAGGAATGAATAAGAGAAATAGAAATAGGCTGGGTGTAGTGGCTACTCCTGTAATCCCAACATTTTGTGAGGCTGAGGCAAGTGAACTGCTTGAGGCCAGGAGTTCGACACCAGCCTGGGCAACATGGCAAAACCCCGTCTCTACAAAAAAATACAAAAATCAGCCGGGCATGGTGGCACATGCCTGCACCCTGTAGGCCCAGCTACATGGGAGGCTGAGGCAGAAGGATCATTTGAGCCCGGGAGGCAGAGGTTACAGTGAGTTGAGATTGCACCGCTGCTCTCTAGTCTGGGCGACAGAGCAAGACTCAGTCTTAAAAAAGAAAGAAAGAAAGGAAACCAGAAATTATTAATAAGGTTACTAGAGCAAAAGTTTTAAATACATACTTACACTCCTTTCCTTTCTGCTACTTTAGAAGTCATAAAATTGTATCAATAATTATAACAATGTACTGGTGGAGTTGTACATTTATGGATGTAATATGTGTAACGAAACAGTTAACACTCCTATATCTCACTGGAATTAAGTCAGTATAATCTGAAGCTGATTTTTGATAAGAGATATATGGTAAGCCCTAGGGCAACCACTACACACACACACACACACACACACAAAATGAAACCAAAGTACTGACGTTAAAATGCTACTTTAGAAAATATTGACCTAATGCAAAAGCAAAGCTGCAAAGGCAAAGGGAAAGACATGAAAACAAAAAGTAAAATGGCAGATGTAAATCCAATTATATACATAGTCAAAAGGCAAAAGAAATCCAAATGTATTTTATCTACAGGAGACATTTTAGATTTAAAAAATACAAATACATTCGAAAATGAAAGGATGGAAAGAGGTATACAGACAGCAACCATAAGAAAGCTGGGTGACTATATATCTCACACTATAAATCAGACTTCAGGACAAAAAAAGTTATTAAAAAGGGACATTCCATAATGATAAAAGGATCAAGCCATCAGGAATCTATAACAGTTATACACATACCTAATAACTGAGCACAAAAAATACCTGAAGCGAAAAGTGACAGAAGTGAAGGGAAAAGTAGACAATTCAGCAATAATATTTATAGATTTCAGTACCTCACTTTCAAGAATGGAGAGATGATCTAGGCAGATCAACAAGGAAACAAAACACTTTACTAACAATATAAAACAATTAGACCTAACAGACATCTACAGAACACTCTCCCCAACCTCCACAGAATACACACTGTTCTCAAATGTACTTTGAAATTCATTAGGATAGAGCATATATGCTAGGCTATAAAACAATTCTTAATATATTTAAAAGAACTGGAATAAAATGAAGTGTGTTTTCAATCACAATGAAAGTAGAAATCAGTAACAAATTTGGGAAACTTACAAATACGAAGTTAACAACATATTGCTACATAACCAGTGAGTCAAACAGAAGCCAAAAAAAGAAATCAGAAAATACTTTTGAAATGAAGACACACCATACCAACACTCATGCAGCTAAAGCAGTGCACGGAGGAAAATTTAGAGTTGTTAATGCTTACACTGAAAATGAAGAAGGGCCAAGGGCGGTGGCTCACACCTGTAATCCCAGCACTTTGGGAGGCTGAGGAGGGAGGATTGCTTGAGCTCAGGAGTTCGAGACCAGCCTGGGTAACACAGCAAAATCTCGTATCTACAAAAAATTAGCAGGGCATGGTGGTGCACGGCTGTGGTCCCAGCTACTCAGGAAGCTTAGGGAAGAGGATCACTTAAGCCCTGGAGGAAGGCTGCCGTGAGCACTACACTCCAGCCTAGGCGACAGAGCAAGATGCTGTCTCAAAAAAAAAAAAAAAAAAAAAAAAAAAAGATATTGAAATATTAGAAAGGTATCTTTTAAAAGATACTGATATCTACGTAAAGGATTTGGGGAAAAAAGATATTAAGAGAAATAGTAAATTAATTACCTAAACATCCATCTTAAACCATCTTAAAACAACAGAAAAGGGCAAAAAGTAAGCCTCAAGTAAGCAGAAAGAAGGAAATAAGATTATATACTAATGAATAAAGAACACAAAAATAGATAAATGAAACCAAAAAGCTGGTTTTTAAAAGAAAAAGATCAAGAAAATTGACAAACCTTTAGCTAGACCAAGAACAAAAGGGAGGAGTCTCAAACTACTACAAAAAGCAGGGCACAGGGGCTCATGCCTGCAATCCCAGCACTTTGGGAGGCCAAGGTGGATGGATCGCTTGAGGCCAAGAGTTTGAGACCAGCCTGGGCAACATGGGGAAATTCCATCTCTACTAAAAATACAAAAACTAGCTGGGCGAGGTGGCACAGGCCTGTAGTCCCAACTACTCAGGAGGCTGAGGCACAAGAATCACTGGAAACCAGGAGGCTAAGGTTTCAGTAAGCCAAGATCATGCCCCTGTATTCCAGCCTGGACAACAGAGTGAGACTGTCTCAAAAAACAAAACAAAACGAAAACTACAATCATAAAAGGAAAAGGACATTACTACTGACCTTAAAGAATAAAAAAGAACAGAAGGAAATATTATAATTATTTGCCAACAATTTAGCCCAGAGGAAACAGACAAATTCTTAGAAAGACATACACTACCACAACTGATTCTAGAAGAAACAGATGATCTGAATAGACCTATAACAAATAAGAGACGGAATTATTCACCAATAAACTTCCCACAAGGAAAATCTCTGGTCTCAACAGCTTCGCTGCTGAATTCTACCAAACTTTAAAACATTAATACCAAGAAGCTCATATCCATGGGTCTTTCAGGCAGCTGTAAATTAAAAAAAAAGGCAAAGGAAAAAATATAATACCTAAATATAGAAGAGAACACTTCCTACTCAATTCTATGAGACCATTATTACCCTGATAATAAAACCAGACAAAGCCACAACAAGAAAACTACAGACCAATGCCTCTTATGCATAAGGATAAAATTCCTTAGCAATCACTGCTGCATGTGGAAACTTGAAAAAATAAATATTTTTTTTAACTGAAAACAAATTCCTCAACAAACTGTTGGCAAACCAAACCTAGCAACATATAAAAAGAATTATAGGCTGGGCACCGTGGCTCACGCCTATAATCCCAGCACTTTGGGAGGCCGAGGCAGGTGGATCACCTGAGGTTGGGAGTTTGAGACCAGCCTGACCAATATGGAGAAACCCCGTCCCTACTGAAAATACAAAAT
The DNA here is from genome assembly GCF_000001405.40 of Homo sapiens. Taxonomy (NCBI): domain Eukaryota; kingdom Metazoa; phylum Chordata; class Mammalia; order Primates; family Hominidae; genus Homo; species Homo sapiens. The sequence goes on along the minus strand of NC_000016.10, from coordinate 53,474,482 downwards.
TAGCCAGGGGTGGTGGCACATGCCTGTAATCCCAGCTACTTGGGAGGCTGAGGCAGGAGAATTGCTTGAACCTGGGAGGCGGAGGTTGCGGTGAGCCAAGATCTCGCCACTGCACTCCAGCCTGGGCAACAAGAGCGAAATTCCATCTCAAAATAAATAAATAAATAAATAAATAAATAAAAGAATTACAGCAGCCGGGTGCAGTGGCTCACGCCTATAATCCCAACACATTGGGAGGCTGAGGCATGAGGACTGCTTGAGCTTAGGAGTTCGAGACCAGCCTGTGCAACAAGGTAGACCCTGTCTACAAAAAATTTAAAAAATTAGCCAGGCATGGCAGCATGTACCTGTAGTCCCAGCTACTCAGGAGATGAAGGTGGGAGGACTGCTTGTAGTGAGCTATGATCTCACCACTGCACTCTAGCCTGGGTAACAGAGCGAGACACTGTCTCAAAAAAAGAAAAAAATAAGACTTACACACCATGACTGAGAGGGATTTACACCAGAAATGCAAGGCTGGTTTAACATAGGAAGATTAATCAGTGTAATATACTATATTAATAGAATAAAAAAAATAAGCACACGATCATCTCAATGGACACACAAGCATTTGACAAAATCTAATGCCCTTTCATGATAAAAAAAACACTCAATGAACTAAGAAAAGAAGGGAACTTCCTCAACCTGATAAAGGGCATCTATGAAAAAAACCATAACTACTATCATACTTTAATAGTGAAAAACTAGATGCTTTCCACCTAAGATCAAGACAAGGATTTCTGCTTTCGACAGTTCTGTTCAACTATACTGGAAGTTCTAGCAAGATAATTAGGAAAGAAAAAGAAATAAAAGGCATCCAGTTTGGACAAGAAGTAAAATTATAAGCAGATTACATGATTTCCTACATAGTAATCCTAAGGAATCTACTAGAAAACTATTAGAACTAATAACTTCTGCAAAGTTGCTGGATACTAGATCAATATACAAAAGTGTTTTTCTATACACTTGCAATGAACACGTTAACAATGAAACAACTACACTTGGAATAGCATCAACAAGAATAGGAATAAATTTAACAAAAGAATTGCAAACATACTCTGAAAAGTACAAAGCATTGTTGAAAAAAAAACAGAAGATCTAAATAAATGGAAAAACATCCTATGTTCATGGATCAGAAGATATAAAATTGTTAAGATGGCAATACTCCCCAAATGGATCTACAGATTCAGTGCAACCCTATCAGAATCCTAGCTTATTCCTTTGTGAAACTGATAATTTGATTCTAAAATTCATTTTTCAAGGGACTTCGAAAATAATCTTGAAAAGAAAAAAAAAGTAGGAGCACTCATATTTCCCAATTTCAAAACTTATAAGAAAGCAACTCTCTAATCTAGAGAATATGGTATTGCATAAGGATAGGCATATAGTCCAGTGGAATAGAATTTAGAGTTCAGAAATAAACCCAAATGTTGTCAACGGTCAATTGATTTTAAAGGAGGGTACCAAGGCCATTCAGTGAGGAAAAAAATCTTCTTTTCAACAATGGTGCTGAGACAACTGCACAACCACATAATCAGAATGGAAATGGACTGCTACCTCATACCATACACAAAAATTACTCAAAATTGATCAAAGACCTAACTATGAGATAAAACTATAAAAATCAAAAGACCTTGGGTTTGGTAATGGATTCTTAGGACACCCAAAGTGCAAGTAACAAACCAAAAAACAGGTAACTGGACTTCATCAAAATTAAAAACTTTTATGCTTCAAATGACACTATCGAGTAAGTGAAAAGATACACCGAATGGGAGAAAATATTTGCAAATCATACATCTGAGAAGGTAGTTGTATCCAAAATAAAGAATTCCAACAACTCAATAATAACATAATTTTAAAATGGGCAAAGGATTTAAAGATATTTCTCCAAATAAGATATGCAAATGGCCAGTAAGCACATGAAAAGATGCTTGACATCCTTAGTTATCAGGCAAATGAAAATCAAAACCACAATGATATATCACCCAATACCCGCTAAGATGGCTATAATAAAAATAATAAGTTGGCAAGGATGTGGAGAAACTGGAACTCTTGTGCATTACTGGTAGCAATGTCAAATGGTGCAGCTTCTGTGGAAAATGGTACGGTGGTTCTTCAAAAAAGTTAAACATAGTATCACCATATGACCCTGCAGTTCCACTCCTAGGAATAAACTCAAAAGGACTGAAAATGGGCACTCAAACAGGTACATGATATACCTGTTCACAACAGTGCTATTCACTATAGCCAACAGTTGGAAACAGCCCAAATATCCATCAGTGTATGAGTGGAGAAAAAAATTGTGCCTATCCATACAATGGAATATCATTCAGTCATAAAAAGGAATGAAGTACTGATACATGCTGCAACATGGGTAAACCTGGAAAATATTATCCTAAGTAAAAGGAGCCATACACAAGAGGTCACATATTGTACCATTTCTATAAACGATTAAGAACAGATAAATCCATACAGCCAGAATGCCAACTGCTGGTTGCCAGGTGCTGTGGGAGGTAGAATGGGGAGAAACTACTTAATAGGAAAGGAGTTTTACTTTGCAGGTACGGAAATGTTCTGGAACTAGACAGAGGTGGTGAGTATACAACCATTTATTACACTTAGTACTGTAAATGTGCTAAATGCTCCTAAATTGTTCAACTTAAAATAGTTAATTTGGCTGGGCCCAGTGGCTCATGCCTGTAATCCCAGCACTTTGGGAGGCCGAGGTGGGCAGATCACCTGAGGTCAGGAGTTTGAGACCTGCCTGGCCAACATGGTCAAACCCCATCTCTACTAAAAATGCAAAAATTAGCCAGGCATGGTGGCACATGGCTGTAATCCCAGCTACTCGGGAGGCTACGACAGGAGAATCGCTTGAACCTGGGAGGCAGAGGTTGCAGTGAGCTGAGATGCACCACTGCACTCCAGCCTGGGTGACAAGAATGAAACAACATCTCAAAAAAAAAAAGAAAAACCCAATTAATTTTATGTTATGTGAATTTCTCCTCAATAAGTTATTTAAACAAAGTAAGATAGTAAGTGTTAATGAGATAGTGGAGAAACTAAAATCTTTATTATACTGCTGTGTAAGTGTAAAATGGTACAGTACTTTGGAAAACAATCTAGCAATTCCCTAAATAGTTAAAACACAGTTAATGTATGACCCAGCAGCCCATTCCTAGGTATATACCCTAGAGAAATGAAAATACATGTCTATACAAAAACCCAAACACAAATGCTAATAGTGGTATTATGCATATATGCCAAAAGTAGAAACAACTAAAATATACATTAGCTAATAAATGGATAAAAATACTCTCATATAACTATACAATGGAATATTATGTTCTAAAATTGTGGTGAGTATTGCACATATCTGTGAATATACTAAGACCCATTTAGTTGTGCATTTTAAATAGGTGAATTATAGAGCATGTAAACTGTATCTCAAGACAGTGGTTAAAAAATGTTCTCAGTAATGAAGACCTATCTTTGCCTTTACAATTCCAAATGGTACTCACCTTTGCCATCACATAAATGGCACACATTAATAACTGGTCCAGATGTCTGTCCATCATAAGTTCAGGACACTGAATTATGGAGAATTCAAAGCAGGTCCAGATTTTTTTCCTCAATTCATCTGAAATATCTAGTTTGGCACAGAGATCCCGAAGGCGGACAGCTGCTAAATGGTATACCTAGGAGATAAAAACATTTCAAACTTTGTTTAACACTTGTATTTCCCAAGCTCATGCTCTGATAAGGTATGTGAAAAATTACCTTTCTAAAGAAAAGCGATAAAGAGCTGGTCTTCCTGGGTCTATTACTACTGCTGGTTACAGACTGGCCTTGCTTCTGCTGTTGGCCACCTGGGGAAATCTGTTGAATGGCCACTTGACCAGGGACTTGCAAAGTTGTTCCTGTCACCTGTTGAGAGCTCAGACTTCCAGCCAGGGCCTGAGCACTGAGGGGCTGGATGGAGCCTGTCACAGCTTGTGCCTGCCCCCCAACATTGACTTGGACAGGGAAGAATGTTATCCCTCCATTTTCATTGGCAATACCTAGTGACAGAGAAAAAAAGCATGAAGAAAATGTTGATAATAAGAGGTTCTCCGGGCAGAGGTTTACAATTTCTGCTCTCCCAAACCCTCTCTCCCCATCACTCCTCTGTCCCCTATGTCACTCTAGCCAAACCTCGGGTAACTTTTCAATACATGCCACAGAGAAGGAACTCAATATCCAACTCTGCCTTCCTTACCTTGCACAGGAATGGTTACCGTTTGCCCATTGTTGGCTGTGACAGTGGCGGTTGCCATGGTGACCAAAGTCTGTCCAGGAACTGGTGTGACAGAAACAGTCTCCCCAGATACATTCTGCACAGGGACAGCATTGACTAGGGGCTGTGGGGGCATGCGCCCAGGCGTCCCTCCATCAGAGGGGCTATCATTCTCAACAAATAGCCGCCTTCTGGTAGTGCTGGCTGGTGGGGAGCTGTACCTATCGTATAATGTGGTTGGAGATGTTATGCCTAGGGTCAAAACAAATCAAACAAAGCATTTAACTCAAGGAGACTCAGATCTGACTTCCGTCCAAGCTCTTATGTTAAAAAATAACTACAGTGTTTGAAATACTTCATAATTCAAAAAGCAAACAAGAATTACAGAAGTCATATCTTACCTATATTCATTAGTGAACTTTCATTCGTGTTCAGTGAACACTACTGAGAGCAAAATTTTAAAACGGAATTTTTTGTCTTGCAGTGTTCCTTTCTCCACGCCCCCTTTCCCAAATCAGACCTGACTCTGTCTTCCACTACTAAAGAACCTTCATGATTTAGGGGCAATTTAAGGAATTACCCTATTTTTCTATATTATATTTTTCTATAATATTTTCTATCATATCCACTTTCTACCTACCACTCATGTAAGATGTGATTTTACTACAGAGCCACTACTTGATAAGGGGACCTGATTGGTAGTATGTCATCTAGGAGCATTCCGCCACCGGTTTTATCAATTTTGATCTCTGTCTTTTTCCACATATAAAAAATTATTAAAACTCAATAATGTTCTTAAGCAAGGTGGACATGCATGATTTGGATTCAGTTAAGCATAATTTATTTTTTTAAAACAGTTTATATACCATAAATTTCATCTACTTAAATTATACAATTCAATGGTTTGGGGCAAATTGTTACTATTTTTTTTATTTTTTGAGACAGAGTCTTACTCTATCACCCAGGCTGGAGTGCAGTAGCCTGATCTCGGCTCACTACAACCTCTGCCTCCTGGGTTTAAGTGATTCTTGTGCCTCAGCCTCCCAAGTAACTGGGATTAGAGGCATATGCCACAAGGCATGGCTAATTTTTGTATTTTTAGTAGAGATGAGGTCTCACCATGTTGGCCAGGCTGGTCTCGAACTCCTGACCTCAGGTGATCCACCCGCCTTGGCCTCCCAAAATGCTGGTATTACAGGCTAGTTTTTTAAAATTGTGGTTATATATATAACATAAAATTTACCATTCAACCATTTTTAAGTGTATGATTCAGTGGTACACAACCCATTATGGCTTAGTCTATTTTTAAGTATTCACACCAATGTCTGAATTTTTGAGAAGCATTTCTTCCTTCTTCTGTGTCCACTTCTAAGAGCTGTGCATCAGAGTGTTTTTAAAATTTAAAATATACATAGAAAGTTTGTAAGAAGTACTGATAGGAGTAAATCCTAACAAACTGTGGCTTAACATTTCTATTTCCAGATGATACAAAAGTAAATAAACTTACTAGATTTGTATTTGGTACAAAGCTGCAGAATCAGAAAGAATAGATTATGATCATTTTTTCTTATAAAATATCAAGAGATCTCAGGAAAACTGAGAAGTGGTAAGTACAAAGAAAATGAAGTTTAAAGTCAAGTCTTCCTAATCTGTAGATTAGGGAACGGAAAATTCTACAAAAATAGACTAAGAAAGACCAGCTGTCAGATCTTTCAAAAATGAGGACTTTTCATAAGGATCATCCATGTGTATTAAGTATACACTTAGAGTGATTTTTTTGGGGGGGTTGGGGGTAGAGATGGTATCTTGCTATGTTGCCCAGGATGGTCTTGAACTCCGGGGCTCAAGTGATCCTCCCCACTAGGTCTCCCACAGTGCTGGGATTACAGGCATGAGCCACCATGCCCAGCCTAGAGTGAATCCTGACTTTAAAACTGGTATTCCTTCTATAGCCAGTTCTTATCAATTACATTATAAAACTGATCTAGAAATAAGAATATTCTTTTAATTGGATCCAAGGATTTAGAACTCTCTGGATTTACTGAATTGCTCTTTAAAAAAGTAGTTCTATCTCACATATGTAAACTAAAACCTTTCACCTTGCAGATCTTCTAAGCAGCTGCCTAAAAAATACAAACCAGATAGATAGCAAAACTGCCCTTTTCTGTATTTCTTGGGCCAGCACTAATGTCACATTAACTAGGGTAGCACAGCTCAACAAAGTGGAACATACTCAGTTGTCTTAACTCACTGGCTTGTCTATACCTAACTGGATCATGCAGCTCTATCTTTAAGAAGGCTTTTCTATTTCTGATTTTAAAAGTAATATGTATTTGCCTTAAAAATTTTACAGAAATCACCAGGAATTCTATCACCCAACAATGATCTTAACAGTTTGGTTTTTCCATTTCCACTATTTTGTATGCTCATAAATAAACATACACTTTAAAAATAGGGATCATATTAAATATACAGCAGTCAGCCGGGCACGGTGCCTCATGCCTGTAATTCCAGCACTTTGGGAGAACGAGGTAGGCGGATCACTTGAGGTCAGGAGTTCAAGGCCAGCCTGGCCAATATGGCAAAACCCCTTCTCTACTAAAAATACAAAAATTAGCTAGGCGTGGTGGCGCATGCCTGTAGTCCCAGCTACTCAGGAGGCTGAGGCATGAGAATCGCTTGAACCCGGCAGGCAGAGGTTGCAGTGAGCTGAGATTGGGCCACTGCACTCCAGCTTGAGTGACAGAGCAAGACTCTGTCTCAATAAATAAATAAATAAATAAAGCAGTCTATCCTTTTTAAAAGATACCTGTTATATCATGCATTTTCCTGTGTTCTTAGTCTTTAAAGGCCCTTCTTTTAAGTGATCCATGTGGTACAAAAATGCATAGAATATTTTCTTCTATGTATACCCTATTAACTTCACTTGTAGGGTTAGATGAAATTTAAATTTCCAGATAGTAAGCCCCAAAATATTCTCCTAGTATTTTAAACTTACTCCTTCCAAGTCCTCCAGTATCAGCACGAACTTCAGTCACCCTTCTGGGAGTCAAAGGGGAGCCAGCAATGCAAATTTCATCTGCCCTTTCCAGGTTCTGAGGTGGCATGACCTATGAAGAATTGGTTACACAGAATGCCAGTATCCAAAAAAGCACTTTAATTACAAATACAATAGTAATCTAAGGCAGAAAAAGTATCTTAACAATTATTCCATCTAAATAAAATCAGCTGTCTTTCCCATTTTAATAATAAAGTTAAAAAAAAAACTTTTGGCAGTCAAAAAATTCAAAACCTTGTAATTGGATACTAAATATGAGTCAAACTTCATTACTGGTTTGGAGAGTTTGAATATCAACCACTCTAAAGCAGGAGTCCCCAACCCCTGGGCCATGGACCCTGTTAGGAACTGGGCAACATAGCAGGAGGTGAGCAGCAGGCAAGTGAGCATGCGAGCAAAGCTTCATCTGTATTTAAAGCTGCTCCCCATCGCTCACATTGCCGCCTGTGCTGGCCTCCTGTCAGATTAGTGGTGGCATTAGATTCTCACAGGAGTGTGAACCCTATTGTGAACTGCACACATAAGGGATCTAGGTTGCATGCTCCTTATGAGAATCTAATGCCTGCTGATCTGTCACTGTCTCCCACCGCCCCCAGATGGGACCATCTAGTTGCAGGAAAACAAGCTCAGGGCTCCCACTGACTCTACATTTTGGTGAGTTGTATAATTATTTCATTATATATTACCACGTAATAATAATAGAAATAAAGTGTGCAATAAATGTAAGGCAGTTGAATCATCCCAAAATCTCTCCAACCCCCAACCCTGTCCATGGAAAAATTGTCTTCCATGAAACTGGTCCTTGGTGCCAAAAAGGTTGGACCACTGCTCTATGGGAAAGAAACTTGGTAAGGAAATCAAGAAAGAACACTGAATTTTTACTCTGTCACCAAAATCTTAGGACAACCACAAATTATCTGACTCGTTTCCTCTTTGACATGGGGTGAAATGTGACAGGTCACCTACCTTACTTAAGGGTGTATGTCTGCTGCCTAAACCCTGAAGGCTAGGCAGTGAGCCAAGGCCATGGTGCCCAGCCAAGGAACAGGTGTCCCTGAGAACCCCAACATCCCAGAGAAGATCTGAGAAACTACCAAGGAAAACAGTCCCATCGTGCACACACATAGTAGGCAAAGAGCCAGAAAATTAGCTTAAAAGCAGCTTAGCGATGGGAGGTGGCGAGGATCTCTAGAGCTGTCCTGCTGCTACCTAGGAGTACCCTGTATATAAGTCTTTTATTTTTCCCCACCACCTCTGCCTCCTCCATATGTAAGTCTTAATAAACGTTATCTACTTACCAAGCTGGACTTGTCTGAGTCATTCTTTGGTCTCTTGGCACCTTCCCAATTTGTGGGTAGAGAGGGACGTTACAGTCCAAGATTTTTCTCATAACAAGGTGTAATTATAACATATTAAACCTAATTGCCACCCTCCCATCCCCAAAAGGATTATTAATAGATTAGATATTGATGTATTTTTCTCATAAAAAGATGTTATTTTCACAAACCTCTTCACATGTAGGAACTCTGTTTTCATTGTCTCTAATTTTTTCCCAGAGTGGAGACTCTGGTTTCCATGCCAAATGATCTAAGATCTGTTCTTCAATCTGATTAAGGTGTTTTACCACCTCTCTACAAAGGCCATCTTCTGCTCTAATGAATACTTCTATCACCTGAAATAAAAAATGTCTTGGTTCACTGAATAATTATTAAATATTTTTAAATATTTAGACAAGAAATTAGTCAAAATTACAAGTTGAAGTATTATTTTGAAACAGCCGCTCTTCCTTTTACTGTCTTTGTAAATAATTATAGTTCAAACTATGAATTATATAAAATGGTTTACATTGTGATGTATTTCAAAATTTTTTAATGAAAATACATGTTTTGTACATTGAGGTTGAAAAACATTACTCTTAAAATTTCATATAAAAATCTCTAAACATTTAATCTATGCCACTATAAAAATTAGTTTTGACTATCTTATGAGAGTTAAGATAAACTCATATGCTAAGTCAGTATCAAGAAATAGCTACCAGCCTGTAATCCCAGCACTCTGGGGGGCCGTGGCGGGCAGATCACGAGGTCAGGAGATCGAGACCATCCTGGCTAACACGGTGAAACCCCGTCTCTACTAAAAATACAAAAAATTAGCCGGGTGTGGTGGCGGCCGCCTGTAGTCCCAGCTACTCGGCAGGCTGAGGCAGGAGAATGGCGTGAACCCAGGAGGTGGAGCTTGCTGTGAGCTGAGATGGCGCCACTGCACTCCAGCCTGGGCGACAGAGCAAGACTCCATCTCAAAAAAAAAAAAGAACTAGCTACCAAATCAATGCTTTAACTCTATGCCTCTCTGTAACACATGAAAGAGAACTTTTTATTTTTTTTCTGACATTTTCAATGGTATTTAATTTTCATAAAATAAAAAAAGGCTGCTATACAAGATTAGCTAGTGACATGTGTGCTACTTTTTTTAAGCCTTCTCAGCTCATAAAAATCACAGTATTCTAAAAACTTTTATTAGATAGAGAGGAATCAAAGCTTTTACCCAAAATAGATCTTTCATACAATATTAAAAGAATTTACATAGGTCTTAAGATTCTATTTCTTTTCTACTCCACAAATAGAGATTAACTATGTAAATAAAAACAGAATAAATGTTCTTAGATGTTAACTTGAACTAAATGACTAACAACAGGAAGTTGGTCTCATCTACAATATCCCCATTAGTATCATATTTTTAAAAATACCTTATAAAAATGATAAAGAGGCACATCAAATATTTCAGTAATAAATGGAAAATTCCCAGGAGGCTTATAAGAAAAAGTGACGACCTCAAGGCAGCAGGCCAAGAGAGATCTGTGGAACGCATCTTGTTCCAGAATACCCTATAAAATAAAGTTATTAGCATTAGAAACATTTACTTAGTCTAAAAAGTCATTTCATACCCAGTGAACTTAAGTGAAAATACCAAAGAAAGTCTCATTTTCTGAGTGAGTGCAAAGTGTGTCCTTATTTTCTTACAAAACCTTTCTTAATTATATAAATAAAGCCCATTTTTTAGTAGAGGAAATATATAAAAGGAATGTATGAGAATTTTAAAACCTTACCTATTATAAAATGTATCTTAAAAGAGATTACATCTCTAACCAAAATACACACACACACTGATGCTTAGAAGAACAATGACAGGGAAAGATGTTTCAAAACAGTATTTACAGTAAGTGCTATAAAAAACTGAAAGGGGGACCGGGCGCAGTGGCTCACGCCTGTAATCCCAGCACTTTGGGAGGCCAAGGTGGGCAGATCACCTGACGTCAGGAGTTTGAGACCAGCCTGACCAACATGGTGAAACCCCATCTCTACTAAAAATAGAAAATTAGCCAGGTGTGGTGGCACACACCTGTAGTCCCAGCTACTCAGAGGCTGAGGCAGGAGAAGCAATTGAACCCAGGAGGTAGAGGTTGCAGTAAGCCGACGTTGCACCACTGCACTCCAGCCTGAGCAACAAGAGCGAAACTCTGGCTCAAAAAAAAAAAAAAAAAAAAAAAAGGAAAAAAAAATATTGAAAGGGGCCAGGCAGGTGGCTCATACCTGTAATTCCAGCACTTTGGAAGGCCGAAGCAGGCAGATCACCTGAGGTCCAGAGTTTGAGACCAGCCCAGGCAACACTGTTCAAGAATCACTTGAATCTGGGAGGCAGAGGTTGCAGTGAGCCGAGATTGCACCACTGCACTCTAGCCTGGGCAAGAGAGTGAGACTCTGTCTCAACAACAAACCCAAAAAAACAGAAAGGCAGGCAGGCAGGTGACTGGCTAGATGACCATGTACCAAAAGTGAATATGTTTATCATAGGATGACATTAATCATAGATGATTTTTATTTTGTTCTTTTTGCTTATAATTTTCCAACATTGTCAATAATTATTATTTTTTAATTAAAAGCTACTGAAGCACCAAAGGCACAGGCAACAGGCCAGGTGCGGTGGCTCACGCCTGTAATCCTAGCACTTTGGGAGGCCAAGGCATGCGGACCACCTGACGTCTGGAGTTCAAGACCAGCCTGGCCAACATGGCAAAACCCCATCTCTACGAAAAATACAAAAATGAGCTGGGCATGGTGGCACATGCCTATAATCCCAGCTATTTGGGAGACTGAGGCAGGAGAATTGCTTGAACCCAGGAGGCGGAGGTTGCATTGAGCCGAGATCGTGCCACTACACTCCAGCCTTGGCGACAGCGCAAGACTCCATCTCAAATAGGTAAATACATACATACATACATACATAAAACAAAAGCACAGGCAACTAGTGAAAAAATATATTGGATTTCATCAAAATTAAAAACTTTTGTGTATGAAAGGAGACTATATATAAAGTAAAAAAAACAACCCACAGAATAGGGCAGGAAGGAAATTATGTTTCATTGCGCTGATCAATACATTGGTTATTTTACTCACAGATAAATCCATGTCTCCTAGTCTTTTTTGTTCCTGCTCAATAACAGATTCTAATACTTTATAGTAAAGCATCTCCGCAAAACGAAAATGTTTGCTGGCAATTTCTGTAGAAATAATAAAAAAAAAAACCCCACAAAAATGGCACACAAAGAAAATAAAGGCCCATTCCTCCTCCTTTACTCACAAAATAAAATTCAAAACCAACCCAATACTTTAGATATGCACACTTCTTATGATTGGTGTTTTAATTATCCCTAAGATACCTTAATTTTCTTCATGGTAACAGTCACATTTTTCTAAAATTATTAAATGAAATTTGCACATAAGGAACTGTAATATCATTTAAGACTAACACCCTTTTTTTTCCTCTATGTTTGAACAAAACAGACCAATGCTAAGAGGTATGTAATTGGCTTACTAGTCCACACCTACTTAGTTCCAATTCCTGACAGCAAACAATTCCTAGGCCAGGTTTGGGCCCATAACAGTGATATCTCCTGTCCTTATTCTCAATATGTTGAAGAATCACTACACTTCTATTTAATTTCCAGTTTACAAAAAAAACCTAAAGATTTGCAGATAAAAAAGCATCAGAAGTCCAATATAATAAAGATACCATTCTAAAATTTCTATCTTACTGAGAAGGGCTCAGAAATCAGTTGGTTGACCAGAAAAATTGGACAGCCATATCCTAGCCTTCAGTCTAAAGTCATAAATCTTTTCCTCATCTTTCTTAGTTAGTAAGAAATGACTCCATTTAGTTAAACTTCAAACATAAAAGCAGAATAACAATGTTAAACCTTACCTTTAGCACAATTACTGAAATCCTCGTCTGGCTGGAAATGCTGAGAATATATTTCAAACATTTCTTTCAGTCTGTTAGCAATAGCCTGGGTTGGATCTCTGGAACATGTCCTAAAAAAGGTAATGAGAAATAACATAATTTAAAGGTCTTGTCAAGTCACAAGGGGATAAAATGTTTCTATAATTTCACTAACATGTAAATATAAAACACTCTGAACAGAAACTATACACTTCCCAAATTAATCCAAGAGATCCCATACTTCCTTTTCAAAGGTGGTGGTATTACCAGTTTGAATGAAAAAAAAAAAAACTTTTCTTGTGGGAGCTACACCTTTTATTTTATATATATATATTTTTTTTGAGACAGAGTCTCGCTCTTTCACCCAGGATGGAATGCAGTGATGCAGTCTTGGCTCACTGCAACCTCCACCTCCCAGGTTCAAGTGATTCTCCTGCCTCAGCCTCCAAGTAGCTGGAACTGCAGGCACCTGCCACCACGCCCAGCTAATTTTTGTATTTTCAGTAGAGATGGGGTTTCACCATGTTGGCCAGGCTGGTCTCGAACTCCTGGCCTCAAGTGATCCACTTGCCTCAGGCTCCCAAAGTGTTAGGATTACAGGAATGAGCCACTTCGCCCGGCCGGGGATACACCTTTCAGTGCAGGAAGTTTAGCAACCTTGGCCTGGGCCCATTCGATATCTATGACTGTCCCCCACCTGTCCTACACATCCCCAGTCACTGATTATCCCAAACTTGCCCTTAACTATTTCCCTAGAGGACAGTAAAACTCCCATTAAGAACACCTGGAAGAAAATAGAATGAAGGGGTGTAAAACCCATACTACAGACTCACATAAACTGTTCCTGGCATTCTACATTTTTTTCCCGCCAACGAGGTTTACTTCAGTCTTTCTATTATTAGAAAGCAATATATGTTCAATCCAGAAGCATTATACAAATTATCACCATGTAAGCTTTTTGTAACAACTGTTTTTATCTTGATCACAAATATATATATAATTATATACATATTCTTTGTGAAAATGAAGCAAGTTTAAAAAATTATAAAGAGAATAAAAATCAATTACAGTCCTGCTAGAGATAACTACTGAATACATATACAAGCAGAATTTTTCTGGGAACACACACACACATACCTTTCAACAAAAATAGCACCCTTTATTTTACCTAGTATTTACTGGTAATATTTATTTAACCCCACTAATGGTACCTAAGATTTAAAATGCTGTTATGCCTAGTTAGAAACTGTAAAGCGATCTGGAAGACACAGAGATTAAGATGGCTTCTGAAATGTATTTACGAAATGCTTCTAAATTCAAGGCAAACAAGGTGCATCTGAAAAACATGACTCAGGAAGAGGCCACAGAGATATAACTTGTTGAGTATAAATCACAATCAAGTTTATGAATAAAGCAGACTTCACTAAAATGTAAAGGAAAAGTAGTTGGCATTTAAGAAGCCTGGCTATGAGTGGGAAATTACTTATGTGTACATATAGGGTCTTCTTGATATACCATCATCAGAAATAAAATGGGGTCCTTTTGGGTCTACGTTATCATATCATAAGGTTTTAGGACTGAGAGGGACCTTGGAGGTAACTTTTCAAATCAACTTGCCAAAGGTTATGCATAAGATGATGAGATTCAGCCTACTGGGCTTTTAATTAAAACTCAATGATATTCCTACCAGTCTCAGGGAGATCAAAGGAACTAAATGCAGTGAACTTCCTTTCCAGGATAAGGATGTTTTATAGAGCTTACAAAAGTTACAGTGGTTTTTGTCCTGCTTTATGAACATGTGGAACTCTATTAATCTTTTCAAATCTGAGTCACCCTTCAGAACTTACCTCAGGTTCAACCCTCTTCATAAAGTCCTTTGACAATTCCCATCATCACTGAGCTTCCCCCCGCCCCCACCTCACCACTCCCTGAAATCTTGAAAGAACAGTTGGCAATAAGACACTTTTGTGTTTTACTCTACACTGTCTGGTGTTATTAGTTACTGTGTCTTGTATTATATTAAAGAAATCTAAGGAAAGAAGATCTTCCACTTATACATCTTATTGCTAGGTCCTCTATAGACTCACAACAGGACTGAGTATACAATTGATAAAAAATTATTCATGGGTGAATTAAGGCATTAATAATGAAAGAATAGGAAATTGGAAAATGGTCAATAACCAAATCTTAGAAAGCAGACAGGGCTCAAACTAACCTGAGAATCTGTTCCAGTTTCTCACTTGGTGCATTCCTGAGGCCTGTCAGCATGGTGTGAAGACGACTCAAGCTATGCGTAGCTGTAGAAACTGGAGTCACACAAGGGCTATTCTCCTTAATGTACCTAACACCAGTTAGTGGTGTGGAGATTCTAAGTGCTTTGGACTAAAGAAAAAAAAAATTACACAGAATTAATAAACATTTTTTAAAGAACATTATTTTAGGCCAGAAAGACTTTAATTCACTTCACAAATGGGACTTCAAGCCAGTAAGACTTTATCTTTACAATATCAATAAATTTTAGTGACTCAAATGTCACCATTCTTGGAATTTAAACATAACAGCATTAAGAGCCGCCAATATCCATGTGAAGACGAAGGTGTGAAAGAATAATTTGTATTTTAGCTAACTAAAAGTTTGTCTCTTAAAAGTTAAAACTCTAAAATAAGGTACAGCTCCCTACATTCCCTCTTGTAAAACTTATGCTCGGAGGCAAAGATAAGCATTCTGCTCACCTGAAAAATTAAGATTATTCTCAGCTCTGAGAAACAGAATTTCACAATTCCCATCTACTGCTATTTTTGCAGACACTCAAAGATAAAAGAAAATTGTGATTAAATTTGGTTCCAAAAAAAATCCATGATTTAACAAAAGCCTACTGATATGGTTTGGCTATGTCTGCATCGAAGCCTCAACTTGAATTGTATTTCCCAGAATTCCCATGTGCTGTGTGAGGCACCCAGTGGGAGGTAATTGAATTATGGAGGCCAGTCTTTCCCGTTCTATTCTTGTGATAGTGAATACGTCTCGCGAGATCTGACGGCCTTATCAGGGGTTTCCACTTTTGCTTCTTCCTCATTTTTCTCTTGCCACCGCCACCTAAGAAGTGCCTTTCGCCTCACACCATGATTCTGAGGACTCCCCAGTCATGTGGAACTGTAAGTCCAATTAAACCTCTTTTTGTTCCCAGTTTTGGGCATGTCTTTATCAGCAGCGTTAAAATGAATTAATACACCCACCATCCAAATATTCAAATTTGCTTCAGAGACAGATAATAAGTTGAACATTCCCTAAAAAGGCAACTTGATGCAGAACAGCCTTCATTGGTCTTCCTGCCCCTCCTCTACCTTTGGTTACCAGAATCTATCACAGGTTCTCCCCCTAAGGTAGACAGGTCTTCAGAGAAATAAGTTAAAGTCAACATTCTTGACAATAAATATGGAGAAGATGTGACTTGGTGTCAAAGGAGCCAGTAAAACATCTTTCTGATTTTTCAAATAAACTCTGAAAGGTTAAGATAGCTTAACAATGTCTTTTAATATTCAAGATAAAATTTCCCTGTGTATTAAATGTACTTATTCTAATTTTTTAAAAAACCTAGCAAAACTTTCACCTGGCAACAGAGCCAACTATTCAAGTTTCATAAGATATAGAAAAGCACAGAAATTTACTGTATACAGAAACAAACCTACATGTTTTCTCTATGTCTTAAAGTGTAATACAACTAAGACTTTCACTTTGTTTCAAAGAAATTCATTCTATAATTAAGTCAATAAAATGATTTGGGTAGATTATTGCATTCAAAAGGCTGCTCCCTGCCTTACAAGGTTTCTTGCAGCCAACTACTTCACTGTGCATGAACCGATGCCTACATTGGGAGGCACTGGGAGGGAAAAACACCTTGTACACAAACAGGAGAATCAACAGCAGCCAGCAGCATATAACCACATCACCCACAGGCAGCAGTAGTTTCACAGAGGAAACTAGGTGTGACAACCACAAACAGCTTCCTGCCAGAGTCCTCAAGGTCAACATGGTGCTTCTTGGTAGCACTGTGCTTAGCTTAAAGCTTCCTGTTCATTCTGATCAAGAGGAATCTTTAACTTGGGTGCAAATATTAAGTCGGTATCTTAAAAATATTAGGATGTTCCATCTCCAAATGAAGACTTACAAAATTTGGAGTGACCCTGAGCTTTGTCCTTAGTCCTCTTGTATTCTCTCTCAATTCATACCTCTAAGTAATCCCTCCTCATTTTATAGCTTTAAAAGCCATCTACGGCTGGGCATGGTGGCTCACGCCTATAATCCCAGCACTTCAGGAAGCCGAGGCGGGAAGATCATGAGGTCAGGAGTTCAAGACCAGACTAGCCAAGATGGTGAAATGCCGTTTCTACTAAAAATACAAAAAATTAGCTGGGCATGGTGGCAGGCACCTGTAATCCCAGCTACTCAGGAGGCTGAGGCAGGAGAATCGCTTGAACCCAGGTGGCAGAGGTCACAGTGAGCCGAGATTGCACCACTGCACTCCAGCCTGGGTGACAGAGCGAGACTCCATCTCAAAAAAAAAAAAAAAAAAAGCTATCTGTACCCACCCTGATGACCCCAGGACATATATACACAACCCCTAACCTCTACTGTGAACTGTGAACTCCGGTCTTGTATACCTCAACTGTCTATTCAACTTCTCTACTAGGATGCTTAAAAGACATCTCTAATTTAACATGCTAATAACCCTAACTCTTGATTCCCCTTCCCCCAGACTTGCTCTTCCCTCTTAATAAATTTCAGTAGTAAATGTTCCCCGAATGTCTACTATGTGCCAAGCGCTGCATACAACACTGGTCACAGCCTTGGTGAAGCTTATATTCTAATGCAAGGAGACAGGTAATAAACAATTCTTTCTACCTACCTCCCTACTTACTGTCAGACAGTGATAAATACGAAGAGAAACACTAGCAAGCAGAGTCAGGGGGAAAAGAAGTCCTGAGGGTTGGGGAGGATGTTGTGGTTATTATTGACATAGCAGTTGGGTTATCAGAGACCAGAATGAAGTGAGAAGGAAGCCACATGAGTCTCTTGAAGCAATACAGTTTAGGCAGAGGGAATTGCAAAGGCAAAGGCTTTGTGTTGCAGGCATGCCTGGCATATCTGAAGAACAAAAAAGGAGGTTAATGTGGCATAAGTGGGTGAGGAGGGAGGAAAGTAGATGAATTCAGAGAGAGCCAGGGCCAGATAACTTACAACATTACAGGCACTTGTCAGGATTTTAGCTTTTATATCATTCACCCAACTGGAGACATCACTGTTCTCTTTTTCTCATACCCTAGATACAAACCCTCGGTAAATCCTGTGGGTGCCATCTCCAAAATATGGCCCAGCTACAAACCATTCTCTGAAGCAAGCCACCATAAACTATTGCCAGAATCATTCCAATAGCTTCTTAACTCCCTACTTCCACCCTTGCCTCTAATCCCACTTTCCCAGAAGACCTTTAAAAATGTAAATCAGTCACTCCTCTTAATAACCCTCTTAATGGCTTTCACCTCAATCAGAGCAGAAGCAAAAGTCCTTACGATGGCTTCCAAAGCCTACACGGTCTGTCTGGCTCTCTTGTTCCCTCTTCCCTGCATTTCTTTTTCTTCTTCTTTTCTTTTTTTTTAAAGACAGGCTCTTGCTCTGTCACCCAGGCTGGAGGGCAGTGACGCGATCACGGCTCACTGCAGCCTGGAACTCCTGGGCTCAACGAATCCTCCTAACTCAGCCTCGCAAGTAGCTGGGCCCACAGGTGGACACAACCATGGCCAGCTTATTTTTTGTATTAATATTTTATGTAGAGACGGGGTCTCACTTTGTTGCCCAGACTAGTCTTGAACTCCTGGGCTCAGGCAGTCTTCTGCCTCAGTCTCCCAATGTGCTAGGATTACAAGTATGAGCCATCACACCTGGCCTCCCGTCACTTCTTACCACTTTTTCCCTCACTCTATTCCTACCACACTAGCATTCTCACTGTTCCTCCAAAAAGCTAATCCTGTTCCAACCTCACGGCTTTGCATTTGTTATGCTCTCAGCTTCAAATACATTTACCCAGCTATTCATATGGCTTGCTTCCTCACTTACTTCTGGTGTGTGACACCGTTCCCAACCACCTTACCTACCACAGCCCACCCATCCCATTCTCCCCTCCCCTCAATATTTTGTATTACTACTCTATTTTCTTCATCTATCATCACCCAACATACTATATATTTACTTGTTTATCTCCTGTCCATCTCCCCACACTGGAATATAAGCTTCTTTAGAACAGGGTTCTCGTGGTTATTTTGTTCACTGCTTTATCTCCAGTGTCCAGGACACAACCTGACATATAAAATGCTTTAGGAATATCTGTTGAATGAATAAGCAGACCAGTCTCAAGTCTGAAGCAGCTCACTTCCAGGTGAACTGGCCCTTGGATTACCCAGTGTTTCCCTGGTGGCACTTGCCAGAAGTTTGGTGTTTTCTGTTCCACCACATAGCAGAAGGGAAACTCTTGGCCTGCATCACTCTAAGTGTCTGTTTGAAATAATACCACGTGGTCCTGAAATTCAGTTTAAAAGAATTTTCTTAAAGACTGTAGATCCTCATTTTCTCCAGTCTCTTAAATGAAGGCCCCAGTCAGGTCAATTATCACTTTCTAAATGCCTACACTATGTTCACTACATATAAGACCATATATTACTGGCCCATCTTTTTAAAACCAACAATTATCAGCATGACACATTTGTTTAAATTTATATTAATTTCTTTTTCTCAGACCTCACTAAAATGAATGAAAGTTGATATTAACAAAGCAAATATCATAGAGATACCTTTTTCAATTAAGAGAAGTATGATGAGAATTTTCTCCTTCATACTGTAGGCAAGTAAAACACAAACATGAAATTACCAAAATAAAAAAGAACCCCTGGCTTACCTGCTCCTGTATTTCTACTCTTCTGGCATGGCTAAACTCACCTTGTCAAAATGCTGCTGTAAGATGTTTTTCATCTGCACCCTTTCAGCAGTCTCTGTTCCTGAACCAGCGTTCAGACACCTTGAGAGAGTCCCAATTTCCTCCTCAGCATCCTCTCCAAGAAATATCCGCTCATCTAAATTCCCAACAGATAAAACATACTCCTCATAGGCCTTATTGATGGCTTTACTATAGGAAAAACAAATACAGACAAAATGTACTCTCTCACAGAACTGCCATTTCAATTAATTATTTCATTTTTTTATTTACTAAAAGTTCTAATAGTTTTTTGAAAGTTAAACTTTGGTAGGGTAACTTGTAGTTATAAGAACTGGATAGTATAGCTGGGTGCAGTAGCTCCCGTCTGTAATCCCAGCACTTTGGGAGGCTGAGGCAGGTGGATCACGAAGTCAGGAGTTTGAGACCAGCCTGGCCAATATGGTGAAACCCTGTCTCTACTAAAAATACAAAAATTAGCTGGGCATGGTGGCACGTGCCTGTATTCACAGCTACTCAGGAGGCTGAGGCAGAAGAATCGCTTGAACCTGGGAGGCAGAGGTTGCAGTGAGCCGAGATCATGCCACTGCATTCCAGCCTGGGCGACACAGCGAGACTCCATCTCAAAAAACAAAACAAAACAAAAACTGGATAGTATCACATGTAATCCTGCTATCCCCAAGCTCATCCATCACACAGTACAAGTATTTTGCTGACAGTGTTTCAGCTGCTGGTAGGTGCAACTTCCGGTGAGAAGCTTAACTATCTGTCTAGCTGCTCTAGGCACCCCTGAAGACTTCCACACTTACACATCATCAATTTTCACCCATATAGTTCCAAAAGAATTTATTTCAAAATTTATAATCCAGAAGCTTAAAGAAACTTCAAAAACAGCCATACAATTTTGAACACATTTAAAAAGTGTGCTTATATTTAGGTGACAGAATTTTTGCTTCCCTGTATTCTCTCACAAAACATATTCTCAGTTTCCAGAGTACAAACAATAAAAACACTAACTTCTGAAGTTTCCTAAGTATACAATTTAAAATATTAAAACATTTTATACAGAAGTACTCACAAACTCTCTCCAAAGTTCCCAGGTTCTAGAAACCCAGTGAGATTTTCTTCTTTTCCCTTAAGGAGCTATGATGAAAGAAGAGATCCTTAAGTCGTCATGTTAAATCAAGTTTTTCTCCAGAAAACATTTTCACGTTATTTCTTTGCTACTTACAAACCTTTTTTTCATAAAGTTTCCTAATATAGGGTTTCCAGAAATGTTCCTTTATCCCCTTTGCTTCCAAAACTAGGCCATCATGTAAGGAACACAGTTTCTCAATGATACAAGGGGGGTCAGAGGAAGGTTTAGAATCTTTAGCATGAAAATCTTCAGATAAGCCTATGGTGTATAGAATCACAAAACAGAGATATCAGCACACAATAAGCCAATTTGTAATAAACTAAAATGTAAAACATAGAGTATAATCAGTATACCACTTAGCATACAAATGTATAGGAAACAGTATATATGGGCCTATTTCAACGCTAAGAATTTGTCAAAAAATGGCAAATAGAAGTAAAGTGTATCATTACTCGAAAGATTTCAGTTATTCAATTATTTATGTAGAGATGGTTAAGGGAAACTTAAAACTTAAATTTTAGGATATCAAATTTTAGGATACTAAGATCTAAAAACCACAAAATACAACTTTGCAAGTAAGTCTACTTTTAAACAAAAAACACCACTTTAAAAAAATTACACTGTTCAGATATTATATACTTTAATTTGAATGTATTAGATGTATTTCATACTAGTTTACAATTTATTCTTGCCCTAGACTCAGCACAAAAGAAAAAAAATCAAATAAAAATAAAAGAGGTAAAGGTTGGGCATAGTGGCTCCATTCCTATAATCCACTTTGGGAGGCCAAGGTGGGTACATCGCTTGAGTCCAGGAGTTTGAGACCAGCCCAGGAAACATGGCGAAACCTCATCTATACTGAAAAATACAAAAAAATTAGCTGGGTGTGGTGGTGTATGTCTGTAGTCCCAGCTACCTGGGAGGCTGAGATGAGAGGATCATCTGAGCCCAGGAGATTGAGGCTGCAGTGAATTGTGATTGCACCACTGCATCCCAGCCTGGGTGACAGAGTGAGACCCTGTCTCAAAAAAAAAAATTCTTTTTAATTTAAAACAAAAAAAAGATAAAAGTGAAAGGAAGCAGCTTTTTGGGAATATACAAGGGAGTTATGATAGAAATGAGAGAAAGAACAGAAAAGAATATGAGGAACATTAAATTTACCATACCAGGAGCAACTGAACTCCACTAATTTTAAAAATCTACCTTGATAGACAAGCTGAAATTTTAACTGAAATTACCTCAAAACTGAGAATCACCCAGAATCCTATTACAATATTACTCAAATAGCAGCAGCAATATTTATTTTAACTCTATACATACTTTTTAATATTTGCTTTGTAAATCATAATTTGGGCTTGTAACTGTTTATCATTCATAGAAATTATATACCTAAGTTCTATTAAATGCAATGCCAAAATCATCATTTCCATATATCTGTTAGTTTAAAAGATGAAAGTTCATTTTCTTTATTTTAGAACCATAACTATTCTTCTGTACCAAAATTTGAAGTAAGATTCTTTCAACAAATTCTTTTTGATCTCCTACAATGTGTCAGGCACAAAGTTTGCCAATGTAGAAAAACATCATCGGCTTTAATGTCATCTTCGCAACTCTGAGTTTCTAAATGCCTTCTCCTTGTTGAGTATATATTTCAGAAACTTCTGAAGTTGTCATTTAAGACTTTAAACTTTGTGGTATCTGCAACTGTTTATCCAAAAATATTTTTACAGGCAGCTTGACTCTTAGTTATAAGTACCCTGGATAGCCGTAATGACAGGAGCTCTTCAAAATACTGATGCTAGGAAACCTGTACAACTCCAAGGGTAAACATAACACAGAAACGCAGATTGCCCAAAAATCTTTGATTTACAAACCTACCTTTAAAATTAGGGTTCACAAGTTCTTTACGATTAGAACACTGAAGTGCATTTCCATAAACTAAGTCCAAAGCACACAGCAGCAGGTGATAAGAATTGACCAAATCATCACTAATCATGGGGAAATTACCTGCAGGATTATAAGCAGTTACAGAGTTAAATTAGCATTGACTTTGTAACATTTTTAAAAAATTTCTTCCTTTACTTATTATGACATTACAAAACAATTGTACAAAATTGACTCATTACAATAAGTGTTTTGGCAAATTTACATTTTGACATATTACTCTTATATCTTAATAAATTTCTTTATTTATTTATTTTTAAGAGACAGAGTCTTGGTGGGTCACCCAGGCTGGAGTACAGTGGTATGATCATGGCTCACTGCACCCTCAACCTCTTGGGCTCAAGGGATCTTCCTGTCTCAGCCTCCTGGGCAGCTGAAATTACAGGTACACGCCACCACACATGGCTAATTTAAAAACTTTTTTTAGAGATGGAGTCTTGCTATGTTGCCCAGGCTGGTCTTGAACTCCTGGACTCAAGTGATCCTTCTGCCTTGGCCTCCCAAAGTGCTAGGATTACAGGTGTAAACCACCATGCCTGGCCTTTAATAAATTAATAAATGTCTAACAGCTTAGTGAAAACTATAACTTTACTAAAAATGCCATTCATTCATTAAGTGTTTATTAAATACCTAGTAGCTGAATAAAACTTTATCATTGGTCTTTTCTTTGAAAATTCTGAACACAAAACATTTATAAATTATCTCAAACTGTAAGAAATTGTTTTGCATGAAAACATTTTTCTGTCATGAAAATTATTAGAAATACTTAGGAGACAGCCGAAAAAATAATTCACTTAATTATTCTCATATACATTTTTTTTTTTTGAGATGGAGTCTCACTGTCGCCCAGGCTGGAGTGCAGTGGCACGATCTCAGCTCACTGCAAGCTCTGCCTCCTGAGTTCATGCTATTTCTCATACACATATTTTTAAAAGACCAGAACTTTTTATCAGACTCCAACAGTAACATTTTTAATACTTTTCTACATAAACTCAGACAAATTAATGCAACAGGAGTACCATTAAATATCTTTCAATTCCAGGGCTAATAATCCCAAGAATAATTGCTGATGCTTGGTAACAGGGAAATAAGAAATCAAAAACCTAAACTGACAGAAACATGTAATTTCTGCAGTGCTGGTTGAACTCTAACACTGAACACATTTTTACGTGTAGTTAAACCATTTTATTATTATCTTAATTTTCTAGAAATTAAGAATTATTTCTAGTTATTTTATAACTTCAAGCCCATCCTTTTTTAGTTAAACACTGCACATGTATGCTTCATGGTGATTTTACATTCTTGTATCATCAGATAAATTCAATTTAAATAGCTAACATACATATGAAGAATTATTTCCAAACCTCAGCATTTCACACTTAACGCCTACCCAAGTGTACATGTACACACACACACACACCTGCAGCTTTGTTTCAGGTTTCCCTTTCTCTCTGTTCCTCCAAAGAAAGTTACCACTTACCTCAGCGTATACAAAGCAATTCTTTTTTTGTATAGATGGAAACATTCAACAAATCAACTTAAATGAACTAAAGAGAAAAAAAAATTCTTCTCTGCCAAAGAGGCAAACGATAATCAACACATTAAACTGTGCATTGATACAGCCAAACCAACTTGCTTGGTTCTTCTATAAAGAGGTTTAATATTAAAATATACTTGGTTCCTCATGTGTAAAAAAGGAAGTAAGTAGCACCTACTGATTTCAAGCTACAAAGCCCATCACACCAACAAGCCTAAACTTGTTACTGGTGTGCACTTGCCATAGAAGGCAAAAAAAAAAAAAAAAAAAGGCAGTACTGTAACATCTAATAAAAAGCTGAAATGCCCCTAAAGATCAGAATCTAATTTAAATTAAATTCTAGGACTCTCTCAACATGACGTATTTTCTATTTCAAATCCTGACCTTACAAATAAATCTGACTTTGTGAGGTATTTTATCTTTTAATCAACAAAGATAACAAGTAAATAGAAATGTTTCATCTCCAGAGTTGGCTTATTTGTCATTAGAAAGGTGGCTATAAAAGAGTACACCTTTCCCCCAAATAAATGAGAACTGAATTAAAGCAATTAAATGACTATTAGAAAAGATCATCGTGTATTATAAAAGATCACAGTGGTGGACTGTGAGAGGACCAAGTTTCTTTTTTTTTTTTTTTTTTTTCGAGACACGGTCTCAAAGTCGCCCAGACTGGAGGTGCAATCTCAGCTCACTGCAGCCTCCGCTTCCCAGGTTCAAGCGATTCTCCCACCTCAACCTCCCAAGTAGCTAGGATTCCAGGCATATGCCAACATGCCCAATCCACAAAGGTTCTTAAGGTGGAATTATTATAAACTGAATTAATGAGATAAAAGTCAAACACTGAGTTAATTACAGAGAAAAAACCACCCCAACAGGTCCAGTGAGAACAAAATAAGGACAATGAAATTATTTTTTATTGTATTGTACATATTATATATAGTACCAACTATATTTACTTCTAAGTACACATATGCCATAAAAGACAAACAAAACAGATAAAAATCCTAGAAATGAGACATACTTGCCCAATACAATCATATGAAAAGATTACCATCATACATAATAGCAGTCACACATTCTAAAATTTGTAGCCGCTGTAAAAATGGTTTATATACTCCAAAACCTTTATTTCATGCCACTGATCATGTCGCCTTTATCATCACTAAAGAAACATGCCAGTGTCATGTATGACAAAAGAAAGATTTTTCTCTTGAATCAAGCATGCAGCTCAGGGAAGGAAGGATGGCGGCTCTCACCCTAATTAGCCAGAGAGGGACCAGGACAAATCAAACCTGGAGACCAACAATGTAACACATTCTTCCCAGAGGCCTTCACAGCCAGTATGAAACTAAGAACCAGGAACCAGGAGATCTGAGTTCAATCTTAGCTTTGTTCCCAGCAGCTAGTTTCTGGGCTCAGCTGCCTAATCTTTAAAGTAACTAAGCTGACTGAGCATGGTGGCTCACACCTGTAATCCCAACACTTTGGGAGGCCGAGGTGGCAGATCACTTGAGGTCAGGAGTTCGAGACCACCCTGGCCAACATGGCAAAACCCCAACACTACTAAAAATACAAAAATTAGCCAGGTATAATGGTGCATGCCTGCAATCCCAGCTACTCAAGAGGCTGAGCCACAAGAATCACTTGAACACAAGAGGCGGAGGTTGCAGTGAGCAGAGATCATACCACTGCACTCCAGCCTGGGCAACAGAGCAAGATCCTGTCTCAAAAATAAAAATAAAAATAAAAAATAAAGTAAATGAGTTAAGCTAGGCCGGGTGCGATGGCTCACGCCTGTAAGCCCAGCACTTTGGGAGGCTGACGCAGGTGGATCACGAGGTCAGGAGTTCAAGGCCAGCCTGGCCAAGATGGTGAAACTCCGTCTCTACTAAAAACTACAAAAAATTAGCCGGGCACAGTGGCAGGCACCTGTAATCCCAGCTACTCGGGAGGCTGAGGCAGGAGATTGCTTGAACCCGGGCAGCAGAGGTTGCAGTGGGCCGAGATCGCACCACTGCACTCCAGCCTGGGCAACAGAGTGAGACTCCATCTCAAAAAAAAAATAAAATAAAGTAAGTTAAGCTAGTTAATCTAATAATGAGAGTCTCTCTTATACTTATGAAACTCCTTCCAGCTCTAAGATTCTTTGTTAACTTTGCATTTTATTGAGCCATCTTAGTGGCAAAGGCATTCCACATAGTATACAGAAGAAAGCTATATAATAATATAACTGCACTTTCCTATCTACTTTAAAGAATTGTTTCTACATAGAAATATAAAAAGGAACTGGGCGCAGTGGCTCGTGCCTATAATCCCAGCACTGTGGGAGGCCAGGGCAGGCAGATCACCTGAGGTCAGGAGTTTGAGACCAGCCTGGCCAACATGGTGAAACCCCATCTCTACTGAAAACACAAAAATTAGCTGGGCATGGTGGTGGGCGCCTGTAATCACGGCTATTCGGGAGGCTGAGGCAGGAGAATTACTTGAACCTGGGAGGTGTAGGCTGCAGTGAGCCGAGATTGTGCCACTACAATCTACCCTGGGAGACAGAATGAGATTCCATCTCAAATAAATAAATAAATAAATAAATACAAAAAGGACAAAAAATAATAGAGACATGTATTTCACTGAATGCAGACCTTGGGTAGGTTAAATGAGACAAGAAAAAAGGGAAAGAAAATAAATAGTATATAAAAGCATTTGACTAAGTATACTTATCTGAACAAGATACAAAAAAAAATCTGAACAGCTCTGAGGTTGATCAGTAATTGCGCTCAACTAAATAAGATACATCTCATGAAAAATAGAGTTCACAATACAAGCATATACAGAATAATGTGTTTTCAGCTCATAATTTAAAAGAGTAGCTTTGGGTAGAAAAGATGTTGTATACAACAAAGTTAATGGACTTTCCATTTAATAAGAGAAGATTTGGATATTGTAAAGAAATCCAATAGATCCTTTGATGAAAAGGCAATACTTAAAAAAGAATCTAGGATTAAAACCCTTGAGAAAATTTTCAGTGAAAATCTTTTCCTGATACATATTAGAAGTTGACAAAATTAATACCTGAAAATGTAAATAGACATATTAAATCTAAATAAATATTACTATTTTCTTACCTTTTGCATATATAAAAAGCACCCAACAAAAATGGAAAATTTCAGACACAGTACAGGGCTGTCGCCTTTGGGGGAAGAAAAAAAAAAGTCATGAGACAACAGAAGAATCAGAAAAAAAAATCCCAAATGATTATAAATCAGGTGTAAAATAAAACCCACAGTTAAAGGGAGAGACAACAGATTCAGCTTCACATGGAAAACGTGGACGTTCTGCCTTAACAAAATATTGGTAGGAAATAGCTGGGATCCAGGGAAAGAGCCCATCTCAAAGAAAAGAAAATTCTTAAAGAATTTTTTAAAGTTTTTTGAGGGCAAGATAGGTGAGGTGGAAAATAAAATGAATAAAAATAGTTCTTTTGATGACACAGCAATGCTATGCTGCTTTAGGACCACTATATGCAGTCAGATATGTCCTTATTTTTTTCTCCTTTATCATAGCTAATGACCTGTATCCCTCCCTCCCTCCTTAAAGATATTCCAGACTATATCAAATCACAAAAGGCCTTTTTAATGTAAATTATGAGCTTCCTATAATTCCTTATACTTCCATCCATTAAGAGTACCTGTTGTATATTGCCAAGTAGTCTGCCAAGTTTCAGACCTGCTTTAAGCTTGGCTTTTCTACCAAAACCTCTGACAACTTTTAGACAAGAAATCTGTGGTCTCCACCTCCCAACAGCCTTATTCTAACAAGGTGCCCAGAAGAACGAAATTCCGTGGAGAAGATTAGATTAGATTTAGTTCCAGCACTGCCATTAGCTAGGGTACTTGCTCACCTGGGCCTTAGTCATTTCATCTGTCAAAAGATTACTCTACTTGGGTACAATACTGTACTTAGTTCACCAGTCCATGGCAAGGATTAAATGTCAGTGTTCTGCTTTTAAAAGTAGCCTCTCTACCATAGGCGCATGATAAACTATTTCTAGTTTTAGTTGCCTACCAAAATAAAATTCAATTTTTTTTAGCTTAACACTTAAGCTACTCTTAATTCTGGCTCTACAACTTGAGAATTCTAGAAAAAAAAACTTGACTAACCTCCCACATTTCTTCTTGCTTTACTGCTTTTGTCTTTTCTTGTTTCCTCTACACAGAAGGTGCTATCTGTATCTTCAAATTCACCTATCAAACTCGTACCCATCTTTCAAGACCCATTTCTACTTATTCCATGTAAACTTACCTGACTGGCTCATCCAGAGTGATTTCTTTTCCTCCTAAGTTTTACATCTGTATTCCCTCTGGTAGTCATGGGACTTTTATAACACACTGCATTGCATGCACTGGAATCTTCATACCTGCCTCATCTCGCTGACTGTACTGTAAGCTCTCAGAAGACAGAGACTGTGGGGTTTGGTGTTTTAAAAAATGCCTGTGTCCTACATAATACCTAACAGTATTTCCTGTGGATAAGTGCTAAACAAATAGTGACACATTTTCAGATAGTGTGTGAGAGATGCAGTATATAGTCACAGTAAAGCACATGGGTTCCCGCAGTCAGTTTCAATAAGAACTCCACGCTTGGTTGTGCGACCCTGGCCAAATTACTTAACCTCTCTGCGGCTAATTTTCTCTATCTAACAATAGTATGAGTATCACAAGGTTGTCAGAGGGATTAACTGAAGTAATACATATTGAAGTCTTAAGAGTCCCTGCCCCAAAGTAAATGCTCAGTAAGTGCTATACATTATGACTATAGTTAACAGAAAGAGCTAACAGAAAGTATACAAAGTGATTAAAATGTAAAATCTCTAATAAAGTGATTTACTTTTTTTTTTTTTTTTTTGAGACAAGGTCTTGCTCTGTCACCCAAACTGGAGTACAGTGGTATGAGCACAGCTCACTGCAGCCTCAACCTCCCAGGCTCAAGTGATCCCCCCACCTCAGCCTCCCCAGTAGCTGGGACCACAGGTGTGCGCCACCACTCCAAGCTAATTTTTCTATTTTTTGTGGAGATGAAGTTTCGCCATACTGTCCAGGCTGGTCTCAAACTCCTGGGCTCAAGTGATCTGTCCACTTCAGCCTCCCAAAGTGCTGGGGATCAGGTGTGAGCCACTGCACATGGCCTTTTAAAATTCTCTTAATTAGAATTAGGTAGTATATATATCCTAAGAAATAGCAAAACAAGTGCAATCTGAAATTATTTTCCAGATACTCCAAAGAAAGAAGATATCTTCCCATAAATGATCACATTGGCCTCACTCAGACTCAGTACAAAGCTTCTATTCAAACTTTAGAATACTTCATTTTTTATTTATTTATTTGGAGACGAAGTCTCACTCTGTCACCTAGGCTGGAGTGCAGTGGCGCGATCGCAGCTCACTGAAACCTCCGACTCCTGGGTTCAAGTGATTCACCTGCCTCAGCCTCTCAAGTAGCTGGGACAACAGGCACACACCACCATACCTGCCTAATTTTTGTATTTTTAGTGGAGATGGGGTTTTGGCACATTGGCCAGGCTAGTCTTGAACTCCTGACCTCAAGCAATCCACCTGCCTCGGCCTCCCAAAGTGCTAGGAGAATATGTCATTTTATTTATTTATTTATTTATTTATTTATTAAAATGGAGTCTCGCTCTATCGCCCAGGCTGGAGTGCAGTGGCGTGATCTCGGCTCACTGCAACCTCCAACTCTGAGGTTCAAGTGATTCTTCCACCTCTCCCTCCCAAGTAGCTGGGATTACAGGCACCCACCACCACACCCCGCTAATTTTTTTATTTTTAGTAGAGACGGGGTTTCGCCACGTTGGCCAGGCTGGTCTCGAACTCCCGACCTAGAGTGATCCACCCGCCTTGGCCTCCCAAAGTGCTGGGATTACAGGCACTCAGCCAGAATACCTCCTTTTATTTGTTTACTTATTTATTTATGAGATGGAGTTTCATTCTTGTCGCCCAGGCTCGAATGCAATGGTACGATCTTGGCTCACAACTTCTGCCTCTCGGTTCAAGGGATTCTACTGACTCAGCCTCCCGAGTAGCTGGGATTATAGGCATGCACCACCACGCACAGCTAATTTTTGTATTTTTAGTAGAGACGGGGTTTTGCCACGTTGGCCAGGCTGGTCTTGAACTCCTGAACTCAGGTGATTCGCCTGCCTCAGCCTCCTAAAGTGCTGGGATTACAGGCGTGAGCCAACCCGCCTGGCTCAGAATGCTTCATTTTAAATAGTCAATTCCCCAAAACTGTAAGTGAGCTAGACCAGATGCTTCTGTATCAGTGGTGCCATCTATATTAAAATGTAAATAGTTCTAGTTTTTTTAAATTTTTTTTCCTCCTGGTTTGTCATTCCCCCATTTTATTTTTAAAAGGTTACACTTAATGTAAACATCCTTCACAGTCTGGGAAAACTTTTATATTTAAAGAGAAGCAAACATTATTTATTCTAGCCAAATAATTTTAACTCCTTTCCCTTTACTTTTCTTGTCAACATTTTTCTAATTGTTAGAATTTTCATTTCTACTTTATGAAAAAACTTTCAATGATAAAGAAGGAAAATGTGTATTCCATAACTGCCTTTATCTATCAGGAAAGGTAGAAAACACTGAGTCAGAGCATGCTTATAGACTTTGCAGAAGTGATCAGAAAGCACAAATTCATAATAGTTTCAGTTCTCCTGTCTTTTCCCAATCCAGTCTCTCTATTCTGAATTCATTATAAACATCAAAATACATAGAGAAGTCATTTCAAGGGGATTATTTATTACTCAGTTTGACATAAAATAGTCTATATAATCACTAGTAGAAAATATAGTGGTTAATATAGTGATCTATATCTAGGGCAGTGCTCCCTTCGGCAGCACATATACTAAAATTGGAACAATACATTGATTAGCATGGCCCCTGCGCAATAAAAAATATATATATCCAGATACAGATACAGATACATCTCCAAGGCGGCGAAAGGGTGAAAATCCCTAAGTCTGACTTGTACAGTCTGCATTTTTTGTTGCTTAAATGAAAAAGGAAGGTTTCAGAACAAGGATCACTGAGGAAAAAATAATAATAAAATAAAATAAGACAAATGAAAGTTTATAGAAACAAAGACCTGTATACATTTAGCAATATGAAAAAAGCCACTCTTCATGGCTAACCCACAATGAAAAGCAAAAAAAGCATCATTAAAAGAAAACGACTGAGGAAAAAGATTTTTTAAATCTTATTTCTTTTTTAAAACCAGAAAAAAAAAACCTAGCAGAATATCAACACTGCAGCACAGACTAACGTGTATTCCTGATGAACCAACAAGAAAACCTACCGCTGTTTCCTTCCTCGCTGCTGACGAGGTTGCTCCTCTTGAGGGTATTTAAAGATGTCCTGAAAAATGGGTTCATATTTCTTAAAAATTACAGCAGAAACAGTGAAGTTTCTTTCTAATCTCTCAGTACGTTCTCTGAAATGTGGGGGTAGATTTGCCATGTCTTCCCACTTCTTCATCTTATTAAAAAATTCGATTAAGCTGGTATTAAAGACAAACAAGATATTTCATAATTAACATAAGGCTAAAGTATACAAAAGTAAGTATTCAAAAGTAAATCAATATTATCGCATTAAATTATATTACTTTTAGACAGTGAAATAAAATCACAACTCATGTCTCTGACTAGCTTAATTTCTTACAGATTGGTATATTCCTCTGATCCTCCTAATCCATTTTGTTTAGGTTACCTAAAGTATTTGTTAACTATGAAATATTTGAAAATACAAACCAAAATTAACAAGAGTAACCTAACCAACATTCACGTTGGTTCACTGCCAGATTTTTTAAATGTTAATATATTAAATAAATTTTGTCGTTTTTGTTTTTGTAAGAGATAGGGTTTCGTTCTATCACCCATGTTGGAGTTCAGTGGCAAGATCACAGCTCACTGCAGACTCCTGGGCTTGAGTGATCCTCCTACTTTGGCTTCCTAGAACACTGTGATTACAGGTGTGAGCCACCTCCTCCTGCCACTTCAGATTTTTTTTTAAACTAGCAACACTATAGAAGCAGTCAAGGCTAGGCGCAGTAGCTCACACCTGTAATCCCAGCACTTTGGGAGGCCGAGGTGGGAGATTCACAAGGTCAGGAGTTTGAAACCAGCATGGCCAACATGGTAAAACCCGATCTCTACTAAAAATACAAAAAATTAGCTGGGCGTGGTGGCGGGCACCTGTAATCCCAGCTACTCAGGAGGCTGAGGCAGGAAAATCACTTAAACCTGGGAGGCGGAGGTTGCAGTGAGCCGAGATCACGCCACTGCACTCCAGCCTGGCGACAATGCGAGACTCTGTCTCAAAAAAGAAAAAGAAAAAGAAAAAGAAACAGTCAAAATTACCATTTTATACTCCTCCCTAATCCCATCCTTACCCTTCTACCCCAAAGATAAAAACCATTCTAAAGTTGGTCTTAATCCTTCCTATGTTTTCACACTTACTACACATACACATGTATGTGTAAACAATAAGCAATATCTTATTACGTGTTTTTACATTTTATATAAATGCTATCATACTTCAGTGGTATTCTGCAACTTGCTTTTTCACACTCAATAATGTTTCTGACATTAATGTTGATATGTAAGATATATTCATTTTAATTGCTAAAAACATTCTTTCATATGAACATACAATGACTTTTTGCATTCACTCCCCAACCAATGGAAATTTAGGTTGTTTCTAATATTCCATGATAACAAAACATGTTGTAATGAAAACATCCTTATACATGTGTGCAGGAGTTTCTTTGGGGACTACTCCAAGAAGTACAGTAAGAGAATGTGCACCTTCAATATTACTAGATACCACCAAATTTGCTAGTAAAGTAGTTGTGTCAATTTTGACTCTCACCAATGTACACCAGCAATATAGAGTTCCTGCCTGAGCGCAGTGGCTCATGCCTGTAATCCCAGCACTTTGGGAGACCGAGGCAGGTAGATCACTTGAGGTCAGGAGTTCGAGACTAGCCTGGTCAACACGGTGAAACCTGGTCTCCACAAAAAATACAAAAATTAGTCAGGTATAGTGGTATGTGCCTTTATCCCAGCTACTCCGGGAGGCTGAAGCATGAGAATCACCTGAACCTGGGAAGTGGAGGTTGCAGTGAGTAGAGATTGAGCTACTGCACTCCAGCCTGGGCAGCAGAGTGAGACTCCATCTCAAAAAAAAAAAAAAAAAAAAAAAAGAACTGAAAAATAAAAAAAATAGAGTTCCTGTTTCCCTGTACAGTGACCAAACTTGGTATACCAGACTTCAAATTTTCCCAATGATAAGAATAAAATGTTGGCCAGGCATGGTGGCTCACACCTGTAATGCCAGCACTTTGGGAGTCCAAGGCGGGTGGATCACCTGAGGTCGGGAGTTGGAAACCAGCCTGGCCAACATGGTGAAACCCGTCTCTACTAAAAATACAAAAAATTAGCCAGGTGTGGTGGTGCGCATCTGTAATCCCAGCTACTTGGGAGGCCACAGCGGGAGAATCGTTTGAACCTGGGAGGCAGAGGCTGCAATGAGCTGAGATCACGCCCCTGCACCCTGGCCTGGGTGAAACAGCAAGACTCCATCTCAAAAAAAACAGAATGAAATGTTATCTTTCTACTTTGAAAGTCTTTATTAGTGACAGTGAATATCTCTTCCTGTATCTATTAGCTATGTGAATTATAACCTTTGTGAAGTCATGTTCTTTATTCATTTTATTAACCCTGTTAGTAGTTCCTGATATAATTCTAGATACTGATTCTTTGGTCAATGTAACTCAGGATGGAGTTAAAGGTTAAAAAAAGATTACTAAAATTCACAACGTCAGCTAAAACATGACATTGTGAATTATTTTATTTTATTTATTTGTTTTGAGATGGAGTCTCGCTCTTGTCACCCAGGCTGGAGTGCAATAGTGCTCACTGCAACCTCTGCCTCCTGGGCTCAAGTGATTTTCCTGACTCGGCTTCCTGAGTAGCTAAGATTACAGGCGCATGTCACCACACTCGGCTAATTTTTGTATTTTTAGTTGAGACGGGGTTTCACCATATTGGCCAGGCTGATCTCCAATTCTTGACCTCAAGTGATCCACACACCTTGGCCTCCAAAAGTGCTGGGATTACTGGGATTACAGGTGTGAGCCACCGCCCCCAGCCTGCTAATTATTTTAATAGTAACCTTCTTTTTTTTTTTTTTTTTTTTTTTTGGAGACAAGGTCTTGCTCTGTGGCCCAGGCTGGAGTGCAGTGCTGCTCCATCATTCAGGGCTCAAGTGATCCTCCCATCTCAGCCTCCCAAGTAGCTAGGCCTGCAGGTATGCACAACCACACCCAGTTAATTTTTTTATTTAGTAAGTGATTTTTTAACCATTAACTCCATAAATTTTGACAGTGGTAATTTCCCCCAAAATGCTAAACATCATTTTTCCACTTATCTTTAATAAGCCATGTAAGAAAATTCACCTAAAAGGCACAAAAAATAAATGTAATCAATTTAATTACACAACAGATAAAGCAATTTCTGCCTCTTCTTTTAAACATATTTGACCCTTTCTAAAATGGATTATAATCATGTCATTTATCCTCCAAACAGGAAACTGAGAAATACTTACATGTTCCATTTATATTAAGACCACAAGTCCTGTGCACATATTTCTAAGTATAATAGCAAATAATATTTTATTTACCTTTTCAACTTGGAGTATCTCCTAAAGTTTCTCAATATCCTTCATTTCTCCCAATATTACACAATGTCCTAAACTTTAAAAATAAATTCTGCCATACAAGTGCCTAAAACATTAAAATTTAAATATTTTCACCAAAGAAGTAAAATATAATGGATATTAACTGTGATATAAAGAAAGGAAAATCATTAGATGCTAGTTTTAGCATCTAATTTCACCAGTCCACAGGTACAAATGCTCAGAAAATGATAAACAGAGATAATTCTTACTATCACTATGATTTATGAGCTTACATTAGCCATACTCTACTTGTCAAACTCTAACATAGTTACCTCTGCTCTGAACATTTCAGGATTCTAGTTAAAGATACATAGTTTCCTTCCACTGTCCCTTTGCTTACAGTTGGAACAGATTTTCTGCAAGCCACATATAAGGCACATGCTAACCAATGAAGATCATTTCCCTGTAAAAGAAAAGAAAATTGATTTTTAGTTAAAAAGCTACATATAAATATTTCAATATTTTTAAAAGTATGTTTAAATTGAAAGTGTTGTTTATATTTTTGTGGGAAACTTAGTTTCAATGATGACCCTATCTCATACGCTCTTTTTTTTTTTTTTTTTTTTTTTTTTTTTGAGATGGAATCTTGCTCTGTCACCCAGGCTGGAGTGCAGTGGCGCAATCTTGGCTCACTGCAACCTCCACCTCCCAGGTTCAAGCACTCCTCCTACCTCAGCCTCCCAAGTAGCTGGGACTACAGAAGTGCGCCACCATACCTGGCTAATTTTTGTATTTTTTGTAGAGACAGGGTTTTGTCATGTTGCCCAGGCTGGTCTTGAACTCCTGGCCTCAAGTGATCCATCCGCCTTGGCCTTCCAAAGTGCTGGGATTACAGGTGTGAGCCACTGTACCCAGCCCCGTAGGCTCTTCTTATAATGTGACATTAACATTATTCCACTGAGAGGTAGAGAGGGTTCCCTCACCTTGGACCTGGGCAAGGGTCTGCGTTCCCTCACACTGATTAACTGTCTCTATCAATAATTGCAGAGGTAGAAGTGAAACTATGTAATTCTAAAAGATTATACAAGGCAGTATAGATTCCACTTGGTTCTCTCTCTTAGGACATGTGCCTTCGGAGTCCTGAACCAACATGTAAGAATTTAGCTACCCTGGATCACCATGCTGGTGAGACCACATGGAACAAACATACAGAGATGCCCAACGAGCTCCAGCTGTGCCAGTACCTAGTTGCTCAAGTCTTCCAGGTGAGGTACCAGTCATTTTGACGCAGAAACATGACATCCACACTGTCCCCAGCCTGAATTCCTTACTCACAGAACCTGTGACCAAAACAAATTGCTTTCTGCCCCTAAGTTTTAAGGCAATTTGCTATATAGCCATAGTAATGCAAACAATATTATTGTTTATTTTTATTTATTTTTTATTTTTTTTGAGATGGAGTCTCACTGTGTCACCCAGGCTGGAGTACAGTGGCTCCATCTTGGCTCACTCCAAGCTCTGCCTCCCAGGTTCACACCATTCTCCTGCCTCAGCCTCCTGAGTAGCTGGGACTACAGGTGCCCACCACCACGCTCAGCTAATTTTTTGTATTTTTAGTAGAGACTGGGTTTCAATGTGTTAGCCAGGATGGTCTTGATCTCCTGACCTCGTGACTCGCCCACCTAGACCTCCCAAAGTGCTGGGATTACAGGCGTGAGCCCCTGCGCCTGGCCTATTGTTTATATTTTTAATCTTGCTCAAAATCTAGAAAAGTGATAGAAATACAAAATTAAGCTTGAATGGATATTCAGCCACTAATTTTATACCTAATCAAAACACATACATGAATACATAAAATTTATTTGTATAACCAAATGAGACTATTGTGGATCCACTACCAGATATCATTCAAAAATAATAATTTTTAAGGCATTGTTTGTAAAAGATCGTCACAATTCTTTTTACTCAAGAAGTGATACAACTTTCCTCTCCCTATAAAAGCGAGGAAGGATGGAAGATGTCCTTTAGCTTCAATGTATTCATTACTGGTCTAAATGAAAATGAGAAGAACTGGAAATTCTTCCTTTTTTCACATTTACACATAGACTGTCTTACAAACCCACTTATATGTATCAATAGCATAGATGTTCTTTTGTAAAAAAAAAAAAAACAGCCAAGATCTGTGTATCACATATATCTCTGGGAGATGGTTTCATAATATTCTTGATTTATGATGTAAAAGCAAATTTAGATGCATAACTACTGCATTTCTCTACTATATCAATATCTCTTAGAAAGCATAAAGTTAAGTCGGTCACAGCATTATCCTCTGCTTCAATAAAGGGTTTAAAAGATAATCTATAATGTTCTATTTTGGCTCTAGAAAATTCACAACTACTTGGATGGTGGAGGGAGAAAAAAAAAAAGAAAAAAAATAGAAAGTTTACAACTATATCGTTCCTAAAAAGAAGAATTAGTCTTGTGAGAATTTTACAGTGCTTAGATGACAAAATGGAGCGCGAAGCTCTTTTAAATAATTTATGCAAAGAGTAGACTCTGTGCCTAGTTTATCTTTGGTCCTAAAAAATATATGTTGAAAATTCCATAATACTAAAAAAGTTATCCTCAAAATTAACATCTCATGGTCACATCTTCTAGGGTCAAATAGATCTGGTTTCAAATTCCGGCTCTGCCATACAGTAGCTATAACACAGTGGGGAAATTACTTAACAGTCTCAGAGGCTGCATTTTCTTGGCTGAGGACTGTGAGAATGAGTTACAGGTTAAAAATGCACAGAAAATACAAGAAATCAAGTTAAAATTCCATAACCAGTATTCTGTATTAAACATCATAAGAGCTTTATTTTCCCTTGCACTCCCATGAGAATGACATCCCATATTGTCACAGCGTACCTCACTGTAAGCCCCACAAGAGCAGGTTTGCTGCTCTATATCCAGCACCTAGAACAATGTGTAGCAAGTAATAGGTGCTCAAGAAATATTTGATGAATATTTTACTGAGTAAATCATTTACTGAATAAACTGGGCTAAGAAGCTGAAACTAAAGTCTCAGTAATCAAAAGAATTGAGTAATCAAACATGTTTTCAAAAATAATTTACTAACCAGCTATTACGTGATACTTGCTCATGTATCACTAGACTTCATACAACTTAACTGCTATGAGTTGAAATACCTCAAATAAATGGCGATAATGCTTGTTCTATCTGATTTACAGGATTATCTTGAGGGTAAAATAAGAGCTTGTTTGGAAGCCTTTAAGGCCATTTACCAAAAAAAAACCCAAAAAACAAAAAACAACATAAAAAGCCAACCAGTCCTTCTCTTTGCCAGACTACAGAAAGGCACTGAGAGATGAATAGGAACATAGCTTACTCAGCCAGATCATGTAAATATACAAAGAGCTTAGTAAACTTGAAAACACTGTCCATATGGGTGCTTTATGTGCCAGAAACTACATTATTGCCTTATTTAATCTTCAGAACAGCTCTGTGAGGTAAACACAAATATCTCCAGTTTAGAGATCACCATACTGAACTTTTCCAGCGGTTTCAGGTCTGTCGGGTTCTAAAGCCACCATACACTATCTTCTGCAGACCTAACAATTCAAAGAGGGAACTAGTAATTGAATTAAAATTCTATTAATGCAAATACAAATTAAAAATAACCTCACTCATCAGTACACATAGCCAAAAACATCATATTTAAATAATACCTTGGTTAGGCTTTGCATCCTGGACCTATTTGCCCGACTCTTTCTACAAATTAATTATAAAACGACTTGAGAAA
The DNA here is from genome assembly GCF_000001405.40 of Homo sapiens. Lineage (NCBI taxonomy): Eukaryota > Metazoa > Chordata > Mammalia > Primates > Hominidae > Homo > Homo sapiens. The sequence continues at coordinate 53,435,670 of NC_000016.10, read as the reverse complement.
TCAAATGGCCTCAGGTTTAAATGCCACACACACAGTCAAACAGCTGATAAACAATCCGTACTTCCGTGTCACTTCCCATTGGCCCATGAAGGGGAGGTGCATACAAAGCTGACACTCACTGGCTAGAATGGCCATTTTTCTCATCTGCAAGCCCTGTCCGAAGGCTGCGACCTAACACACCCGGATCGCAACAACAACAGGAGTCCTGTGCAATGCCCGGGGTGACCAAAAAGCCCTCGAGGTAGCCACAGTCCTGATCCTAGTGACAAATGGGGGCATGTGTCTACATCCGGGTCGGCGGAGGGCTCATTTCATCTGGCCTGGGGGGAAATGAGTATTAATTTGTTTACACAGACGTAAACACAGCCCAAAACGCATCAGCACGTTGACTCAAACGCCCGCAACGCCAGGGCAAAGGCAATTTGGTTAACAGGGGGAAGCGAACAGACGGAGACGCCTGGAGACCCAGGTGCCACAACCCGGTTAATCGCGGTGCAAATAAGGGCAAGTCCCCTCCCCTTGTCCGTGTGGTCTTGACAACGACACTAGTTCATTCTACTAACAAGGCGGGCGGGGGGTCAGATGGGCCACACACACCCATTTTCCTCAACGGGACCCCAGCGCGATCTCAGCCTTGCTGTGCTACTTTAGGGCAAGACGCGTTCCCCATTCGGAAGCCGCAGGAAAGCGCGGCGAGAGCGGGTTAGCCCTCGGAGCGGCTAAGAGCCTCGGAATAGCGCAGAGGAAGTCCCCACCCCTCTCGGGGCTGGGAGCCCGCAACCCGCCCGAGAGTCTCTCGAGGCGCGCGACGCGGCTCGGAAGGCACCGGTTCACGCCAACTAGGCCGGAAGCGCCCCTCCGCCCGCGAGCGCACCTCCAGCGTGTAGCTTTCGCTCATGCTGCGGTAGCTGTCCCAGGCCTCGGCCCGCGCCGCCTCGTCCATGTTGAGGCGGCTGCACAGCTCGTCGAACCGCTGCTGGATCTGAGGGGTGGGCGACTCGGCAGGCGGCGCGGCGTCTTCCGCCTCGCCGTCGTCCTCCTCCTCCTCATCCGAGGCTGCCGCCGCCGGAGGGGGAGGCGGGGGCGGTGGCGACTGGTCACCTCCCGACGGCATAGCGCACCCCTGGGCGGCCGGACCTCAGGTGAGGTGAGGGCCCGGGCCCGCAGCCATTCAAACGGCGAAGCGCCCGCCCGTCCGCCGCCCGCACCGCGCCTGCGCCGCCGCAAACGACGCTGACCGCCTGCAGGCACCCGTAGTCTTGAGCACGGGCTGCTGGGAAACGTAGTCCAGGCCGGCGGTTCAAGGGGGCCAAAAATCATGTTTAAAAAAATTAGCTCCCCTAGTTTCACCAGGGGTGAAATAAAAGCACCTTCCCCGCATTTTAAACACGTACCTCCCCACCGTGAGAACATTCAACAGGGCTGTACTGACGAGAAAATGTCCAAAAGACACTGACGTGTGAAGGTTTCGTATCCAGGCTGTTCCCAGAAGTAAAACTTCCTCATCGCCTGGATATCCTTATCTAAAAAATAGGGATAATAGCAAGGGCCTGTCTCTGTACGTTCACGAAACTGCCTTTGCAAAAATCCTAACAGTGAGAAAGTTATGACAGTGCAAGGGATCTGACCTAAATGACTCCACGCTTCTCACTTCCGAGCTGCCCTTGTTCATTCCTGGGCGAAGACCTAACTAACTACAGGAGGAATTTAATTTCTAATTTCACTTTGAAACAAAGATTGTAACAGTCCTTTCCAAAAACAAACCCCATTCTTGCCTGGGGATCAGTCTGCCTTTGTAGAACTAACAAATTAGCCACAAGATTAGAAATTATGATTTAGGAGGCTTGCAGCCAGAGGCTATAAGATTCCTGACCTCCCCAATTGCTCTCAGGGATAACATCACTATTGTAAAACCTAAGATTGGTGCTGGAGATACTTTTCAGACCGCGCATTCCGATGCACTAGCTGGCGCCACTCAGACCATAATCTGGCTCAACAAGTTCTGCAATTCCACTCAGTAACAGAAGACAGCAAGAGCCCACTTCAACCCCCTGTGATTTCACCTCCCACCTGACAAATTAGCATTCGCCAATCCCTGGCCCCCTACCCGCCAAGTCATTCTTTAAAAACCCCAGTCTCCGAATTTTCTGGTAGGCTGATTTGAATAACCAAACTCCTGTCTGCCGTTCAGCTGGCTCTGCGTGAATTAAACTTTTTTTTTTTTTTTGAGACAGAGTCTGGCTCTGTTGCCCAGGCTGGAGTGTAGTGGCACGATCTCGGCTCACTGCAACCTCCGCCTCCTGGGTTCAAGCGATTCTCCTGCCTCAGCCTCCTGAGTATCTGGGATTACAGGTGTGCGCCACCGCACCCAGCTAATTTTTGTATTTTCAGTACAGGCAGGGTTTCACCATGTTGGCCAGGCTGGTCTCGAACTCCTGACCTCAAGTGATCCACCCACCTCGGCCTCCCAAAGTTCTGGGATTACAGGCGTGAGCCACCGTGCCCAGCCAATTCATTTTATTTCCAATTCTCCTTTCTTTATTTTAATTTTTTAAATTGCCAATCCTTGATTTATAAATGGGCTTGATATAAAACATTTTCCAGATTGAGGAGCAATCTGAGGATTGAGCAATTTGAGGATTCAGAAGGCATTACTGTTTTGCTATTTTTGTTTTGCTTGGTGGGATATGTAAACTGACAGAGGGAAAAGTGCTGGGACAAAAGTAGGGGCTTATGGAAGGTATAATGACAGGCGGGAGGACAGGAAATGGAACTCTGAAGATAGGAGAAAATCAGGTAGACAGGTAACAGGATATTTCAGGAACAATTTTGAGACAATGGAACCCTCTTAAGAAAACCTTAGTAAAATTCACAGTAATCAGCAATGCTTTTGGAGTTGGCTAAGTGATGAGTCTCAAGGTGACTATGGGGCAAGAACAGAAGTTGAACACAAATGGTTTAGAAGTATCTTAAGTATATAGGCTGGACGTTGTGGATCACACCTGTAAATCCAGCACTTTGGGAGGTCAAGGTGGGAGGACTGCTTGAGTACAGGAGTTCGAGACCAGCCTGGGCGACATAGTGAAACCCTGTCTCTACAAAAAATAGAAAAATTAACCCAGAGTGGTGGTACACGCCTGTAATCCTAGCTACTTGGGAGACTGAGGTGGGAGGAACGCCTAAGCCTGGGGAGTCTGCAGTGAACTGTGACCATGCCACTACAGCTTGGGCAACAGAGACCCTGTCTCAAAAAAATAATAATAAATAATTTGGCAAGGCGCGGTGGCTCACGCCTGTAATCCCTACACTTTGGGAGGCCAAGGCGGGCAGATCACTTAAGGTTAGGAGTTTAAGACCAGCCTGGCAAACATTGTGAAACCCCATTTCTACTAAAAATACAAAAAATTAGCCAGGAGTGGTGGCTGGTGCCAGTAATCCCAGCTACTCAGGAGGCTGAGGCAGGAGAATTGCTGGAACCCAGGAGGCAAAGACTGCAGTTAGCTGGGATCATGCCACTGCACTCCAGCCTGGGCGACAGAGCAACTCCATCTCAATAAATAAATAAATTAATAAATAATAAGTGTATTAAAATCTTAGTATTTTACCTGTATATACACTGGGAATATTGATTTTAAAATAATGATATTTCTTCCTTTGGAAATCATTATCAACACTTTACTATGTCAAAGCAAATAAAGAGGCCATGAGCCTGATATCATCTGTCTCTGTAGCTGGAGCTTATATGTAAGCAAACCAGAATTCAGTGTAAACAGTAAGACAACAGTAAAACAAAACATAAGCTTAACCAATCAGAAACTGCCAACTAGCCTCTAATTAGGGATTTTCCTTTTTTTTTTTTTTTTTTTTTTTTGGTGACAGAGTCTTGCCTTGTCACGCAGGCTGGAGTGCAATGATGCAATCTCGGCTTACTGCAACCTCTGCCTCCCAGGTTCAAGCGATTCTCCTGCCTCAGCCTCCAGAGTGGCTGGGATTACAGGAGCCAACCACCACACCGGCTAATTTTTGTATTTTTAGTAGAGACGGGGTTTAAGCACATTGGCCAGGCTGGTCTTGAACTCCTGACCTCAAATGATCCAACCACCTCGGCCTTCCAAAGTGCTGGGATTACAGGCATGAGCCACCGGGCCCAGCCCTCACACCCAAATAAGGCAAACACCCAGCTGTAGCCAATCAAGTAACTGTTTTACTTTTCTATTAAAGCTTACTGCTCACCTGCAGAAGCGCTCTGAATATCTTCTTGTTTTAAGTGGTGCCCAATTCATGAATTGTTGTTTGCTTAAACTGTTAACTTGTCCAAAGTTTTTCTTTTAGCAACTAAGAGAAAAACTTAAATTGTTTTAACAATTAAAGTTTAACTTCAAACTGTTTAACTTAAACAAACGATGTGAAATTATCTTTACTATTTTTAGTAAAAGTTAATGTAATTTAAATAATTATTGCAATGTAAGCAAAATTGGTGGCAATAAACCATCAAATATGTATTTATTAAAATATCCTTTGCTTGTTAATACCAATGTTTTCAAAGCCTTTTGGGATGGGGGTGGGGTGGAATGGGGGTGTGAGTGTTACCTGAAAGGAGTCCCGATCCAGACCCCAAGAGAGGGTTCTTGGATCTCATGTAAGAAAGAATTCAGGGCGAGTCCACAGTGCAAAGCAAAAGAAAGTTTATTAAGAAAGTAAAGTGATGAGAGAACAGTTACTCCATAGAGAGTAGGACGTTCCCGAAAGTAGGAGGAGGAATGCATCCACCCTAGGTACAATACTTGTTTATAAATAGGATTTAGAAAGATCATGAGGAGATGTGCTCTGCCACAAGGGTTTGTGATAAAGGATTAATCTTCCTAATTACTATATTTTGCAAGAATTGATATTATCTTTAAAGCAAAATTAGGAATGCTTCTGTTCTCAAGATATCGGGATATCAGGACACTCCTAAGTCTGGGTCTGTTTAGTAAATGTTATCAATGTGTTCCCTTAACTATAAACATCTAGGGGCTAGGAATACCTAACTTTCTAGGAATGCAGCCCAGCCAGTCCCAGCCCCATTTTTCCTAGCCATCACTCAAGATGGAGTCACTCTGGTTTGGATGCCTCTGATATGGAGAAGTTAAATTTCCTTGAGGTTATTATTTGACTTATGAAGCTTAGTCATAAAATGCAAGAGGTCTTTCACCTGACTGGCACATGTGCTCTCTCTGTCTCTCATTCTCTCAGTCATTCTTCATTCACTCTTTGTACCCAGCCAACATACTGTGGGAAAGACCAGGTCACCTATTGTCAAAGATAAACAAAGCCGAACATTAGTTAAAGTGTGAAAAACGGATTTTACTGAGTAACTACTGACAGACAGCAGGGAAAGAGCTGAGCTTCATTCCAACTTTTTTAGATGTGACTTGGCCTTTTAAAGAAAGAGTAAAGGAGGAGGGGGAGAGAGCAGAGCTTGAGTAAAAAATTACAAAAGGTGGGTCAATGTTAATGTCATTAGGCTAGTTGTGTCTACTAGCCAGCAACTATCAAAGTCAGGCTACTGTCCCCTACACAGACTGGAAGACAGAACCCCTATTCTTCCTGATGATTTCAATGGGAGGGTGGGGGCAGGGAGCCCAGGATCATTCCAGAGAATTGACCCTAAGCTCCCAGAAGCAATGCAAAAATTTGATCCTCTCTCTCTCTCTCTTTTCTTTTGCTCATGAGATATGGTCATCTCTTAAGTGCAGAGGTTTGGAAGGAGCCTTTATGTGCCAAGAATTCTGCAGTTATCACCATGTGGATAGGACCCAAGGCCTCTGGCCCTCAGCTGTGTTGAATAAGCCAGTTTGGAAGCCGAAGCAGATCCTCCAGCCTTCAGTCAAATTGTCCTAGCTGATGTTGTATACAACAGAGATGAACCTTCCCACTGAGCCCTGCCCAACTGAAATCTGTGGGACAAAAAAATGATGTTTGACATTAACGTTCCTTCAAAGAAAGAGATTTTAAGTCACAGCCATTTTTGATCGTGGAGGTTAACTGATTCTGTCTTAGTTCTTGAGCAAGATGCTAGGAGTTGAAATTGTAACTGTCCAGTGAGTTTTTCTGGCCTGCTGCCCAGACTGAGTAGATTTATCAAGATAGGGGAATTGCATTAGAGAAAGAGTTTAATACACTCACAGCCAGCTAAACAGGAGACCGGACTTGTATGACTCAAATCAGTCTCCCTGAAAATTTGGAGACCAGGGTTTTTTAAGGATAATTTGCTGGGCAGGGGAGGGGTCTAGGGAGTGGGAACACTGGTGGAGTTGGGGATGAAATCACAGGGAGTCTAAGCAGGTTCCTTCTGCTGTCTTCTGTTCCTGGCTGGGATTGCAGAACTGGTTGAGCCAGATTACCCATCTGGATAGTGCCAGCTGCTCCATCAGAATGCAGGGTCTAAAAATATCTCAAACACCAATCTTACGTTTTACAATAGTGATGTTATCCCTAAGAGCAATTGGGGAGGTTAGGAATCTTGTAGCCTCTGGCTGCAAGACCCCTAAATTGAAATTTCTAATCCTGTGGCTAATTTGTTAGTTCTATAAAGGTAGTCTTGTTTCCAGGCAAGGAGGGGGTTTGTTTCAGGAAAGAGCTGTTATTATTTTTGTTTCAAATTAAACTATAAACTAAATCCCTCTTATAGTTAGCTCGGCCTATGCCTAGGAATGAACAAGGGCAGTTTGGAGTTTAAAGACAAGATGAGATCGTTAGGTCAGATCTCTTTCACTGTCGTCATTTTCTCACTGTCATAATTTTTGCAAGATGGTTTCAAAATAAGAATCCTAGACTATGCTTACCCAACACTTCTTTCCCTTATCTTACCTCCTTGTCCTCCCAGAAGCAGAAATGGCTATCTTAATACACAAATCTCACCATGTCTTCCCCTACTTAGCTGGTTTCCTTGCTGCTCTTGGCAGAGTCTACCCCTTCCATACCATGAGTTCCCTCCCTCTTGCCCCTTCATCCTCACTGAAAATTGCCCTCCCGCACTTCCCCCACCCCTTTTTCAGTCACCCTTTTCCAACAGTCAGGTACAACCTTAAATGTCTGTTATTTCTATTGAATATTCTCATGACACTTATTATAACCATAATAAATTATTTACATGTTTGACTGTTTCATGTCTATTTTCTTCCCTATGCTTTAAGTGCTATGAAATTATGAGAAGTGGCTGTTTGGTTCTGGGCTATAACTTCAGTGCCAAATATGGGGCCGAACATGGAGTTGACTCTCCATAATACTTGTCGAGTAAGTGACTGATTATAATCAAGATATATCTTGTTCTTATTGAAGCCTCAGATTTTGTGGATGTAAAATTCTTACTCATGTTGTGATCTGATAGCACAGCAGAATGTCAAAGAACGTATGTGTCAGTCATCTAAAAATAAATTTTTCCTTTACATTATAAAGACATCCCTGGTATCTGTGGGGGATTGGTCCCAGGACCCTAAGGATACCAAAATCCAAGGTTGCTCAAGTCTTATATAAAATAGCATAGTATTTGCATATAACCTACTCACATCCTCCCATGTACTTTAAATCATTTCTAGATTACTTGTAATACCTAATACAATGTAAATGCTGTGTAAATAGTTGTTATGCTGTATTTTTTTATTTGTATTTTATTTTTTTTGAGACAGAGTCTTACTCTGTCACCCAGGCTGGAGTGCAATGGTGCGATCTCCGCTCACTGCAACTTTCGCCTCCTGGGTTCAAGCGATTATCCTGCCTCAGCCTCCCAAATAGCTGGGACTACAGGCACCCACCACCATGCCCAGTGTATTTTTAGTAGTGATAGGGTTTCACCATGTTGCCCAGGATGGTCTGAAACTCCTGAGCTCAAGTGATTGCCTGCCTCGGCCTCCCAAAGTGCTAGGATTACAGGCATGAACCACCACACCTGGCTTGTATTTTATATTTTAATTGTATTTAATTTTTTTTCCAAATATTTTTGGTCCATGATTGGTTGAATCTATGGTTGTGCAACCCACAGATATGGAGGGCTGACTGTATATATCACCTTAAAATATATGGCATAATTGTGAAACCTCGCATAAACATTTTATATAATAAAACAAGTGGTCTACAAACTTTTTGGTCATGTTTCCCTAATGGAATTACCTCCTGGCATATTTTAACATCTAAAATTTTTCATTAAAGGTTTAATTAGGTGCAAAGGATGCAATATCCAGCATTGTAACTATAAACCTAAAACAAAACTGATCCTAAACTTTAAATATATCTAATGGACTCTAAATATCACAACAGTTTAATACTATTATCCATTTTAAGATACATCAACAAAACTTTTATTTAATAATTAGAAATTTTATGTCATTCCTTTTTCTCCTTTAATTCATATTTTCATTCTATTTCAGCAAAATTTTAACATATTTTGGGTTTCAAAGTTATTTATTGACTTCTTTCAGATTTCCCTTCAGCAAAAATGTATGTTCAAATTAATTTTTTCAAGTCTCCTTCTGTTTATCTTTTCTTTCAGCTTGAGATATTGTTCATATGCAGCAAAATTCACCCAAAGTTTTATGAATGTTGATAGTCATGGAACAACCACCACAATCAACATATTGAACATTTTCATCACCCTAAGAGTTTTCTAGTGCTCCTTAATAGTAAACCTCTTCTGGCTGGGTGCAGTGGCTCACGCCTGTAATCCCAACACTTTGGGAGGCTGAGGCGGGCGGATCACGCGGTCAGGCGATCAAAACCATCCTGGCTAACCTGTGAAACCCTGTCTCTTAATACTCAGCTTCCTGAGTAGCTGGGATTACAGGCATGTGCCACCACGTCTGGCTAATTTTTATATTTTTAGTAGAAACGGAGTTTCACCATGTTGGGCTGGTCTTGAACTCTGGACCTCAGGTGATCCGCCCACCGTGGCCTCCCAAAGTTCTGGGATTACAGGTGTGAGCCACTGCACCTGGCCGATTGGTGGGTTTTTAAGAAGAAGAGAGTGATAACTCGTTCTTTCTCCACACGTGTGCAGAGAAAGGGCCATGTGAGGGCACAGTGAGAAGGCAAGAAGAGAGGCCTCCCCAGAAACCAAACCAGGCTGGCACCTTAATCTTGGACTTTCCAACCTCCAGATCTGTGAAAAAATAATGTGTTTTTTAAGCCACCCAGTCTATGGTATTTTATTGTGGCAGGCCAACAAGACTAAAACACAGTAGTATTGCCATATTGTATGGTAAGTGTATGTCAAACTTTTTTTAAAAACTGCCAAACTTTTCTTTGAGACAGAGTCTCGCTCTGTCACCCAGGCTGGAGTGCAGTGGCATGATCTCGGGTCACTGCAACCTCCACCTTCCAGGTTCAAGTGATTCCCATGCCTCAGCCTCCCAAGTAGCTGGGAGTACAGGTGTGTGCCACCAAACCTGGCTAATTTTTTGTATTTTTAGTAGAGATGGGGTTTCACCATGTTGGCTAGGCTGGTCTTAAACTCCTGACCTCAAGTGATCTGCCCACCTCAGCCTCCCAAAGCACTGGGACTACAGGCATGAGACATCACACGCTCGGCCCCAGTCTTTTTTTTTTTTCAAAGTGGCTCTACCTTTTGGCATTCCCACTCAACATGAAATTTAAATTCATTCCCTGTGACCATGAAACTGTATGTGTTATTCTCTCTCAGACTGAGTTATCAGATAACTATTATTAAAACTATGCCTTCAACTGTGTTTGCAATTTTTTATGTGTCTCCCACAGACATATTTTTTAAAAGATGGGTTGCTACCAGCATAAACTGTAGTTTGTTAAAGCGAACCAAATATGGCCTGAAAAGGACTCCGTACTCCTATATTTGAGTTGTTGTGGACAAACTGCAAACTAGACTAATAGATAGACAAGACTGAAAACCTAATTTAGGAGTATGTGCCTGGAACAACAGCTGAGTCTTGGCTAATCCCAGCAGCTCTACTTCAATCATTCATACACTGCTGAGTGTTCAAACTGCGAGTGCAGTGGCACGATCTCGGCTCACTGCAAGCTCCACCTCCCGGGTTTACACCATTCTCCTGCCTCAGCCTTCTGAGTAGCTGGGACTACAGGCACCCACCACCAAGCCCGGCTAATTTTTTGTATTTTTATTAGAGATGGGGTTTCACCATGTTAGCCAGGATGGTCTCTATCTCCTGTCCTCATGATCCACCCGCCTCAGCCTCCCAAAGTGCTGGTATTACAGGCATGAGCCATTGCGCCCGGTCCAAACTGTGTTTAAATAAGGCAAATGCTGAGCTGTAACCAATCCAGCTGTTCTGTACCTCACTTCCCATTTCCGTGCATCATTTTCCTTTTTTTACCTATAAATCAATCTTCTTCCCCCATGTGGCTTCGCTGGAGTCTCTGAATCTGCTGTGATTCCGGGGGCTGCCTGATTCATGAAGCATTCATTGCTGAATTAAACTCTTTTAAATTTAATTTGGCTGAAGTTTTTCTTTCATCGGATGGTGCCAGAAGTGGGATCTGAAGTAGAGTTTCTAGGGACCCCCAGGAGGGCTCTTTTCACATTAGTGGCCTGGTTCAATCCCTAGCTTATGGGATAAGCCTTTCTGATTCATATTTGGGTGACCTTTGCCATTTTTTAGTTCTCTTCCCCTCCATAAACTGTCTTGATTTTTCCTTTCTCAGAGCACCTATGAGGTTACTTTTGGTAAAGTTTAAAAGCCAGAAATACTGGCCATTTTGTCTGGCTAAAGTCAGGTAATAAGAAATTTTAAAAGAACTTTACTAAATAGTGCTGTGGTTAAAAGTCAGCTTAATTAAAAGTAGATATTCAAGATCTAACAGCTTGGGACACCTTGGGAAAAACAGGAGGCACTAGAGACCCTTTCTGGGCTCTGTTCTTCCAAGGACTCCACCCTAAAGCCAATAACCAATTAAAAAACTTAAAAACTGGCAAAGAAAAATCTTACAACTACCGTAGCAATCTTCTTCTGTCTGTGTAGTTATATATGTGTTGTGTGTGTAATGTTTATATAAAAGCTAATTGGCTTAAGCAAAAATAAGCACTTAAATGTTTTAAAAGAAAAATTAAAATGTTAATGCCTTTTAGTTCATGTAACTTTAGCAATCTTTAGGAAATAAAAATAGCTTTAAAGATTATTAATAAAATAAGAACATTAATCTAAATTATGCAGATCAGATATTAGGTGTGCTAAATGCTTTAAGGTCATAAACTGCTTTAAGTTTAAAAAATCATTCAATTTATTTTGGAGATATTAAATTCTAAATAAGGCCTGGGGATATATGAAATTAGCCATACCTCCTAACTATGCAAAGAAGGTTATAAAGAAAATAAATTTTATAGAAGAAAGGATCTGGTATGGTAAATTCTTGTCCTAAAGTAAAATGACTGGTTGTTTAAAAAGAGGGATATTTAGGACAAATAAGAAAGTCCAAGCATGTCATAGATGTTCTGTATAAGTCATGAAAGGATTCATAGAAGAAAAATTTATGCACCAAAAGTGAAAGTTGCTAAGAATTACCATTATAACATGTAATTAAGACTACTAAAGGTATAGGTTGGCCAGGTGCAGTGGCTCACATCTGTAATCCAAGCACTTTGGGAGGCTGAGGTGGGAGGATCACTTGAGTTCAGGAGTTCAAGACCAGCCTGGCCAACGTGGTGAAACCCCCTCTCTACTAAAAGTACAAAAATTAGCCAGTGTGGTGATGGGCTCCTGTAATCCCAGCCACTCTGGAGGCTGAGGCAGGAGGATCACTTGAACCCAGGAGGTGGAGGTTGCAGTGAGTCAAGATCGCACCACTGCACTCTGGCCTGGGTGAAAGAGCGAGACCTTATCTCAAAAAAAAAAAAAAAATAGGTTTACATGCAAGGTGTGTGAGGAGAATAAAATGTTTTTCGTAAGAGATTATTCAAAGGCATGGGAATGTAAATTGTTTCCTAGTTTAGAGGGTTAAAGGATTGCTTTAAATAAAATAAAGCTATAGGCTTAAACAAGTTGTGGAAGGTTTGTAAAAATTAACCTTGTAAAGGAAATTCTGGCTGAGTGTGGTGGCTCATGCCTGTAATCCCAGCACTTTGGGAGGCCAAGGCAGGCATATCACTTGAGGTCAGGAGTTTACAAACAGCCTGGCCAACATGGTGAAACCCTGTCTCTACTAAAAATACAAAAATTAGCTAGGCATGGTGGTGCACACCTGTTGTCCAAACTACTCAGGAGGCTGAGGCAGGAGAATCACTTGGACCCAGGAGGCAGAGGTTGTTGAGCTGAGATCGCACCACTGTACTCCAGCCTGGGTGACAAGAGTGAAACTCTGCCTCCAAAAAAACAGAAGGAAAGAAAAGAAATTCTATGTGTGAAAATATTGACTAAATTTAAAATGGTATTATTAGATTTTTCCATAAACTGAACATCCAAATAAAAGTACAACAAGGTTTTCTTAAAGCACTAATCTGCTCTTTAACAAAAATTTGTAAAGAGTTATAAAAGGTTTATGAAAATCTTGCCTTATGGTCAAACTGATTAAGATTGGATAGATTTGTCTATACAATTTTACTAAAAATTGGGGTTGACATTAATAGTCCACTAATGCAAATGTGAAATTCGTCTTTCTCTCTTGAACAAGATTTTCATGTTATATTAAAAGTAAGATAATCAATTTTTTTTGTTTGTCTTTTAAATGCTCCACCAAAAAAAAAAAAAAAGGAAGGGAAAGACAAAGGACAGATTGTTTGCAAAACTAATCCTTCCCTTTATTAATGAGTAAAAGTTTTTGCCTTTTAAAAATTTTTGAGTCATTAGTTTGGCTAAATGAATGACTTATGGTGACCTGGAATTCTTGTTCATAATATCAAGTGTTTTAAACTTTTATCATATTTAATATGCTTCCCAAAATCAAGTTTCAGCTTCAAAACGGTCTTTTCTAACCTTTAACTTTGGAATGCTACAGAGGGCCCCTGAAGCATCCAAAAGACAGGTAAACAGAATTATTTGACATGTTAGATTACATGGGAAGCTTTGTCAAAATAAAAATAATGTTTAATCTTCAGGTTATATTTTAGTAAATGATATTAATATATGTTCCAAAATTGTATGAAATTTATAAAATTCTAGTATGTCTAAGCATATGCTATCAATTATAATTATTGTTATTATGTAAAGTTATTGTACACCACAGAAATAACCAAATTTCCTTGTATAAAACTGCTAACCTAAATAGAACAAAAAAATTAATTAAATACCAAGAAAATACTTTGCCAAATTTTCATGTTAAACCAGCTGATATTGAAATTGTTTAGACATACAATTTAAACTTCACAGTCTAAGTCAAATTACCTATAATAACTCATTAGTTATTAGTGCTATGCACCTAATTTGGGGAAACAACTGGTATTCAAGAGGACATAAGTTGAATGTTAAGCATGGATTCATGGAGAACCAGGGTGGCTGCCTTGTCCTTCCTGAGTCCTTAAAGCTTTTTGTTATTGAGGGTTCTGCATTCCATGACTCATGATGGAAAAAATAAAATAATCCCAGTTAAATATATTAATGTGGTGACTTATAAAATGCAAAAATAGTTTAAAACCAATGTTTGGTTCCATATTCCTGGGAAGACAATAAAACCACCTGGTACATTTGGCTACCTGATGGGTCACTTAAACATTTATTAAGGAGTTTCATTCAGTTGTCATTTTTAATGCATGTTTTAGGTTATAAAAATTATTATGCCACAGTATATTTTAATCAGGTAAAGAAAGATTTTTTATGGTTCACTGAGGACAATCAACCCCTTCACAATCTAGAACTTGAAGACTGGATCTTCTGAGGACATCAGAGAAAGGCTGTCCTTGCCATCCACATTGCAACAAAATTTTGACACCTTGAAACCTGGGTTCATAATCTTACAACTGAGAAGAGTCCGTCGACACTCTTAGAAGTACACACCCATTGGAACCCTTAAGGTAAAACTAACCAGGAAAATTTCTCCCCAAAGGAAGATGTCATGCTTGATGTGAACAGCTTTTCCCAAGGTCACGGATCCAGACTGCCACTATCATAATGAGAGGTGACAACATGCTAGCAGCCCTCGCTCACTCTCGGCGCCTCCTTGGCCTCGGCGTCCGCTCTGGCCACACTCGAGGAGCCCTTCAGCCTGTCGCTGCCCTGTGGGCGCCCCTCTCTGGGGCTGGCTGAGGCCAGAGCCGGCTCCCTCTGCTGGCCGGGAGGTGTGGAGGGAGAGGCATGGGCGGGAGCCGGGGCTGCGCGCGGGGTTCGTAGGCCAGCGCGGGTTCCCGGTGGGGGCAGGCTCGGCAGGCTCCCACACTCTGATCAAGCCAGCGCCTGCTAATTTCATACACAGGGAAATGCAGGCAATCGGGAATAAAAAATAAATAAATAAATAAAATAAATAAATAAGTACATAAAAACTGCCTTCTTAGCCCTTGTGTCATTATAAACAATTATTGTGGCTGGGTGCGGTGGCTCACACCTATAATCCTACACTTTGGGAGGTCAAAGCGGGTGGATCACTTGAGGTCAGGAGTTCAAGACCAGCCTGGCTAACATGGCAAAACCCCATCTCTACTAAAAATACAAAAATTAGCTGGGTGTGGTGGCGCATGCCTGTAATCCCAGCTACTCTGGAGGCTGAGAAAGGAGAATCGCTTGAACCCAGGAGGCGGAGGTTGCAGTGAGCCAAGATCACGTCACTGCACTCCAGCCTGGGAGACAGAGCGAGACTCTGTCTCAAACAAACAAACACAACAATTATGGCCAGGTGAGGTGGCTCACGCCTGTAATCCTAGCACTTTGGGAGGCCGAGGCGGGCAGATCACGAGGTCAAGTTAGAGACCATCCTGGCCAACATGGTGAAACCCCGTCTCTACCAAAAATACAAAAATTAGCTGGGCATGGTGGCCCGCGCCTGTAGTCTGAGCTACTCAGGAGGCTGAGGCATGAGAATCGCTTGAACCCGGAAGGTGGAGGTTACAGTGAGCCAAGATCGGGCCACTGCATTCCAGCCTGGTGACAGACCAAGACTCCATCTCAAACAAACACAAAAACAAAAAACAATTATTGCCTTATGGTGCCTACAAGGATGTTGGAGTGGTGTGGTATTACGGTATGGTATTATCTACCCTCAACTGCTTTGTAGCACTGAGGTTTTAGACATTGATATAGCTGAATATTTGTCCCCACCCAAATCTCATGTCTAATGTAATCCCCAATGTTAGGGGTGGGACCTGGTGGGAGGTGAAGTCTGATCGGGTCGGAGCCCTCATGGCTTGGTGCTGTCCTGCAGATGGTGAGTGTGTTGTCATGAGATCTGGTCAATTAAAAGCACGTGGCTCCTCACCCCCTCTCTCTTGCTCCTGTTCTAGCAATGTGATGTTCCTGCTTGCACTTCACCTCTGCCATGCTTAACAGTTCCTGGAGGCCTCCCCGGAATCCTAGCAGACACTGCCATGCTTGTGTTACAGGAAAGGGATTCCGATCCCTTTAGACATACAATTTAAACTTCACACTCTAAGTCAAATTACGTAAAATAACCCATTGTCAGGATCTCTCACAAGAAAGAATTTGGGGAGAGTCCATGGAGTAAAGTGAAAGTAGGTTTATTAAGAAGGTAAAGGAATAGGCTGGGCACTGTAGCTCACACCTGTAATCCCAGCACTTTGGGAGGCTGAGGCGGGCAGATCACCTGAGGTCAGGAGTTTGAGACCAGCCTGGCCAACATGGTGAAACCCCACCTCTACTAAAAATACAAAAATTAGCCAGGTGTGGTGGTGGGTGCCTGTACTCCCAGCTACTCTGGTGGCTGAGGCAGGAGAATCACTTGAACCTGGGAGGTGGAGGTTGCAGTGAGCCAAGATGGGGCCACTGCACTCCAGCCTGGGTGACAGAGCGGGACTCTGTCCCCTGCAGAAAAAAGAAAAAAAGAAAGTAAAGGAATAAAAGAAAAGAATGGCTTCTCCACAGGCAGAAAAACAGCACAGGCTGTTTAGCTACTTATACTTATTGTTACTTCCAGATTATATGCTAAACAAAGGGTGGATTATTCATGAGTTTTCTGGGAAAGGGGTGGGCAATTCCCAGAACTGAGGGTTCCTCCCCCTTTTAGACCATATAGGGTAACTTCCTGACATTGCTGTGGCATTTGTAAACTGCCGTGGCACTGGTGGGAGTATCTTTAGCATGCTAATAAATTATAATTAGCATATAATGAGCAGTGAGGACGACTAAAGGTTATTTTCATAGCCATCTTGGTTTTGTTGGGTTTTGGCTGGCTTCTTTACTGCAACATGTTTTATTAGCAAGGTCTCTGTGACCTGTATCTTCTGCTGACCTATCTCATCCTGTGACTTAGAATGCCTCACCTCCTGGGAATGCAGCCCAGTAGGTTTCAGCCTTATTTTACCCAACCCCTATTCAAGATGGAGTTGCTCTGGTTGTAACGCCTCTGGCACTCGTACAGCCTGCAGAACTGTGAGCCAATTAAACCTCTTTTTTTTTTTTTTTTGAGACAGAGTCTTGCTTTGTTGCCCAGGCTGGAGTGCAATGGCATGATCTCAGCTCACTGCAACCTCCACCTCCTGGGTTCAAGCGATTCTCCTGCCTCAGCCTCCCAAGTAGCTGGGATTACAGGTGCCTGCCACCAGGCTGGCTAATTTTTTTTTCGTATTTTTTTTTAGTACAGACTGGGTTTCACCATGTTAGTCAGGCTGATCTCAAACTCCTGACCTCAGGTGATCCACCCGCCTAGGCCTCCCAAAGTGCTGGGATTACAGGTGTGAGTCACTGTACCCTGCCCTAAACCTGTTTTTACAAATTATTCAGTCTCGGGTTTTTTTGTTGTTTTTTTGTTTTTTTTTTTTTTTGAGACAGAATCTCGCTCTGTCACCCAGGCTGGAGTTCAGTGGTGCGATCTTGGCACACTGCAACCTCTGCTTCCTGGATTCAAGCGATTCTCCTGCCTCAGCCTCCCAAGTAGCTGGGATTACAGGCATGCACCACCACGCCTGGCTAATTTTTTTTGTATTTTTAGTAGAGATGGGGTTTCACCATGTTGGCCAGACTGGTCTCGAACTCCTGACTTCAAGTGATCCACCACCTTGGCTTCCCAAAGGGCTGGGATTACAGGCGTGAGCCACTGTGCCCAGCCTCAGGTGTTTGTTTTTACAGCAACACACAAATGGCCTAACACAGACACTTTTACCTATTGTTGTCTTCCTTCTTGCATTCAAGCTGTAAGATGTTTCTTTTCCCTGGGCTCACCATATGATCTCTTGGTAACACTCTTTTTTCTGTCTCTTATTGTGGGGAGGGCTACTTGCAAACAGAGTAAGTAAAGTAGTGTCTGGGAATATGTATTAAGTTAAGGATGAATAGGACATGAGTAGCCAGTGCAGTGGCTCATGCCTGTACTCTCAAAACATTGGGAGGCTGAGGTGGGAGGATCACCCAAGTCCAGGAGGTTGAAACCAGTCTGGGCGATATTGCAAGACCCCGTCTCTACAAAAAATTTTAAAAATTTGCCAAGCGTTCTGGTGCGTGCTTGCGGTCCCAGGTACTTGCGAGGCTGAGGCAAGAGGACTGCTTGAGCCCAGGGGTTCAAGTCTGCAGTGAGCTATGATCGCACCACTGCACTCCAGCCTGGGCAACAGAGGGAGACCCTGACTTAAAAAAAAAAAAAGGCCATGGGTGAGGGCATCGCCTTGAGTAGAGGGCATGAACATTAATGATTGAGTTTAACAGGTTTGGTTCTTGGAGTCTGATTAGTCATTTATTCATTCATTTAGCCGGAAAGCCTGCTGTCCATCCATTAAAACATTCAACAAATGTTTAGTAAGTGCCTACTATATGTCAAATACTTTGCCAGACACAGGATATAGTAGTAAATGAGACAAGCATGGTCCCTGCCCTTATACAGCTGTGATCTCATGGGGAAAACAGACCTAGAACAAGAATTGGCAAATGTGAATACGACATATCATAAAAGCGAAACTTCAGGGAGCTATAGGAGCTATAGGAGTGCATCACAGAAGACCTTAACCGTGTGTGTGTTGGAGAGACAGAAAGAGGGAGAGAAAGGAGAGAGAGGAGGAGAGAGGAGTGAGGTGGGGGTGATTGGGTAGGTAGGAGGGGACAAAGGTTTTTCTTTCTTGCCCTTCATTTCCCTGGGGAGGAATCTGGAAGTTATAGCTAAAGGAAGGGGAGGAGGATTTGTTTCGGGTAGAGGAACATGCTTATTATGCAAAGAGCCTGAATCAGGGAAAAGCATGGCTGGTTCAGGGAGTTAAAAGAATGTGAACGTGGTTTAAGTGTAAAAAGTGAAAGGAAAAAGGCACAAGATGTGGGTAGAGATGAAGTCAAAGGCCTGGGGAAAATATCGGCCTTGATTCCAAAGATGATTAGAAGCCACTTAAGGTTTTAGGCTAAGGAGGGCAGTAACATTCTTCTCTCCCAAGAACTGAGAACAGTTGAGCAACTAAATAGTTGCTCAACTGATGAAGCTAAACACCGGGCTTGACTGACTTCCAGGCCACAGCTGGTAGGACGGATTCCTCAGTCATCATTCAAAATGTAAAGTCTTCTACCTGAGCCAGGATGAAATCTTTCTCTCCTTGCTATCAGCCAGTCCCTTCCTTGTGCCCCCAGGAGGCACTCTCAGCTCCTTTTTTTTTTTTTCCTTTTTTTGAGACAGAGTCTCGGCTCTATCGCCCAGGCTGGAGTGCAGTGGCACGATCTTGGCTCACTGCAACCTCCGCCTCCCAGGTTCAAGCAATTCTCCTGCCTCAGCCTCCCAAGTACTGGAACTACAGGCGGGTGCCACCACACCCGGCTAATTTTTGTATTTTTAGTAGAGGCGAGGTTTTGCCATGTTGGCCAGGATGATCTCGAACTCCAGACCTCGTGATCCGCCCACCTCAGCCTCCCAAAGTACTGGGATTTCAGGTGTGAGCCACCGCACCCGGCCTGAGATTAAATTTTTAAAGTTTAATTCCTTTGAGGTCATTGCAAATCATTCAATAGTTCATTCCTTATTACTAAGTACTATTCCATTGTATGGCTGTACCACGGTTTGCTTAGCCATCCACCTGTTGAAGGACATTTGGGTTTATAGTTTGGTTGTTAAAAATAAAGCTTCTGTGAAAACTCATGCACAAGTTTTTGCATGAATATCAACTTTTATTTCTCTAGGGCAAGTGGCCAGGAGTGCAGTTAGTGGGTACATAGTTAAGCACGTTTCTAATTTGTGAAAACAAAATAAAACAAAACAAAACACCAAGCTGTTTTTCAGGGTGGTTGTTCACCATTTTTGGATGGCACTATTCAGAGACCTGTAAACCTGCACTCTCCTGTGCACTGTTCATCCTCAAGGGGTGAAAGTAGCATAGCAATTGGGCCAATTACCTCACAGCTGCTGAATTTATGAACTTATTTCAGCCTCCCCAGTAGCTGGGATTACAGGTGTGCACCACCATGCCCGGCTAATTTTTGTATTTTTAGTAGAGATGGGGTTTCATCATGTTGGCCAGGCTGGTCTCGAACTCCCGACCTCAGGTGAACCACCCGCTTCAACCTCCCAAAGAGTTGGGATTACAGGTGTGAGCCACTGCACCCAGCCTTAAATGCATTTTCAGCTTCTATTTTCAACTGATGATGGGCATTGTACATTGTAAAGACAATAAATCTTTCCAATAAATTAGTGGGAAAGGAGCTCAAAACCCAGCCGGGTGATTCATTATTTTAATGACTTCCTGCTTTACTGCAAAACCTCTCTCTTCATTCGGTGTTGGCAGTTTGAGCCCCTGTTTAGGATTTAGCCTCACTATGAAGCTTCTATAAATTTCTGGGTATCTGTCATGTAGGTCACTCTCCTTCAGGAATGATGAGGAGGCTGGAAAACGGTTGCTCCAAGGGAAGGGGGAATTTTTCAAACCTCAGCTGTCCAAGCTCAGCATGAATTGGAGTGGGCTGCTGACTCAGGGGCTAGCAGAGGCAGCCAGGAAACATGCAAATCAGCAATCCCTTCTTCCAGGTCTGTCCCAGCAGGTGTCACTAAAAGGCAGCCCCGTGTGCTTCTGTCACTGTGGCAGCCTTGTCAAGGAAAGTGGAAGGGAAAAGAGATCCGGTGCTGAACTCCAAGCAGAGATGGGGCTTTTCTCTCTGCGTATTTTCCCTCCCCGCCCAGCCTGCATTTCCAGTAACATACTGATTTATATTTGTATCATGAAACAAAAGTGGTTTGTAAACAGCTGTTCTTTCCTTTTACACACAATGCTAGCTCCTACTTACATTCCTAACTGAATAATGTCTAAAGAGGTACTTAAACTGACATAAAATCCAGGTGATCTTATGACCAAATGCTTAGTGCAAAAAACAAAAAACAAAACAAAACAAAACAAACTTCGAATTGCAAGACGAATCCCTCCAAATATAGAAAGTACCAGTATTTTAAGAGGTATGTTAACTGAAATGTGGCAACTAAGGAGCAGAGCAGGAAGAACCTTTAAGTCTGAAACTTACAATAAGTCAATTTCATAGTTTCCTTGGTCCTTCCACAACAACCTCTGGGATCTGTTTTCCCTACAAGAGGTAACAATAGTAGCTATTTCAGAGCAGGAAAAAGCTTAGAGCAGTGCTAGAATAGGGTCATGGCTATATAAAGTTTAGCTATTTGTATACTGTAACAAACCTATTTTTTTTTATTGATAGTCAGTAATAGATTTCTTTTGGAAAAGTAGCAGCCTCCTGTCCGGGGAACACCTGCAGTTCCCACTAAGTGAACATTGGTGTCTGCTAACCTTTGCCTGTATTTCTCTCAATAATATACTGTCAAGCTTTTCCTTGACTTAGCAATTTCATTCACTTTCTTTTTTTCCTTTCCCTTTTCCTGAGACAGAGTCCCGCTCTGTCGCCCAGTCTGGACTGCAGCAGCGCCATCATAGCTCACTGCCACCTCGACCCCCGGGGCTCAAGCAATCCTCCTCAATCAGCCTTCAGAGTAGCTGGGACTACCTGTGCGGCCCACCACGCCCGGCTAATCTTTGTGGTTTTTGTTTTTCCCTTAAGAGACCCGGTTTCGGGCCAGGCCCGGTGACTCACGCCTGCAATCCCAGCACTTTGGGAGGCTGAGGCGGGCGGATCACCTGAGGTAGGGAGCTCCAGACCAGCCCAACCAACATGGAGAAACCCCGTCTCTACTAAAAAAAAAAAAAAAATACAAAGTTAGCCGGTCATGGTGGCTCATGCCTGTAATCCCAGCTACTTGGGAGGCTGAGCCAGGAGAATCACCTAAACCCGGGAAGCAGAGGTTGAGGTGACCCGAGATCGCGCCACTGCACTCTAGCCTGTGCAACAAAAGCGAAACTCCGTCTCAAACAAACAAACCAAAAAAAAAAAAAAAAAAAGAAAGAAAGAAAGAAAAGTAAAAAGAGACCGAGTTTCACTATGTTTCCCAGGCCAGTCTGGAACTCCTAGGCTCAAGCAATCCATCGCGCTCGGCCATCCAGTCTTGGGATCACAAGCATGAGCCACCATGCCAGGCCGATCTATTCCTTTCCTACTAATAAATGGGCCGGGCGCGGTGGCTCACGCCTGCAATCACAGCACCCCGGGAGGCCGAGGCGGGCGGATCACCTGAGGTCGAGAGCTAGAGACCAGCCCGACCAACATGGAGAACCCTCGTCTCTACCAAAAAATAAAATAAAATAAAATACAAAATTAGCCGGGCATGGTGGCTCAGGCCTTTAATCCCAGCCACTGGAGAAGGTGAGGCGGGAGAACCACCCAAACCCGGGAGGCGGAGGCCATGGCGAGCCGAGACCGCGCCACTGCACTCCATGTTGGGCAACAAGCGCAAAACTCCACCTCAAAAAAAAAAAAAAAAAAAAAGAGAGACCGGGTTTCACCATGTTGCCCAGGCTGGTCTGGAACTCCTAGGCTCCAGTGATCCTCCATGCCTGGTCGTCCAAAGTCCTGGGATCACAAGCGTGAGCCACCAGGCCAGGCCGATTTATTCCTTTCTGATTAATAAATTAGGCCTGACACAGTGGCTCACACCTGCAATCCCAGTGTGTCCGGAATTGGTGGGTTCTTGGTCTCACTGACTTCAAGAATGAAGCCACCGACCCTCGCGGTGAGTGTTACCAGTTCTTAAAGATGGTGTGTCCTGAGTTTGTTCTTTCAGATGTTCAGATGTGTCCAGAGTTTCTTCCTTCTGGTGGGTTCGTGGGCTCACTGACTTCAGGAGTTAAGCCGCAGACCTTCGCGGTGATTATCACAGCTCATACAGGCTGTGCGGACCCAAAGAGTGAGCAGCAGCAAGATTTATGACAAAGAGCACAAAAGAAGAGAGCTTCCACATCCTGGAAGGGGACCCAAGCGGGTTGCCGCTGCTGCCTCCGTGAACTGCTTTTATTCCTTTATCTGGCCCCACCCACATCCTACTGATTAGTCCATTTTACAGAGAGCTGATTGGTCCGTTTTACAGATAGCTGATTGGTCTGTTTTGGCAGAGCGCTGATTGGTGCATTTACAAACCTTTAGCTAGACACAAAAGTTCTCCAAGCCATTACCTAGACACAGAGTGCTGATTGGTGCATTTACAAACCTTTAGCTAGACACAGAGTGCTGATTGGTGCGTTTACAAACCTTTAGCTCGACAGAAAAGTTATCCAGGTCCCCACCAGACCCAGAAGCCCAGCCGCTTCACCTCTCAATGGCACTCGCTACAGGACTTTGTGGCACCTAGCCCGGCACTCCAGCAGCTCAGAGGGAGCTTGTCCAGGATCAAGCCCAGCGGAGCGCAGCCCAGGCTCCCGCCAGTGCCCTTCCCTCCACATCTCCTCCCTAGCAGAGGGAGCCGGCTGGGGCCTCGGCCAGCCCCAGAGAGGGGCCCCCACAGCACAGTGGCGGACTGAAGGGCTCCTCGAGCTCGGCCAGAGCGGGCACCCAGGCTGAGGAAGCACTGAGAGTGAGCGAGGGCTACTAGCACATTGTCACCTCTCACCAGCACCCCGGGGAGGTCGAGGCGGGCGGATCACCTGAAGTCGGGAGTTTGAGACCAGCCTGACCAACATGGAGAAACCCCGTCTCTAACAACAACAACAAAAAATTAGCAGGGCATGGTGGCTCACGCCTGCAATCCAAGCACCCTGGGAGGCCGAGGCGGGCGGATCACCTGAGGTCGGCAGTTTGAGACCAGCCTGACCAACATGGAGAAACCTCGTCTCTACCAAAAAAAAAAAAAAAAAAAAAAAAAAAAAAGAAATACAAAATTAGCCAGGAATGGTGACTCATGCCTGCAATCCCAGCCACTCGGGAGGCTGAGGCAGGAGAACCACCCAAACCCGGGAGGAAGAGGCTGTGGCAAGTGGAGACCACGCCACTACTGCACTCTAGCCTGGGCAACAAGAGTGAAACTCCGCGACACACACACACACACACACACACACACACACACACACACACACGAGAGAGACCGGGTTTCACCATGTTGCCCAGGCCAGATGGAGTCTTGCTCTGTCGCCCAGGCTGGAGGGCAATGGTGCCATCTCGGCTCACAGCAACCTCTGCCTCCTGGGTTCAAGCGATTCTCTTGCCTCAGCCTCCCGAGTAGCTGGGACTGCAGGTGTGTGCCACCATGCCTGGCCAATTTTTTCTTTTTTTTTCCAGTAGAGATGGGGTTTCGCCATATTGGCAAGGCTGCTCTCGAATTCCCGACCTCAGACAACTCACCCGCCTCAGCCTCCCAAAGTGCTGGGATTACTGAGAGCCACCGCACCCAGTCTTTATCTTTCTTTTCTCCTCCAAATCTCTGGCAACAATGATCTTTATAGTTTGCCTTTTCCAGAATATCATATAAATGGAATCAGTCATTCCAATTGATGTATGTAGGTTTTTCAAACTTCCTTGTTTCACCTAGAAATATGCATTTGAGATTCATCCATGTTTTGCATGATGCTCCTTTTTGTTAATGACTAGTATTCTTTTGTAGAAATGTACTGCAGTTAGTTTACACATTCACTTATTGAAGAACATCTTATTTGCTTCCAGTTTTGGGTGAATATGAATATGGCTGCTATAAGCATTTGTGTACAGGTTTTGTGCGCTGGTAAGTTTTCAAATCAGTATGCAAATACCTAGGAACACTCTACTGTTGGATCATGTGATGAGACTATGTTTTACTTTGTAAGAAGCTGCCAAACTGCTATCCTAAGTGGTTGTACTATTTTGCTTTCCCACAAGCAATACATGAGAGTTTCCAGCACCCCACAGATTAACTATTAATAATAGCAATTGCAATTTTCCTGATTTTGGATTTTAGCAATTTTGATAGGTGTGTAGTAGTATCTTCATTGTTGATTTAATTTGAATTTCCCAAAAAAATGATATTTAGCAAATTTCTATATACTGATTTGTTGTCTGTATTTTTTTTTTTTTTTTGAGACAGAGTCTCTCTCTGTGGCCCAGGCTGGAGTGCAGTGGTGCGATCTCGGCTCACTGCAAGCTCCGCCTCCCAGGTTCACGCCATTCTCCTGCCTCAGCCTCCCAAGTAGCTGGGACTACAGGCGCCCGCCACCACGCCCGGCTAATTTTTTGTATTTTTAGTAGAGACGGAGTTTCAACGTGTTAGCCAGGATGGTCTCGATCTCCTGACTTCGTGATCCGCCCGCCTCGGCCTCCCAAAGTACTGGGATTACCAGGCATGAGCCACCGCGCCCAGCCTGTATATCTTTTTTGATGAAGTGTCTCTTCAGATATTTTGCCCATTTTAAAAATAAAATTTTTATTTTGAGATAAAATTTTGTAGATTCACATGAAGTTGTAGGAAATAGTACAGTGAGATCCTCTGTAGCCTTTATTGAGTTTCCCCCAATGGTAACACTTGTAAAACTATGGTACAATACCACAACTTGATATTTAAGTTGATGCAGTCAAGGTACAGAACATTTTGTCTTTGTAGGGAATTGCCAAACTCATCAATAATGTATGGGTGATCCAGTTTCTCCACATCCTCGCCAACATTTTATTGTTGCTATTTTTTATTGTGATAGGTAATGATATCTAATTGTCACTTTAATGCATTTACCTAAAGGCTAATGATGTGAAACATCTTTTCACATGGTTACCTGCCATCGGAATATCCTCTTAAGTGAAATATCTCTTCATGTCTTTTTCACATTTTCTAATTGGATTATTTATTTTTCTGCTGAGGTTTTAGAATTTGTTATATGTTCTATACATGAGTTCTTTTGTGAATATTGGCTTGCAAATACTTTTAGTGGTCTGTAATTATTTTTATTCCTATTCATAGTCTTTCACAGAGCAAACACTTTTAATTTTGATGGAGTCCAACTTGCCATTTTCCCTTCAATGGTTCATGCTTTTGGTGTAAAATAAGAGGGCTATTTACTTAGCCCTAGATGCAGTTTTTCTCCTGTTTTTTCTGAAGTTTGGTAGTTTTAGTTTTGCATTTAAGTACATAATCCATTTTTTAGTTAATTTTTGTAAAAATGTGAAGTTCAGGCTGAGGTTCAATTTTTGGCCTATGGATGTCCAGTTGCACCATCACCATTTACTGAAAAAGCTATCCTTCCTCTATTGAGCTGCTTTTGCAACTTTGTCAAAGATCAACTGGTTTTTGCTCATTTATAATTAGGTTGCTTAATTTCTTATTGTTGAATTTTAAGAGTCATTTGTATATTTTGAACCCAAGTCTTTTGTGATTTGAAAATATATTCTCAGTCTATGACTTGCCATTTGACCTTCTTAACATAATATTTCACAAAGTAAAAGGGCTTTTTTTCTTTTAATAAAGCTTTTGTCAATTTTTTGTTTCATGGGGTTGTACTTAAAATTTCATCAAGGTACAAATATCCAACAAGGTCACATAGATTTTCTCCTGTGTTTTCTTCTACAAGTGGTATAGCTGTGCATTTTACATTTAATTTATAATACATTTTGAGTTAATTTTGTGTAAGGTATAAGATGTGTGTCTAGGTTCATTTTTTAGGGGAGAGGACGTATGTATATCTAATTGTTTTAGCACCACTTGTTGAGAAGACTATCTTCTCTTCATTGAATTGCCTTTGTTATATATATATATATATATAGACATATATATCTCATTTGACTATATTTGTGAGTCTGTCTCTGGTCTCTCTATTCTGTCCCACTGATCTGTGTGTCTGTTCTTTCACCAATACCATGCTGCCTTGATTGCTTTAGATTTATAGAACATTGTGATGTATTTAATGTCAGGTAATGCAAGTCTTATAACTTTGTTCTTCTCTAATGTTGCATTGGTCTTTTGCCTTTCTATAAAAAAATTCAGAGTAAGTTTGCCAATATCTTCAAAATAGCTTTCCTGAATTTTGATTAGGATTGTGTTGAATCTATAGAACAAGTTTGAAAGAATTGGTATTTTAACAATATCAATTCCTCCAGTATACGAATATTGACTACATTTCCATTTAATCGGATCTTCTTTGATTTCCATCATCAGTGTTTTGTAGTATTTCGCATACAGACACTGTAAACGAACGTTTCAGCTTTA
The DNA here is from genome assembly GCF_000001405.40 of Homo sapiens. Classification (NCBI taxonomy): domain Eukaryota; kingdom Metazoa; phylum Chordata; class Mammalia; order Primates; family Hominidae; genus Homo; species Homo sapiens. The sequence continues at coordinate 53,409,099 of NC_000016.10, read as the reverse complement.
TACCTCAATACTTCATTTTTGTGTGTGTGTGTACTGTTTTAAATAATGTTTTCTAAATTAAATTTCAAATTTTAATTGTTCTTTGTTATATATGACAACAATTGACTTTTGTATGTTATACTTGTATCTAGTGACCTTGATATACCCACTTAGGTCCAGAAGTTACATTCATTTCAATTTCCTACATAGACCATCATTTCATTTGTGAATAAAAATTGGCTTCTTCCTTTCCAATCTATATAATTTTTCTTCTTGTCTTATTTCCCTGGCTAAGACTTCCAGTATGATGTTGAGTATGAGGAGTTAGAGAGGACATATTTGACTTCTTTTTTTTTTTTGAGACGGAGTCTCACTCTGTCGCCCAGGCTGGGGTGCAGTGGCGCGATCTCAGCTCACAGCAACTTCCGCCTCCCAGATTCAAGGGATTCTCCTGCCTCAGCCTCCTGAGTAGCTGGGGTTACGGGCACCTGCCACCACACCCAGCTAATTTTTTGTACTTTTTAGTAGAGACGGGGTTTCACCATGTTGGTCAGGCTGGTCTCGAACTCCTGACCTTGTGATCCGCCCACCTCGGCCTCCCAAAGTGCTGGGCTTACAGGCTTCAGCCACCGCGCCCGGCCTTGACTTCTTAATAATCTTAGAAGGCAAATACTTAAGTCTCTTGCTATTAATTCTAACATTAGCCACAGACATCATACACATACTTTATTCAGGAAGTTCCTGTCTATTTGTAGTTGAGTGGGTTTCTTTAGATATTTTAATTACAAGTGGTGTTGAATTTTGTTCAAAGCTTTTTCTGCATCTGTTGATAAGATCATCCAGCTTTTCTTAGTCTTTTATGAGGAATATACGTATATATGTGTGTGTATATATATCCATATTTATTTGTGTGTATGTATGTATATTCTCAGCCACCTTTGCTGCTACAATGTATTAAAGGCCTTTGATAATTCCTTGTGCACTAGATCTCATCCCCTTCCACTCACTCAAATACTTTGTTTCTATAATAGTTTCCCTTTCTCTGGCATCTTCATTTTTTTCTCTTCCTGCACCATTCCAATCACCTCACAAGCATGCCATATGTACTATCTCCACCAAAACACACAGGTGTGCATGCACAAACACACACATACATATGCACCTCTCTGTATTAATCCAAGTTATCAATTTTTTACCCTACTTTCCTTTGTAGAAAAAATTATATGACTCATCTCTCAATTCTCTTGAGTCTACTCTAAGATTTTTGTCCCCACAACTCATCTGAAATCATTTTTGCCAAGGTCACAAGTGACCTCCACCTTGAGAAATCTAATGGACAATTCTTTTCCTCTTAAATTTGTTGACAGTACTTGACATGGCAAAGTTGCAAAAGCAACTCAATAGAAGAAGTATAGCCTTTTCAGTAAATGGTGATGGTGCAACTGGACATCCATAGGCCAAAGACATCCCTGTGTCTTTATCCTTCATTTGAAGGAAAGAGGACAGGGGAAACAGGATGCAGATATAATACTCTCCAAGTTTTCATACCTTCCTTCTCAGGCACTTTGCTGGGCTTGTTCTTCTTCTTTCACCCAACCTCCTAACATAAGAAAACATTAATCTTTAGTTCCTGTTAATGATCTTTCTGCTATTCATATTCGTGTTAATAAGTGATTCTATCTAGTCACAGGCATTAGTTAGATAGCATGCATATGAACAGAACACACCCCAAATTTATCATTCCTTCTCTGTATTCCATTGTTGAATTCCCACCAAAACTCAAAATGTCCACTGAAATCTCTAATTGGAACCTTATGCTTAATATGCTCCCAAACAAATTCTTGATTACAGCAATCCATTTTCACTAACATTCCCCTCCTTTAGTCCTATCCATCTCAGTTGATGTCAGCTTCTAGCTGCTGAGACAAAAATACTTAAAAATTACAATTCTTTCCACTTTCCCATACCCCTGCATAGCCAAGCCATGAAAAACTCTTATCTGCTCTAACTTTAATATATATTCCCAATCTTGCCACTTTTCATTATTTCTGACACTCGCATCCTTAACCAAGCTATAATTACCACTTGCCTGGAATAATTAGAATAGTTTCTTAATTGGTTTTTATTTACTTCTGTTCTTGCCTCCCTGCAGCCTATTCATACAGCAGCTAATGTGATCATTTAATGTAGAGCTCAGATGTAATGGCAAAATTTCTATACCACTTGGAACAAAATGCAAATGCTTGCAGGGATCCGGTGTCTATGCACTTTGATGCTCATTTCCTCTTGTGCTGCTCACTCTCCTCTATTCTGGCCTTCTGACGTTGCTTACTCTTCTCCTAGATTTTCCCTTGGCTCCTTCATTTACTTAATTCTGGTCTATGCTGAAGTATCTCTTTAAAAAGCACTTCCTAGAACACTCTAGCAAAAAAAAAAAAAAAAGCCCCTCTGGCCATACCCAGTCTCTTCACTCTGCTTTTTCTCCTTTGCACTTATTACTACCAAAAATTCTATCACATATCCACTTATTTACTTGCTTACTGTCTATTGTCTCTCATTAGAAAATATGCTTCATCTGGACGGTGGCTTTACCTGTGTAGCTTCATAACTATATTTCCTGAAGGGTTCCTGTCATACAGATGGCACTCAGATATTTACTGCATGACTAAATGAATGAATCAAAGGAGGGGCAAGAGACACAGGTGTGTTCCCATTCTCTAGTGTTTTTAAAACATACTGACACTACTTGTAAAAACAACAAAACAGCAAAAACAAGTTATAAAGAGTGTAGAAATTAGTAAATAATCATTGTGTACCCCCCTAAAAGATAAGAGTTCTTAAGGAAAGGTGGGGAACCTGTTGTACCCAAGTTATAAGAAAATGTGTCAGTGACTGTGGACAAAAGGGAAGTATGGCCTACAGCCACAATGTCTATACATTCTTATTAAATTATTAAAGTCCTGGAGTACTCAGATATATGAAGTCTTATTCAACCATGTATGAAACATACACAAAAATATTTCTGATCCTATATCGATACATCCATGAGATGGTGTTATATTTAAAATTATTGTAGAATTTCTGAATAACTAAAAAAGTCATTTGCTACATGCATATTTATGTGGATTTTTAAATATAGTTAACTAAAAAATTGGGAATTTCATGGGCAATTACACAAGTTATTCTAAAGCAAGATATTATAGTGGTAAATCTGTCAAGCTTTGGAATGAAAGTAAAAAAATGAAGTACCTCAAAGAATTTTCACTTATAATTCATAAGACATCTCTTCTTTTGAGAAGTATCTGTTCATGTCCTTTGTCCACTTTTTAATGGGATGGTTTTTTTTTTTTTTTGTAAGTTTGAAGTTCCGTATAGATGCTGGATATTAGGCCTTCACTAGATGCATAGTTTGCAAAAATTGTCTCCCATTCTGTAGGTTATCTATTTACTCTGTTGATAGTTTCTTTTGCTGTGCAGAAGCTCTTCAGTTTAATTAGATCCCATTTGTCAATGTGTACTTTTGTTGCAATTGTTTTTGACATCTTCTTCATGAATCTTTGCCCGTGCCTACGTCCTGAATGGTATTGCCTAGGTTGTCTTCCCATTATCTTTAGCAAACTAACACAGGAACAGAAAATGAAACACTGCATGTTCTCACTTATAGGTGGGAGCTAAATGATGAGAATACATGGAGAGAATAAAAAAAAATAACTAATGGGTACTAGACTTAATACCTGGATGGCGAGATAATCTGTACAACAAACCCCCATGACACATGTTACATAGGCATGTAACAAACCTCCACATGTACCCCTGAACTTAAAATAAAAGTGTATATTAAAAAGGCATATCAGCCCATGAGAAATATTTTTATTACGTTCAAGATTCACAAAAAGGCACGACAAAAGAAAAATAAAGATAACTATTCTCTCTAGTCCAAAGGTGGCAGTATTCCCCTACTTGTTATCAATTCTTTATTTTCTATATTTTCCTTTATCATTAACTCTATTGAAGTTATTTGAAGTCTCATATAATCCTGCCCTCAGGAGGCCCTAGCTTTCTTATCATTTCTAGTGCCAAAATAAAACACATATGAAACTAAAGCAAAGGAACACAGGAAAAGTGGCTGAGAAATTGGTACAATAATCTAGGCCAATTGAGGATAAAAGTTCCAAGATTCAAAGGATGAAGGCAGTGTCTGATAGGCGGATATTATGATACAGAGATTTTACTTGAGCAATGCTTTATTAAGAAGAGAAATGAGGCCGGGCGTGGTGGCTCACACCTGTAATCCCAGCACTTTGGGAGGCCAAGGCTGGTGGATCACCTGAGGTCAGGAGTTCAAGACCAGCCTGGCCAACATGGTGAAACCGCGTCTCTACTTAAAAATACAAAAATTAGCTGTCATGGTGGCGGGCGCCTGTAATCCCAGCTGCTTGGGAGGCTGATACAGGAGAATCCCTTGAACCTGGGAGGAGGAGGTTGCAGTGAGCTGAGATCACACCACTGCACTACAGTCTGAGCGATAGAGCAAGACTGCCTCTTAAAAAAAAAAAAAAAAGAGAGAGAGAGAGAGAAACGAAAAACCTTAAAACAGGCACAGACAGCCATACCCAACATACATTTGATGGTTTCTAAAAGGTCAGTTAAAAATGAGCATTTCTACAGCTACTGATTGAATCATGCATATGTCATTTTTAAACAGCTTTATTGAAGCACAAGAGAAATACAATAAAGTGAACTAATTAAAGTGTACAGTTTGATAGGTTGGTCTATGTATATATCTATGAAACCATCAGGACAATAAAAACATTTCAATCACCCCAAAAACTTTCCTTGTGCATCTTTGTAATTCTTTCTTCCCACTCATCCCTGTCCCACTCTTTAACTCCAGATAATCGCTGATCTGCTTTCTGTGAAATTGTGCATTCTTTAAAATGTATATAAATGAAATCATGCATTATGTGTACTTTTTTCTGCCTTCTGTCATCCAGCATAATTATTTTCAGATTCATCTATATTGTAGCATTGATTCATTCCTTTTTTATTGCTTAGTATTAAGTATGAATATAACACATCCATTCAATTGTTGATAGAAATTTGGGTTGTTTTCACTTTCTGGCTATTACAATAAAGTTGCAATGAACATTAATATATAAATCTTTGTATGAACATATATTGTTCTTAGCTAAATCCTTAAGAATGGAATGATTAGATCATATTTCTTTAGAAAAACTGCCAAACTTTTTCAAAATAGATGTACGAATCAAATTTCTATTACTTCTTTAGTCAGCTTTGGTAGTTTGTGTTTCTAGCAGTTTTTCCATTTCATCTATGTTATCTAATTTGTTGTAATACAACTGTTAATTTTATTTCCTCATAACCCTTTTATTTATCTGAGGTCAGCAGTAATGTCCTTTTATTCCCAGTTGTAGTAATTGAATATTTTCTCCCTCTCTCTCCATCTCTGTCTCCCTTCCTTCTCTCTCTTTTTTTGCTCTCTCTACTTTTCTTGGAGTCTAACTATAAGTTTCTCAATTCTCCTAATCTTTACAAAGTACAAAGTACTACTTTGTTGATTTTCTCTACATTTTCCCATTCTCCAATGTATTTACTTCCACGCTAATCTTTACTATTTCCTTCTATTTGCTTTGAGTTTAGTTGACCTTTCTTTTTTACTTTCTTGTAGTGAGATTTTGGTGATTTATTCCTCACATAGGTGCTTACAGCTGTGTGTTTCATGCTAAGCACTGCTTTAGCTGCATCCCATAGGTTTTGCTGTGTTTTCTTTTTCTTCATCTCTAGGTATTTTCTAATTTCCTTTGTTAATTTTTTTTTGACCTACTGTCCTTTGAATAGTGTGTTGGTTAATTTCTACATATTTATGAATTTCTCTACTTTTCTTCTGTCATTGTTTCCTAATTTTATTCCACTGTGGTTGGAGAACATACTTTGTATGATGTTAGGTCTATCAAATTTTTTATCATGAGGTATCTCTGAGTTTATCCGCTCTGGAATTTGTTGAGCTTTTGGTGTTTTCAACCATACTTTGTATGATGTTACGTCTATCAAATTTTTTATCATGAGGTACCTCTGAGTTTATCCTCTCTGGAATTTGTTCAGCTTTTTGTGTTTTTAAAAAATCAAATTTTGGAAGTTTTCAATCATTATCTTTTTCTTTCTGTTACTCTAATTATATAATCTTTTTATTATTATTATTATACTTTAAGTTTTAGGGTACATGTGCACAATGTGCAGGTTAGTTACATATGTATACATGTGCCATGCTGGTGCCCTGCACCCACTAACTCGTCATCTAGCATTAGGTATATCTCCCAATGCCATCCCTCCGCCCCTCCCCCCACCCCACAACAGTCCCCAGAGTGTGATGTTCCCCTTCCTGTGTCCATGTGTTCTCATTGTTCAATTCCCACCTATGAGTGAGAATATGTGGTGTTTGGTTTTTTGTTCTTGCGATAGTTTACTGAGAATGATGATTTCCAGTTTCATCCATGTCCCTACAAAGGACATGAACTCATCATTTTTTATGGCTGCATAGTATTCCATGGTGTATATGTGCCACATTTTCTTAATCCAGTCTATCATTGTTGGACATTTGGGTTGGTTCCAAGTCTTTGCTATTGTGAATAATGCCGCAATAAACATATGTGTGCATGTGTCTTTGTAGCAGCATGATTTATAGTCCTTTGGGTATATACCCAGTAATGGGATGGCTGGGTCAAATGGTATTTCTAGTTCTAGATCCCTGAGGAATCGCCACACTGACTTCCACAATGGTTGAACTAGTTTACAGTCCCACCAACAGTGTAAAAGTGTTCCTATTTCTCCACATCCTCTCCAGCACCTGTTGTTTCCTGACTTTTTAATGATTGCCATTCTAACTGGTGTGAGATGGTATCTCATTGTAGTTTTGATTTGCATTTCTCTGATGGCCAGTGATGGTGAGCATTTTTTCATGTGTTTTTTGGCTGCATAAATGTCTTCTTTTGAGAAGTGTCTGTTCATGTCCTTCACCCACTTTTTGATGGGGTTGTTTGCTTTTTTCTTGTAAATTTGTTTGAGTTCATTGTAGATTCTGGATATTAGCCCTTTGTCAGATGAGTAGGTTGCGAAAATTTTCTCCCATTTTGTAGGTTGCCTGTTCACTCTGATGGTAGTTTCTTTTGCTGTGCAGAAGCTCTTTAGTTTAATTAGATCCCATTTGTCAATTTTGGCTTTTGTTGCCATTGCTTTTGGTGTTTTAGACATGAAGTCCTTGCCCATGCCTATGTCCTGAATGGTAATGCCTAGGTTTTCTTCTAGGGTTTTTATGGTTTTAGGTCTAATGTTTAAGTCTTTAATCCATCTTGAATTGATTTTTGTATAAGGTGTAAGGAAAGGATCCAGTTTCAGCTTTCTACATATGGCTAGCCAGTTTTCCCAGCACCATTTATTAAATAGGGAATCCTTTCCCCATTGCTTGTTTTTCTCAGGTTTGTCAAAGATCAGATAGTTGTAGATATGCGGCATTATTTCTGAGGGCTCTGTTCTGTTCCATTGATCTATATCTCTGTTTTGCTACCAGTACTATGCTGTTTTGGTTACTGTAGCCTTGTACTATAGTTTGAAGTCAGGTAGTGTGATGCCTCCAGCTTTGTTCTTTTGGCTTAGGATTGACTTGGTGATGCGGGCTCTTTTTTGGTTCCATATGAACTTTAAAGTAGTTTTTTCCAATTCTGTGAAGAAAGTCATTGGTAGCTTGATGGGGATGGCATTGAATCTATAAATTACCTTGGGCAGTATGGCCATTTTCACTATATTGATTCTTCCTATCCATGAGCATGGAATGTTCTTCCATTTGTTTGTATCCTCTTTTATTTCGTTGAGCAGTGGTTTGTAGTTCTCCTTGAAGAGGTCCTTCACATCCCTTGTAAGTTGGATTCCTAGGTATTTTATTCTCTTTGAAGCAATTGTGAATGGGAGTTCACTCATGATTTGGCTCTCTGTTTGTCTGTTGTTGGTGTATAAGAATGCTTGTGATTTTTGTACATTGATTTTGTATCCTGAGACTTTGCTGAAGTTGCTTATCAGCTTAAGGAGATTTTGGGCTGAGACGATGGGGTTTTCTAGATATACAATCATGTCGTCTGCAAACAGGGAAAATTTGACTTCCTCTTTTCCTATTTGAATACCCTTTATTTCCTTCTCCTGCCCAATCGCCCTGGCCAGAACTTCCAATACTATGTTGAATAGGAGTGGTGAGAAGAGTCCTGTCTTGTGCCAGTTTTCAAAGGGAATGCTTCCAGTTTTTGCCCATTCAGTATGATATTGGCTGTGGGTTTGTCATAGATAGCTCTTATTATTTTGAAATACGTCCCATCAATACCTAATTTATTGAGAGTTTTTAGCATGAAGCGTTGTTGAATTTTGTCAAAGGCCTTTTCTGCATCTATTGAGATAATCATGTGGTTTTTGTCTTTGGTTCTGTTTATATGCTGGATTACATTTATTGATTTGTGTATATTGAACCAGCCTTGCATCCCAGGGATGAAGCCCACTTGATCATGGTGGACAAGCTTTTTGATGTGCTGCTGGATTCGGTCTGCCAGTATTTTATTGAGGATTTTTGCATCAATGTTCATCAAGGATATTGGTCTAAAATTCTCTTTTTTGGTTGTGTCTCTGCCCGGCTTTGGTATCAGGATGATGCTGGCCTCATAAAATGAGTTAGGGAGGATTCCCTCTTTTTCTATTGATTGGAATAGTTTCAGAAGGAATGGTACCAGTTCCTCCTTGTACCTCTAGTAGAATTCGGCTGTGAATCCATGTGGTCCTGGACTCTTTTTGGTTGGTAAGCTATTGATTATTGCCACAATTTCAGAGCCTGTTATTGGTCTATTCAGAGATTCAACTTCTTCCTGGTTTAGTCTTGGGAGGGTGTATGTGTCAAGGAATTTATCCATTTCTTCTAGATTTTCTAGTTTATTTGCGTAGAGGTGTTTGTAGTATTCTCTGATGGTAGTTTGTATTTCTGTGGGATCGGTGGTGATATCCCCTTTATCATTTTTTATTGCGTCTATTTGATTCTTCTCTCTTTTTTTCTTTATTAGTCTTGCTAGCGGTCTATCAATTTTGTTGATCCTTTCAAAAAACCAGCTCCTAGATTCATTAATTTTTTGAAGGGTTTTTTGTGACTCTATTTCCTTCAGTTCTGCTCTGATTTTAGTTATTTCTTGCCTTCTGCTAGCTTTTAAATGTGTTTGCTCTTGCTTTTCTGGTTCTTTTAATTGTGATGTTAGGGTGTCAATTTTGGATCTTTCCTGCTTTCTCTTGTGGGCATTTAGTGCTATAAATTTCCCTCTACACACTGCTTTGAATGTGTCCCAGAGATTCTGGTATGTTGTGTCTTTGTTCTTGTTGGTTTCAAAGAACATCTTTATTTCTGCCTTCATTTCGTTATGTACCCAGTAGTCATTCAGGAGCAGGTTGTTCACTTTCCATGTAGTTGAGCGGTTTTGAGTGAGATTCTTAATCCTGAGTTCTAGTTTGATTGCACTGTGGTCTGAGAGATAGTTTGTTATAATTTCTGTTCTTTTACATTTGCTGAGGAGAGCTTTACTTCCAAGTATGTGGTCAATTTTGGAATAGGTGTGGTGTGGTGCTGAAAAAAATGTATATTCTGTTGATTTGGCATGGAGAGTTCTGTAGATGTCTATTAGGTCTGCTTGGTGCAGAGCTGAGTTCAATTCCTGGGTATCCTTGTTGACTTTCTGTCTCATTGATCTGTCTAATGTTGACAGTGGGGTGTTAAAGTCTCCCATTATTAATGTGTGGGAGTCTAAGTCTCTTTGTAGGTCTCTAAGGACTTGCTTTATGAATCTGGGTGCTCCTGTATCAGGTGCATATATATTTAGGATAGTTAGCTCTTCTTGTTGAATTGATCCCTTTACCATTATGTAATGGCCTTCTTTGTCTCTTTTGATCTTTGTTGGTTTAAAGTCTGTTTTATCAGAGACTAGGATTGCAACCCCTGCCTTTTTTTGTTTTCCATTTGCTTGGTAGATCTTCCTCCATCCTTTTATTTTGAGCCTATGTGTGTCTCTGCACGTGAGATGGGTCTCCTGAATACAGCACACTGATGGGTCTTGACTTTATCCAATTTGCCAGTCTGTGTCTTTTAATTGGAGCATTTAGTCCATTTACATTTAAAGTTAATATTGTTATGTGTGAATCTGATCATGTCATTATGATGTTAGCTGGTTATTTTGCTCGTTAGTTGATGCAGTTTCTTCCTAGTCTCGATGGTCTTTACATTTTGGCATGATTTTGCAGCGGCTGGTACCGGTTGTTCCTTTCCATGTTTAGCGCTTCCTTCAGGAGCTCTTTTAGGGCAGGCCTGGTGGTGACAAAATCTCTCAGCATTTGCTTGTCTGTAAAGTATTTTATTTCTCCTTCACTTATGAAGCTTAGTTTGGCTGGATATGAAAATCTGGGTTGAAAATTCTTTTCTTTAAGAATGTTGAATATTGGCCCCCACTCTCTTCTGGCTTGTAGAGTTTCTGCTGAGAGATCCGCTGTTAGTCTGATGGGCTTCCCTTTGAGGGTAACCCGACCTTTCTCTCTGGCTGCCCTTAACATTTTTTCATTCATTTCAACTTTGGTGAATCTGACAACTATGTGTCTTGGAGTTGTTCTTCTCGAGGAGTATCTTTGTGGCGTTCTCTGTGTTTCCTGAATCTGAATGTTGGCCTGCCTTGCTAGATTGGGGAAGTTCTCCTGAATAATATCCTGAAGAGTGTTTTCCAACTTGGTTGCATTCTCCCCGTCACTTTCAGGTACACCAATCAGACGTAGATTTGGTCTTTTCACATAGTCCCATATTTCTTGGAGGATTTGCTCATTTCTTTTTATTCTTCTTTCTCTAAACTTCCCTTCTCACTTCATTTCATTCATTTCATCTTCCATCGCTGATACCCTTTCTTCCAGTTGATCGTATCAGCTCCTGAGGCTTCTGCATTCTTCACGTAGTTCTCGAGCCTTGGTTTTCAGCTCCATCAGCTCCTTTAAGCACTTCTCTGTATTGGTTATTCTAGTTATACATTCTTCTAAATTTTTTTCAAAGTTTTCAACTTCTTTGCCTTTGGTTTGAATGTCCTCCCATAGCTCGGAGTAATTTGATCGTCTGAAGCCTTCTTCTCTCAGCTCGTCAAAGTCATTCTCTGTCCAGCTTTGTTCCGTTGCTGGTGAGGAACTGCGTTCCTTTGGAGGAGGAGAGGCGCTCTGCTTTTTAGAGTTTCCAGTTTTTCTGCTCTGTTTTTTCCCCATCTTTGTGGTTTTATCTACTTTTGGTCTTTGATGATGGTGATGTACAGATGGGTTTTTGGTGTGGATGTCCTTTCTGTTTGTTAGTTTTCCTTCTAACAGACAGGACCCTCAGCTGCAGGTCTGTTGGAGTACCCGGCCGTGTGAGGTGCCAGTCTGCCTCTGCTGGGGGGTGCCTCCCAGTTAGGCTGCTCGGGGGTCAGGGGTCAGGGACCCACTTGAGGAGGCAGTCTGCCCGTTCTCAGATCTCCAGCTGCGTGCTGGGAGAACCACTGCTCTCTTCAAAGCTGTCAGACAGGAACATTTAAGTCTGCAGAGGTTACAGTTGTCTTTTTGTTTGTCTGTGCCCTGCCCCCAGAGGTGGAGCCTACAGAGGCAGGCAGGCCTCCTTGAGCTGTGGTGGGCTCCACCCAGTTCGAGCTTCCCGGCTGCTTTGTTTACCTAAGCAAGCCTGGGCAATGGCGGGCACCCCTCCCCCAGCCTCGCTGTCACCTTGCAGTTTGATTTCAGACTGCTGTGCTAGCAATCAGGGAGACTCCGTGGGCGTAGGACCCTCCGAGCCAGGTGCGGGATATAATCTCCTGGTGTGCAGTTTTTTAAGCCCTTCGGAAAAGCGCAGTATTCGGGTGGGAGTGACCCGATTTTCCAGGTGCCATCTGTCACCCCTTTCTTTGAGTAGGAAAGGGAATTCCCTGACCCCTTGCACTTCCCGAGTGAGGCAATGCCTTGCCCTGCTTTGGCTCGCGCATGGTGCGCGCACCCACTGTCTGGCACTCCCTAGTGAGATGAACCCGGTACCTCAGATGGAAATGCAGAAATCACCCGTCTTCTGCGTCGCTCCTGCTGGGAGCTGTAGACTGGAGCTGTTCCTATTTGGCCATCATCTCTAATTATATAATCTTAACTGAGCTAACTTTAAGTTCCCTAATTCTTTTTCTGACTGTTCAACTCTGCTATTTAGCCCATCTAGTGAATTTTTAATTTCATTTATTGTGCTTGTCCATTCCAGATTTTCTATTTTATTCTTTTTAAAAAATATTTTCTATTTCTTTTTTTTAAACTTTAAATTCAGGGGTACATGTGCAGATTTGTTACATAGGTAAATTTATGTCATGGGGGTTTGTTGTACAGATTATTTCATCACCCAGGTATTAGGCCTAGTACTGATTAATTATTTTTCCTGATCCAATATTTACTATTTTGTGAGACACTGCCCTCATACTTTCCTATAGTTCTTCTGACATGGTTTCCTTTAACTCTTTGAAATAACTGATTTAAAATAGCCAACTTAGTCTTTGTCTAGTCAGTCCAATGTCTGCATTTCCTCAAGAATAGTTCTCTACTGACTGCTTTTCCCCTTTTGGGCCATATATTCTTATTTACTTGCATGCTTCTTAATATATTTTTGTTGGAAACTGGACACTTTAAATTACATGGCAACTCTGGAAATCAGATTTGCCCACCTGCCCCAGGTTTTGTTACTGTGATTATTTAGCATCGTTTTAGTAATATTTCTGAACTAAATCTGTAAAGTCTGTATTTTTTGTTGTAATGAAGTCCTGGGTCAGTTCGCTTAGTGGTCAGCAAATGACTGGAGAGATTTCCCTTAGCACTGGGAAGCGAAGTTTCCCAGTTTTTGCCAAGGGCCTCTGGGTATGTGTTGGGCACGCCTTTAACACTAAGCCAGGCAGCCTGTTTGTAAATTCCATGGGATTTTCTATGTAAACAATCACATAATCTGCAAATAAAGACAGTTTTACTTCTTCCTGCCATTCTCCATGTATTTTATTTCTTCTGCTTTCCTTATTGCATTGGCTAGAAACTCCAATACTATTGAATAGAACAGAGGCATCCATTTTTTTTAACCATAGGGGGAATGCATTCATTCTTTGACTATTAAGAATAATGTCAGCTGCTGTTAACTGTAGCTTTTATCTGTATATGTCCTTGATTAGATTCAGGAAGATGCTTTCTAATACTGTTTGCAGGAATTGATGTTAAATGTTATCAAATGCCTTTCTGCATCGATTGAGATGATTATATCATTTTTCTTTCTTTACCTCTAGCAATATTCTTTGCTCTGAAATCTACTTTGCCTGTTATTAACATAGCTGCTCCAGCTTCCTTTTAAGATGAGCATGCCATATCTTTTTCATGTTTGTCTATACTATTTGTGAATTTATGTTTAAAATTCATTTCTTAAAAGCAGCATGTAGTTTTGTTGTTTTTAACCTATTCCAACCATTTCTGCCTTTTTAAAGGATGCTTAGGCCATTTAGATATAGAGTTTTTCATTGTTATTTTGATTTGCATTTCTCTAATGATCAGTGATATTGAGCTTTTCTATGTATGATTGTAAGCCACATGTATATTTTATTCAAATAACTTTTCTTTTGGACTGAAAAGAAAGCATGTTTATTATAATCTGTGAAAATAAAAAATAATAAGTATTTAAATGTAAGACTGTAACTACAGTAATAGTTTAGAGATGTGAGTGGTCTGTTTAGACTGAAGAAGTCAAATGTTTCATGAGGAAAGTGGAATCTAAATTCAACTCTAAGACAACAGAAAAAGATGAAAGACACGTAACAGGCTCAAACACAAGGAAGTGTATCCACAGAGGATGTCAGGATGATTGGCTAAGATGGAAAAGGGCTAGATTATGGAAGGCCAGGTTATAAAGAGCCCTGAAATTGCAGGAGATGTTGACGTGCCATGCAAAGCTTCTGCAGGTTTTTTAATCAGGTGAAAGGTAAATATACGCATAAAGATCCAAAAGAAATAATGTCAAGAAATTTAGCTAGTGATTAGAGGTAACCCAGAATAACAGAAGGCCCAGACAAATGGGCTGACCCACAGGTGTGTCCTGGAATCCCTCTTATCTATTTCATTCAGCATCCAGTACTGTGGCTGTAATTACCATCTATATCACTAGGACTTCCAAATTCATCGCCATGCCTGCTCCTTTCCTGAACTCTGGCCCTTTACCCGACTGTTTATCTGACACACTCATATAGATGTACAATGAACATCTCACACTTAACATGTGCAAAACAGAATTCTTGATTTGCAGCTCCCAAAAACATGTTCTTATGTTCTTCCCCATTTCTGTCAATTTCACTACTATCCCCACAGTTACTCAAACCAAAACCTTAGAAGTATTATATCCCTTTCTTAACTTACCTTCTACATTTAATAATTGAAGATTCCTGTCAACTTTATCAAATCCTGCCCTGTTGTGTCTTAAATCTATTTATCTCTGTCTTCACTTCCCTGGCCCTCATCATCTTTCACTTAGACTACCCCAAAAGGTCTCCTGAGGATCTTCTTGCCTCCCCATAATCCAGATGTCTCCCTTCTATCTCAAATCCTCACCTGAATTCCCATAGCTCTATGAGACCCAATCCCTCTCTATCTCTTGGATCTCAATTCTTTTTTTTTTTTTTTGAGACAGAGTCTCGCTCTGTCGCCCAGGCTGGAGTGCAGTGGTGCGATCTCCACTCACTGCAAGCTCCGCCTCCCAGGTTCACGCCATTCTCCTGCCTCAGCCCCCACCCCGCAGTAGCTGGGACTACAGGCGCCCGCCACCACGCCCAGCTAATTTTTTTTTGTATTTTTAGTAGAGACGGGGTTTCACCGTGTTAGCCAGATGGTCTCGATCTCCTGACCTCATGATCTGCCTGTCTCAGCCTCCCAAAGTGCTGGGATTACAGGCGTGAGTCACCGCGCCTGGCCGGATCTCACTTCTTAGCACTCTAGTACCACCCTCACCAAGCTTACTCTTGCCTTAGCATCTGAAATACTCTTATACCAGGTTTTTGAAAGGCCGGGTCCCTTCTGTCATTCATGTTTCACCTTAAATGATACCATCTGAGAAAGCCCCCCCTTACCACCCAGTCTTAAGTAGTCACTCACTGTAGTTACTTTCTCACAATATCCCATTTTGTTTTCACTAAGGCAGTCATCATTACCTAAAGTTCTATTTATTGTTTGTCTCCTCCATATTTTTGCACCCCTTTACCCCAGATCAAATGTAAGCTCTTTGAAAGAAAGCACTTTTTAGGTCTTCTTCACTGTTATATCTCCAGATGCAAGACTCACTACACATTTATTGAATGAATTAATGGAAATACAGCACTTGATAAAGATGGGATCTCAAATCAGGAAGAAAAAAATAGATTCGACCAATAATTGAGACAAGTTGTGAAGTATGCAATAAGAAAAATCTGAAGAATGTTAGGGGAACTTTTCCTAGACTGACCCTTATCAGCTCAATCCAAATTCCCATCGTCCACATAGAACCTGGGATTTCTCCTGTGCAATAGTGGCAAATCTGCATCCTAAACCCATCCGTTACTTGTTTCACTTACTTGGCAAGGTCTTCTCCATAGTAATGAAGCAACCAGTAGCAGGTGCTTCCTTATCTGTGACACAGTCTATATGATTCTGACCAATAGCAGACTTCTGTCTTTACAAGCACACATGTGTATGTATGTTGTTTAAATTACAAAATTAAAGCTTGGAATTTAAATCAACCACATTGAACAACAGATCCCTGTTGAATAAATAAACTAAATATACAAACCAATGCACAAGATATAGTCACCACCAAATACAATACCACTTCAACTGAGTTAGCAGTTAGCTAGAGCCTAGGACAAATTCTTGGAAAGACAGAAGCTTCATTTTTAACAATACATAACAGTGCTTAGCATCAGCAAAGCCCCAGATGAGTAGAAGACTCAACTTGGTATCATTAACACAAATAAGTAGTGTTTCATTATTGTATTAGAAAAAAATGGTCTATCATAATAAAATCGCTTTCTTCTGAAAAAAACAAGGCCATTACTTTTCAAAGTTTAGAAATCCTCATGGTGCTAAGTGGCCTATACAACTTAGGTGGAGGGAAGGAATAATTCAGAAGATAGGGCTGGGTTTTTAGTCCTCTGGAGGGTAGAAAATTAGGGATAATGTGACTTCACACATAAACCTTATGATAAGCAAAACATATCCCAGATTCTGTACTCAATGGCTTAATACTGGCTATCATTGGAACTGCAGAGGGATGAAAGATTTTTTATAGCAGATTTGTATTTTTTTGAATTTCTATATGGTTTGAATGTTTTAATCAAGCATGTTTTATTTTTGTAATAATAATGAACTCAAAAAAAGCTAAAAGACAAAAGTAGTCAAAATATACAGGAATTGACTATTTGTATCAGTGCTTTTCAACAGAAATATAATGAGAGCCACAAGTGCTGTGATGCGCATATTTATTTTTAAGTTTTCCAGTAGCCACATTTAAAAAGGTAAGAGAATACAGGTAAAATTAAAGAATATATTTTATTCAACCCAATATATCCAAAATATTATCATTTAAACAGGGATTCAGCATAACAGGTATTGAGATATTTTACAGTCTTTCTTTTCTTACTAAGTCTACAAAATCTGGGGTATATTTTATACTCATAGCATGTCCCAGTGAGAACTGGCCATGTTTCAGTTGCCTTACGAGCCAAATGCATTAGTACTGTACAGTGCAGCTCTGTATCCTGAAAACATATTTTCACATTAATGAAAAAAATGGGCTAATGAGAAGATCAGACAGCTTATAAAATATAAAAAGTAAAGGGTCAGTAACTACATTGAAAAATGTAAAAATTCAGCAGTAATAAAAATATAATGAAAAACCATGAACTGCCACGTGTTCCAGGTCACATGCAGGTATAACTGAGGGATAGGTAAACAAACTAGTATTGCCCTTCTGAAAAAAAAACAACAACATGTTAACAAAAGCTTTAAGTGATTGTTATTCATAATCTTCGCTGCAAAAAAGTTCATTTTCTAAGAATTTTATACTAAGCTCTGACGGAACAAATGTGCAAGACATTTACAAGGATGTTTAAATCTGTATCATTTATAAAGGAAAGAAATTGGCAATAACCTAAATGTTCAATCCCAGGTACCTAATTTCATCAGTAATGGCAAATCCATAAAATTAAATGCCTATCAGTTATTTTATATGATGAGTAATGATTATTCTAGATAGTAGATAATAAATACAACATAACATATGCCCATGAGCTATCTCTCTCCAAGACATGAGATCACTGATTTCAAATTTTATTTTTTGCTTATTTGTATTTTCTAAAATTTCCACAATACATTTTTATTACACCCAAAGTCAATAATCAAAATGGCAAAGTATGTCAGAAAAACTGAAGATGAAGAAAACTGGAAAAAGCCTAGCCTATTTTTTAGAAGAAATCTAATGGTTGCCTCTGAATAAGTAATTTCAGTAGAAGGACAGTATTTAGAAACCAAAATGATGGTTGAGAAGCAAAAAGAAATTTAATCAGCAAGGAATTATGGAAAAATGCACATGGTAACAGTATATATCATACAGAGTGTTTCTTTCTGTTAGATTTTTAAATGAAAATATGCCCATTGTGGAAAGTTTAGAAGAAATGAAAGAGAATAAAGAAGGAAAGAAAAATGACTTGCAACTTCAACACCAGCAATCTCTACCCTCAACATCCTGGAGTGCTCCCTTTAGATCCTTTCCTGCATGGTGCCCAATAAATGTTTGCTGAACAAATGGGGGCAAAAGAACCAAAATACACAGGGATGTCAGTACACTGAAGTAGGAAGGAGGGACAGAAATAGCAAGTCTTAGGAAATGCCTGGGTATAAAATAAGGAGAAAAATTACACTTAATAGCATATCATAATAACTGCATTTAAAGGTGGGAGGAGAGTCAACATGTAATAAGTGTTATTTGATTTAAGTATTTCTATTGCTAAATTTAAGTGTAGTTAAAATTTCATAGTTTACTTTCTTTACATAATGCACTATCCGCATCATTGAAAATTTCTGTGAATATGTTTCTAATAACATTATAATTTTTCAATGTGTAGATATTTCATAATTTGCATAAACAATGCCATGATATTGAAATCAGTTACTTACAATGCCAAGGGAACAGAACTGTTCATGACTCATTGTTGACCTCTATGATATCTACTAGACAGGGGTCCTGTCAGAAGAATGACTAAAAGGGTATTATTAAAACTCTTGATACATGTGGCTAAACTCCTTTCTAGGAAGTTTTAACCAAATCTTGCTCTGAAGCAGTGAGATCTGACAATGTACAGTACGTGAATTTCTATTTATTGGGTGAAAGAGTCATGAAAAGCTAAATGACTAAAGAAAGGAGGCTGTGAAAGACAAAGCTGAGAATGCTGGAGTGAGAAGGAGTCATCATGCTTGCAAGCCACAGTAAAGAGACGAGTGGGAAGAGATGAGTGAGAAAAGAAGGGAAGGAAGTTTGAAAACAAAAGGAAATGTGAACTTAGTTAAGGAAGAACACATCTTCCTCTCAGAAATATGAAGGAGAAACTAATAGGATAGAAAGATAAAGAATAAGTGAAAATAGATATGACTATGAGATGAATTCCTCAGACAACACTGTAAGAAATGTCTTCTTCATTGACCAATTCCAAGAACATCATGCTTCTATTTCTCAGCTGGACAAGTGGCTGTTAGGGGTGCCCAGCCCATCATCCACAACTCTTCTAGCTCCAGCTGGGAGATAACACTGGCTTTGAAGGGATGACAGCCCACCCATGGGGAAAGAAAGATATAACAAATATCTGAAAATTCAGCCCTAACCCCTTAAAGTTTGGCTCACTGAATGATGGCTACTGTGAGGTTTAAGGGAGGAGTAGTATAGAAAGCTCCTAACATCAACTCTTTAAAAATAAAGGCAATTTACCTGGGGAAAATGTATTAGGAACATCTTGTGTCTTGGGGGCCAACTAGATTTTATAACCTTTGGTTTTGAGGACCATATAAGCCCAGCAGAGTAAAATGCTATGAAGACTCATGGCTGTTAATAACTGAGGACGCAAAGACCCTCAAATAGGAAGATTTTCAGTAACAAAAGAAAACGGCTCTTACGCACATAGATTAGATTCCTACAGTTCTCCAGTGTCACTTCTCTGTACAGATTCCTCTGTGGAGGGCTCAGTTATCTCCACTCCCCCTCAGTAAAGTCTACAACAACATTCTTGAATGTCACTGGCTCCTAAAATATAAGCATATTCACCCCCTTTTAGCTATCCAGAAAATGTTCCTGACATAATGTGTAAAGCTGATAGTCACAGGAAAGGTGGAGGAGATGTACAGAAAGTTTTTTTGTTTTGTTTTGTTTTGTTTTGTTTTGTTTTGTTTTGTTTTGTTTTGTTTTTGAGATGGAGTTTCACTCTCGTTGCCTAGGCTGGTGTGCAGTGGCGCAATCTCGGCTCACTGCCACCTCCACCTCCTGGGTTCAAGTGATTCTCCTGCCTCAGCCTCCTGAGTAGCTGGGATTACAGGTGCCCACCACCACACCCAGCTAACTTTTTTGTATTTTTAGTAGAGACAACTTTTCACCATGTTGGCCAGTATGGTCTTGAACTCCTAACCTCAGGTGATCCACCTGCCTCGGCCTCCCAAAGTGCTGGAATTACAGGCACCGGCCACCATGCCCCCCCTTTTTTTTTTTCTGGAGACAGAGTCTTGCTCTGTCACGCAGGCTAGAGTGCAGTGGCACGATCTCAGTTCACTGCAGCCTCCGCCGCCCAGGTTCAAGTGGTTCTTGTGCCTCAGCCTCCCAAGTAGATGGGATTACAGGCACATGCCACCAGGCCTGGCTAATTTTTTTGTATTTTTAGTAGAGATGGGGTTTCACCATGTTACCCAGGCTGGTCTTGAACTCCTGAGCTCAGGCAATCCACTAGGAGTCCATGCCTGGCCCAGGAAGAATTTTTGATAGTGCTCAGACTCTGTGGTTACCTGAAGAAGAAGCCATCAAGAGGAAATCCCAACTCTGTATAATTTCACTCATTTCATCCATATGTCTTTCCCTTCCTGTCTCAAAGGAAAAGTTGCCCTTCCATGTATCCTCTTATTGTATGTTCTAGATGTTCCCTGATACTCTCCAGGCATTCACTCTCACAAATTATCCCCATTTTTGTCAATCTTCAAACTATTCCTCTTTGGAAACCCTTTGGCTTATAAACAAGAATGTTCAAATGAATCTCTTCCTAAATGATTTATTTATCTCTGATAGAAAAAAATAAGAATGCTTTGAAAATCAGTTTAGGAATTACAGTAACAATATTGATGGGCCATCATTTAATAGGCACTGTTAAAAGATGGGGAGATGCAGGTAGAGTAGGCAGCTTGAGAGGAAAAATCAAGGAAATACACCATCAAGAGCAGAAGCCCTTATACACTACTCTTCTGCAGACACTGGGAGGGGCTGCCAGGGGCTTGCCAATTTTTGAGGCAATATGTAGAGTTGGGAGAATGAGACCCCAGGAGTATTTATTCAAAGTTGAGAGGGGAAAGAACAGTCTTCAGGCCTACAACAAAGAGCTAAAGGTTTTCTTAGACAGGTTCTCCCATCCCCTACCCCAAGGCCTCTGCTATTAAAAAGGAACAGAGAATGCAACATCAAATGCATTAGATGCAGCTTAGAAGACAGATGTCACAAATATTTTTGGAGGAGTGTCTACAAGAACCCATCTGTACTAATCACAGCCAATTAGAGGTCTGGCTAAAACCAGCCACGTTAGGATCAATAATATTTTTTAAAAAGGATCCTGTCATTATCATTATGCACAGAAATAACACCAATACAGGAGAGAAAGAACATGGTATGAAAAACATCCAAGGAAGAACACATTCTGGGAAAACTAAGATCCAAGGAATACAAGAAATCTTCTAAAAATGCTTGTGCTATAGAGTAATTCAATAAGGACATGAATTTAATGAAATACACACCACCCAACATGATTTTTTTAAAAAGAGAGATGAAAAGCTATGAATTACTCTGAGAACAAAAATGTATTATGGAGCTAATAAATTTAGTAGGGATTCTCAAACGTGCAAAGACAAAGAGAAGAACATTTTTCTTCTCATTATTCAAGATACAGGTTGAGAGGAGAACATTTTAACTACTTGATACTTAAATCCACCCCCCTACCCAAGAAAAAAGGGAGGATCACAATGAAGAACTAGGGAATAAAATTACTACAGAATGAATGGTAATGAGGGCTGTTTTTTTACCCCAATCTTTATACATTTTATTTTTCTTTCTTGGCTTACTACATTGTTGTTAAGACCAGACATATTTTTTTCTTTTTTGTCCTTGTAAGAGGGTGGTTGGAACCATTTAATTGATCAATGTAGAACACATGGTATAATGAGAATTTAAATGTTAAATTGAGAAAAACAGTTACAGGAATAAATATGGGTCCGGAACAAAAATTTAAATAAGTAAATCTTGACAAAGTAAAAATAATTTTACAACAATTTAAAAAACAGTCCATAGAGGACAAAAGAGAGGGAGAAGAAATGTAAGCAAGGTTGAATGTCTAATCATGTGGACACAAACATACTGAGTCTCTCATAACTGTCTTACCTTCTTTCTTTCACTCATAGAGAAATATTACAAAACAAGGATTTCCTCTTGTTCAATATAGTTCTCTTGAAGAACAGCAATTTCTTTAGTTCTCTAGTTACTTTTTCTTTTTAAATTTGAGTAACATTAATTTTTTTGTTATTAAACCTATTTATTACTAAACAATGCCAGTTTTCTTTCTGTCTCTTCATCCATTCATCTTTTCATCTCTCTTTTCGCCTTACTACAATGCCCAACACTTATCTCCATAAATATTCATGAAGAGAGACAGCCAGGTGTTCACAGTTAACACTGAAAGGGAAATGCATGCACTTTCTGCTTTGTCAAACTACTATGTACTGCTGATTGCTAAGTAAAATAAAATACTTTAAAAAATAAAAACAATGGACTTCCACTTCCAGACAAAATGGAGTAAACACCTTTCTCTGCTTCTCCTATTAAGTGTAGATAACAATGCTGGAAGTTATATTTAAAACAAACATAAGATGAATATGAAAGGTAGAGAAAAGCAGGCTGGCTAAGGCCCCTGGGACTTGGGTGGTTTTGTCATCTCATGTATTCTATAGTTGGAGCTGAAGAAGAATCAACCTGGAAATGGTAATGGAAATAGAGGAAAAAAAAAAAAGCCCCACTAAAGGATCAGCCTAACAAGCCAGAAAACTTTTAGACAGTAACCACCCAACTCTAGGAAAACACCACAGGAAAAAAATGTGGCTCCATCCCCACCACCTTCAGCTAAGGAGGGGGCAGGGAGGCAGACTTCCATGCTCACCCCACCACCCAGGGCTCTCTAAAAAGAGATTTTTAAAGCACATCCCATGAAAAGGCCCCAGTGAGCAATTACATAAATGCTTGAATCAAAAGAAAAGGTAGAAAAATAGAAGTAAAATAGAAGACACACAGAAAAATCAAATAAAAATTTTAAGAATAAAAACATGAGGCCGGGCACAGTGGCTCATGCCTGTAATCCCAGTACTTTCAGAGGCCGAGGCGGGGGGATCACAAGTTCAGGAGATCGAGACCATTCTGGCTAATACAGTGAAACCCTGTCTCTACTAAAAATACAAAAAAATTAGCCGGGCGTGGTGGCCAGTGCCTGTAGTCCTGGCTGCTCAGGAGGCTGAGGCAGGAGAATGGTGTGAACCCGGGAGGCAGAGCTTGCAGTGAGCCGAGACCGCGCCACTGCATTCCAGCCTGGGTGACAGTGCGAGACTCTGTCTAAAAAAAAAAAAAAAAGAAAAGAAAAGAATAAAAACATGGAATAATTGCGCCTGTAATCCCAGCAATTTGAGAGGCCAAGGTGGGCAGATCACCTGAGGTCAGGAGTTTGAGACCAGCCTAGCCAACATAATGAAGCCTTGTCTCTACTAAAAATATAAAAATTAGCCAGGTGTGGTGGTAGGCACCTACAATCCCAGCTACTCAGGAGGCTGAGGCAGGAGAATCACTTGAGCCTGGGAGGTGGAGGCTGCAGTGAGCAGAGATCATGCCACTGCACTCCAGCCTGGGTGACAGAGTCAGATTCCATCTCAAATAAAATTTCAAACAAAATGAAAGAATTGAAATAAATAGCTCAGTAGACAGGCTCTACAACAGAGTGGAAAGGAGAGAGGAGAGAACCAGTGAACCTGGAAAGAGAAACTACCCTGACCAACAGAGAGAAGGGAGACAAAAACAGAAGAGAAAGGTCCACAGGGACTTTTGGAATTATGTCCTGTGACATTAAAAAAACTGAAATCATACAGAATATGCTTTCTAACCAAAATAGAATCAAATTAGAAATCAACAGGAAAAAGGTAACAGGAAAATTTCCAAACACTTAGAAACTAAACAACTCCCTTCTAAATAATCCATGGGTCAAAGAAGAAGTCTCATCTCATGGGAAATAGAAACAAACAAACAAAGAATAACAAAAGTATCTACCCAGAATCAAATGAAAATACAGCATATAAAAATGTGTGGTATACCAATACCCAAGAGCTGTGAGGGAAATTTATAGCACTAAATGCTTATATTAGAAAACATGTTGGATCAATACTTGAAGCTTTCGCATACAGAAAATAAAACAAAAAGAAAAACAAAACCAAAGTATTGGGGGAACCAGCCCCCAATATTTCAATGTAGGTTCTTTTCTATTTTCCCTAAGTGTCGGCCAGTCTGAGAAATAAAGAGAAAGAGTACAAAGAGAGAAATTCTACATCTGGGCCTCCAGGGGTGACATCACATGTCGGCAGGTTCCGTGATGCCCCTTGAGCCGCAAAACCAACAAGTTTTTATTAGGGATTTGAAAAGGGGAAGGGGGTATGAACAGGGAGTAAATCACACAGATCACATGCTTCAAGAGGCAATAAAAGATTACAAGCGCAGAAGGGCAGAGCGAGATCACAGGGCCAGGGTGAAATTAGAATTACTGATGAGGTTCCATGTCCCACTGGGCACGCATTGTCTTGATAAACATCTTAGCAGGAAATAGGGTTCGAGAGCAGACAACTGGTCTGATTAGAATTCGCCAGGCTGGAATTTCCTAATCCTAGCAAGCCTGAGGGCGCTGCAGGAGACCAGGGTGTATTTCATCCCTTATCTTCAACCACATAAGACAGACACTCCCAGAGCAGCCATTTTAGAGACCTCCCCCTGGGAATGCTTTCCTTTCCCAGGGCTATTCCTTGCTGAGAAAAGAATTCGCAATATTTCTCCTATTCGCTTTCTGTAAGAAGAGAAATACGACTCTGTTCTGCCCGGTCCTGCAGGCAGTCAGACCTTATGGTTATCTCCCTTGTTCTCTGAAAATCACTGTTATCCTGTTCCTTTCAAGGTGCCCAGATTTCATATTGTTCAAACACACACGCTTTACAAACAACTTGTGCAGATAATGCAATCATCACAGGGTCCTGAGGCGACATACATCCTCAGTTTAGGAAGATGATGGGATTAAGAGATTAAAGACAGGCATAGGAAATTATAAGAGTATTGATTGGGGAAGTGATAAATGTCCATGAAATCTTCACAATTTATGTTCAGAGATTGCAGTAAAGACAGGCATAAGAAATTATAAAAGTATTAATTTGGGGAACTAATAAATGTCCATGAAATCTTCACAATTTATGTTCTTCTGCTGTGACTTCAGCTGGTCCCTCTGTTCAGGGTCCCTGACTTCCTGCAACACCAAAGCAAGCAAAAAATAATACAAATGAGATCATGAAATTGAAAACAGAAAAATAGAGAAAAATGAAACAAAAAGCATTTTTTAAAAGACCAGTAAAACTGATTAACCTCTAATATGACTAATAGAAATAATAAGAGAGAAGACACAAATCACCAACATTAGGAATGCACCAGGGGATATAATCCCAGATCCTGAAGATATAAAAATTATATTAAGGAAATATTACAAATAATTCTCCAGATATAATAAACCTGACAAGTAAGATGAAATGGCTAATTTCAAAAAAACACAAATAACCACAACATCTATTATTAGGAAATAAACAACTTAAATAGCACTACTCAAATAATTATTAAGAAAATCAAGGCCAGGCGCAGTGGCTCATGCCTGTAATCCCAGCACTTTGAGAGGCTGAGGTGAGAGGGTTGTTTGAGCCCAGGAGTTTGAGGCTGCCATGAGCTATAATCACACCATTGCACTGCAGCCTAGGCCACAGAGCAAGACCCTGTTTCTAAAAAACACACCAGGCCAGGTGCGGTGGCTCACGCCTGTAATCCCAGCACTTTAGGAGGCCGAGGCAGGTGGATCACTTGAGGTCAGGAGTTCTTGACCCACCTGGCCAATATGGGGAAATCCCATCTCTATGAAAAATACAAAAATTAGCTGGGCGTGGTGACACATGCCTGTAGTCCCAGCTACTGGGGAGGCTGAGGCAGGAGAATCACTTGAACCTGGGAGGCAGAGGTTGCAGTGAGCTGAGATCGTGCCACTGCACTCCAGCCTGGGTGACAGAGTGAGACTCCATCTCAAAAAAATAAAAAATAAAATAAAAAAGCAGATCAAATTCTTAATTCAAAAAGTCCCAAAAGGAAATCTCCAGTCACAGACATATTTACTGCCAAACCCTACCAAATGCTTAAAGAACTAATGCCAATTCTACACAATGCCTTCCTGGAAATAGAAAAGGAGACTGCTTCCCATGTATTTAATGAGGCCAGCAACCTTAATACCAAAATTAAGTGAAGACCAGAAAAAAAAAACAAAAAACCCCCACAAAGCTACAGACCAATATCTCTCTATATTTAGATGCAAAATCTCTTAGCAAAATGCAAGCAAATATATATTGTTCAACACTGTATAAAAGAATCGAATGGCATGACCAAGGGGGATCCCTTCCATAGATTCAAAGCTGGTTCAATATTTTAAAAATCAATGTAATTAACTATACAAACATGTCAAAAAAGAAAAATCACATGATCATACTCATTGACGTAGAGAAAGCATTCAATAAAACTCAATACTTATTCATGATAAAAACACTCAGAAAATTATCAACAGTGTAGAACTTCCACAACTTGATAAAGAACATCTACTCCAAACCTACAGGTAACATAATATTTAAAGAAAGAATGTATGCCTTTCCCCTAAGGTAAGGAAAACACAAGGATGTCCACCTTTCACCACTATTATTCAATATGGTACTGGAATTTCTAGCAAGCATGGTAAGTCGAGAAAAAACATATAGATTATAAAGGAAGATGTAAAACTGTCCCTATTTGGAAATAATATAAGGAACTATGGGGAAAATCCCAAAGGATCTTCAAAATAATTCCTTCAACTAATAAGTGATTTCACCAATACGAGCATACAAGATCAACATGGAAATAAACTCAGATTCGAGAAATCAATTAGAGGCATATATGAATTGAGAAATACAACATAAGGCCGGGCGTGGTGGCTCATGCCTGTAATCCCAGAACTTTGGGAAGCCAAGGCAGGCAGATCACGAGGTCAGGAGATGGAGACCATCCTGGCTAACACTGTGAAACCCCATCTCTAATAAAAATACAAAAAGTAAGCCAGGCGTGGTGGTGGGCACCTGTAGTCCCAGCTACATGGGAGGCTGAGGCCGGAGAATGGCGTGAACCCAGGAGGTGGAGTTTGCAGTGAGCCGAGATCAAGCCACTGCACTCTAGCCTGGGCAACAGAGCAAGACTCCATCTCAAAAAAAAAAAAAAAAAAAGAGAGAAGAAAAGAAAAGAAAAATATAACATAAAGCAATTCCTTTTTGCAAGTGATGTGACAGCATATCTAGAAGCCCTAACAATCAAAAGATAAAACTAGCTCAAACAATAAATTCAGTAAGGTAAAATGATATAGAGTTAACCAACAAAAATCAAGAGTCTTCAAACATATAATTAATAAGTTAGAAAAAATAACACTACAAAAAAATCCCATTACAGTAGCAAAAAATAATTTAGGAAAAATGTTAATTAGAAATGCACAAAAACTATATGATGAAAACTTAAACACACTTCTGAAAGGTACAGAAGCAGAAAGGCACACATTGAATAATATGAAAATACATATGGACAACATGCAATGTGTTTAGAATTTCAGAATATTGAAAATAACCTAAATGCTCTTCTATAGAATGGCTGAATAAGGTATGGTACATACTTGTTATGGGTAGACTGTGTCTTCCAAAAGGATGTTGAAGTCCTACACCCAGTACCTGTAAATGTGACCTTGTTTGGAAACAAGGTCTTTGCAGATGGTTAAGTTAAGATGAAGTGATCAGGGAGAGCCCTAATCCAGTATGACTGGTATCTTTATAAGAAAGGGAAAACTGGGCACACAGACAGCCATGCACACAGAAAAAAATGTCACGTGAAGATAAAGGCAAAGACTGGAGTGATGTGTCTACAACCCAAAGAATGGTACTGTCAGCAAACTACCATAAGCTAGGACAGAGGCACAGAACACATTCTCTCTCAGAAGGACCTCAGAAGGAACCAACCCTGCTAACACCCTGGTCTCAGACTTCTAGCTCCAGAATTATGAGAGAATAAATTTCTGCTAAGCAACCCGGTTTGTGGTACTTAATTATGGCAGCCCTAGCAAACTAATATCATAATCAGTGCATACTATGATACTATAAAAATGAATAAGCAAAGAAAATTTCATGGAATTGATATGCAGTGATTTCTAGGATATGGTTAGGTGAAATAAGTAAAATGCCAAAAAAAAAAAATACAGTATGTTACCTGTTGTATGAAACAAAGAAGCAATAACAAAATTTACATGTATTAGCTAATTTTTGCAAGGAAAAATAAAAAAATGAAACTGAATCTAATGAAACTAATTACCTATAGGAGCAGATTGGATGTTGAAGAAATGGAAGGAGAAAGGGGGAATGATAATTCCATATGAATTATTTTTGAATAATTCTGAATTGTGGATTCTTATTAAGGTCACATATAATTTTAAAAAATCATGAAAAACGGAGGGAAATTTCTAAATAGAATTGTATTAGTTGGCCTGGGCTATTGCTGCTGTAACAGAACACCACAGCCTGGGTAGCTTAAATAACAGCTACCCAGTTGTGTCACAGTTCTGGAAGCTGGAAGTACCAGCTAGGGTGTTGGCAGGTTTGGTTTCTTCTAAGGGGTCTCTCCTTGGCTTGCAGATGGTCTTCCCTCTGTATGTGTCTTGTGTCCAAATTTCCTCTTATAAGGATACTAGTCAGACTGGATTAGGGCCCACCCTGTCATCTTCCTTTTAATTTACTTACCTCATTAAAAATCCTATCTCCAGATACAGTCACATTTTGAGGTACTAGCATTTAGGGCTTCAACATATGAATTTTGGGGGGATACAATCCAGCCCATAACCAGAATACGAACAAAACTATATTACAGGCCAGGTGCCGTGGCTCACACCTGTAATTCTACCACTTTGGGAGGCCTAGGCGGGTGGATCACCTGAGGTCAGGAGTTGAAGACCAGCCTGGCCAACATGGTGAAACTCTGTGTCTACTAAAAATACAAAAACTAGCCGAGCGAGGTAGCGGGCACCTGTAATCCCAGCTACCCAGGAGGCTGAGGCAGGAGAATCACTTGAACCTAGGAGCTGTAGGCTGCAGTGAGCTGAGATCACACCACTGCACTCCAGCCTGGTAACAGAGCGAGACTCTGTCTCCAACAACAACAACAACAACAACAACAACAACACTATATTTCAAATGAATTACATATACACAGCAAAGGAGAAGAAAATAACTTAGCCCAGTAACTTCTGAAATAGCATTTTGACCATAAACCTTCAATCTTAAGATGATAAGAATCTGCCGGGTGCAGTGGCTCACGCCTGTAACCCCAGCACTTTGGGAGGCTGAGGTGGGTGGATTACGAGGTCAGGAGATCGAGATGATCCTGGCTAACACGGTGAAACCACATCTCTACTAAAAATACAAAAAAAAAAAAAAAATTAGTCGGGCGTGGTGGCGGGCGCCTGTAGTCCCAGCTACTCAGGAGGCTGAGGCAGGAGAATGGCGTGAACCCGGGAGGCGGAGCTTGCAGTGAGCCGAGATCGCGCCACTGCACTCCAGCCTGGATGACCCAGCGAGACTCCGTCTCAAAAAAAAATGATAAGAATCATACACAAGTACTAAATTATAGTTAGTAGGTTTGCTTTCCATAGACCAGGCTTATGGGGGGGAAAAAAACTAGGATTCTACGATTGAGCAAATGAGTAAATATATTTAGGATAATGGGAGCCAGGTTCTTCATTTTGAAGAAAGGACTAACACATGCAACCAGGAAGGAGAGGAATGAACTCCATGGTACTAGACTAGTCTCAGTATGAATGAATGTTTTTTATAGACAGGCATACATATGTGTGTATACATATGTATGTGTGTATGCATGTTTGTACAGATTTGCCCCCTGGGAGAGTCTATAAGCAATGATACCCTAGTAACAATGTGTACACCTAGCATCCAGATTTGGTTTCAACAATTCCATTCACCATAAAAACGAATCAAAGCTCCTTGGAGAAATGGCGGATTCCAGGGCTGGGATAGGGAAAGAACAAAATAAGCCTAAAATATCTTGTTGTGCTAAAAAAAAAAAAAAAAAAAAAAGGAAACAATAAAAATAAGTGATAGGTATATGTCAAAAGGATACAGAAGCCAATTTGAATGGACTTCCATGGAAGAAATCTGGGTAATTTCCGCATTAAAATCAATAATAATAGTAACATGTCATAACCTATTGAATAAAATAAAGATCCATGAGTTCCTACTGATAAAAAAAAAATAATGAAGTAGAAGGAAAGTTCTTACTCATAGAAGAAACAATTAAAAATGTAGAAAGAATAGTATTTTAAAAGTCAACATTTTCCAGTCTTCATTGTAATAACCGGCTTATATAGGAATCATTATATAGGAATGATATAGGTAGTGGTTAACATTTTGATAAAAAGACATTTAAATATCCTCAAAACATTTTCCCACAAATTACATATTAATTACAACTTAACATCTTATGACCATGAGTACTTAATATCTCTAAATTTTCCCTAACCTTCAAAACAGAAATAATTAACCACTTTTTACAGTTCCCCTAAGACATAAATACAGGAATTGATGAAGTGTCTAGAAGTACCTAACAGTAGGTGCTTATCAAATGCTAATCCATTTTCCCTTTTCTAAAAAGGAGCACAAATCAGCTAACTAATTTAGATAGAATTTCAGAAGTTAAAAAAAAAATCAACTCACTTGTAATTGTGTCAAGGCCTACTCCTCCAGAGGAAGTGTAGAGAAGACAGAGCTGGCATAGAAGAAAGAAGCCACGAGTGACCAAGGCACCAGATCAACTTAGAGCAGCCAGCCTGGGTTTCAGGAATAAAGTGAACATTTTAATCCACTGGGCCCATTAGCCGCCCTGTTACCTAAGCCCTTGTTTTCCCCACTGACCTACCTTAAAAGGCATTTTGCACCTATTTTTGCATGTTTCCCTCCCCGAGTCTTCTGTAACTTTCACCTTTTGACTCAGGCTTTTAGGTTAAGCTGACCATGTTAAGACACGTTTTATGTCCATGTTAAGACATGTTAAGACATGTTTTAGACAAATACTCATGTGTATGGGCGAAAAACTCCAGGACTGTATTTTCAACTAATTGCAAAACAGGTTATTTTAGTTTCTATTCTGTGGAAAGTGTAAAACATTCCAACACAGGGTTTTAATGTAGATTTTTTTTTGCACCCACGCTGTTGGTTGCTAAATGTAATAGTCTGATCATGACCTTGAATAATACGTCTTTTTTTTTTTTTCAAATGTGCTATGTAAAGCTGGTTTACTCTGAAGCCATCTTGGTAAATTTCCCCAAGAGTGTGAAGTTAGAATTCCTCCAGGGTGATGCCAGATTCTATCTGGAATTTATTTACAACCTGCTTGGGTGGAGACACCATTGTCTTCAGAAACCTTGGTGTAGTTGAACTGATAGGTACTGTCGTGACCTGAAGTTCACCATTAAAAGGGATCACCCAAGCAAAATCGTGAAATTATTGGTTATAAAAATGGTCATTGGCACATCCTATGCGATATATCTAAATTAAATGATGGTATCAGATAAAACTGTAGATGGGAATGAAGTTTGTGTATCATACATTATCATGTGTAATTAATAAATGATTTAAATCTCCTGAAAAAAAAAATGGGACAGAGCAAGACTCTGTCTTAAAAAAAAAGGGGGGGGGACATTTTAACACCCTAAGATTCTAAAGAAAACCAACTAGAGGACATACACTGCTCATAAACCCTGAACAAATTTGCTACATAGCTGGAATTCGCTATCCTGGCAGAATAGGGTGCCACTGCACTGGGAATCTGGAAAACTCACAAGAAATCCACAAAAAAATGAAAAGAAGAAAACTCCATGTTTTAGAGGTTACTATAAAAAAAACAGATCCAATATACTTTGACTAATTCAAATCTCCCCAAATAAAATAACTATGAATCGGGATAAAATTCTAAGCTGACACTTCAAATAGAATAAAATTTATTCAAATAAGCATTTGTGGATATGAAAAGCCAATTGAGTCAGATATCTAAAAAATAAGAATAAAAATGGGCAAAAACATAAGGAAATGAAAATACAGTTAATTAAAGCCGGAAGAGAAATGAAGGAAAGAAAGACAAAGTCATCTCCTAAAGAAAAACAGAACCACAAAGTCACAAAAGAGAATAGACTCAAATGCAAATATAATGACTAGCTTTGAAGAAAGGTAGAAAAACAACCTGGAGAATGAAAATGACATAAGGAAAAAAGAGGTCACAGAAAAGTGGTAGAAATCAAAGTTAAGCAAAGGCACTATTCACAAAGTTGGAGCCCCAGGAAAAAAGTAATAAAACAATGGAATACACTATTAAGAGATAATATTTAAAAGTATGTTGCAAGAAATTTATGCTGAAATAAACTTGAGTCAACTGAGTATTTGGGAAAATTCTCCTGAAACAGTAAACTTTAAGTCATAAGCTAGTAAAATCATTAGCCTTTATAGATTTTTGAACCAAACAATATTGACAAGAATGCACATCAAAACTTGCTATGGCTAAAAACAAATATATCAACGTAATTATGCATGTACTAGGATAAAAAAAAGGTGAAGAGTAAGTTACAATTGTGTAGTTAAGGGCACATGAAGTAAAATGGGACATTTAAAGATAAACTCTTCCTGGTCTTCAAGAGAAAAGATCACACAAAACACCTTCTTTTTTTTTTTTTTTTTTTTTTTGAGACGGAGTCTTGTTCTGTTGCCCAGGCTGGAGTGCAGTGGCACGATGATGGCTCACTGCAACCTTGACCTCCCAGGTTCAAGTGATCCTCTCACCTCAGCCTCCTGAATAGCTGGAACTATAGGCATGCACCACCACGCCTGGCTAATTTTTGTATTTTTTTAGAGACGGGGTTTTGCCATGTTGCCCAGGCTGGTCTTGTCTTGAACTCCTGGCCTCAAGTGATCCTCCTGCCTTTGCCTCCCAAAGTGCTGGGACCACAGGCGTGAGCCACTGCACTTGGCCAGTGAAAATGTTTTTAAATAGATAAAGGTGATAGTCGCATGAACCCAGTGAATGTGATCATTGCTGTTAAAGTGTACATTTTTCACCAGGTGTGGTGGACCACGCCTGTAATCCCAGCACTTTGGGAGGCCGAGGAGGGCAGATCACGAGGTCAGGAGATCAAGACCATGGTGAAACCCCGTCTCTACTAAAAATACAAAAAAAAAAAATTAGCGGGGTGCGGTGGTGGTTGCTTGTAGTCCCAGCTACTTGGGAGGTTAAGGCAGGAGAATGGCGTGAACCCGGGAGGCAGAGCTTGCAGTGAGCCGAGAACGCGCCACTGCACTCCAGCCTGGGTGGACAGAGCGAGACTCCGTCTAAAAAAAAAAAAAAAAAAAATTGTACATTTTTAAAGGGTTAATTTTATTATGTAAATTTTACCTCAAAAAAAAAAAAAAGAAAAGAAAAAAGAAAAAAAGAAGAGATGATCCAACAATAAAAATCCAAAGGTGAAATTGTGTAGACCAAGCAAACTGGGTGGAGAACCCTGAATAAAGGGGTTAAAATGAAACAGAGCTTTATATTTGATAAAAATGTGTGCCTGAAAAGTTTGTTGCGAATTGAACTCTTGATTATTATATTTTCTAGCTTGAGGTATGAGGACTCATAGAAATTATGTATCTTTAAGGTATACAACGTATGCTTTAATATATGTATAAATTATGAAATGATTACTGACAATCAAGCTAACTTTTTAAAGATATTTTTACTTCAGGTTGGCCCTCAGTTGGTAGAAATTCACAACTCTTCAGTTTTAGGTCTCTCTGCCTCCCATTTCAGAATGGTGCAGCAGAATTGCATTATTTTGAATACTGTAATGTATAATTTGTGATTATTCCAATATTCCAATAAAGGTTGCTTTGCATGAATAAACTATAGTGTACAACCACGTGTGGACAAATGCACAAGATAATTAAGAACAGAAGTGTTAATAAAAGAGGAGTGTAGGCTGAACGCAGTTGCTTACGCCTGTAATCCCACCAACTTGGGAGGCCGAGGCAGGTGGATCACCTGAGGTCGGGAGTTCAAGACCAGCCTGACCAACATGGAGAAATCCCGTCTCTACTAAAAATACAAAATTAGCCAGGCTTGGTGGCGCATGCCTGTAATCCCAGCTACTTGGGAGGCTGAGGCAGAAGAATCGCTTGAACCAGGGATGCAGAGTTTGCAATGAGCCGCGATTGTGCCATTGCACTCTACCCTGCACAACAAAAGTGAAACTCATTCTCAAAAAAAAAAAGAGTAAATTCTGACACATGCTACAATATGGATGAACCTTGAGGGCATTATGCTAAGTGAAACAAGCCAAACACAGAAAAGAAAAACAGTATGTGATTCCACATTATATGAGGCACCTAGAATAGTCAGATTCACAGAGAAGGTAGAACAGTGGTTGCCAAGAGCTGGGTCAGAGGAGAATGGGCAGGTGTTGTGTAATGGGTACCGAGTTTTTAGTTTTGGTGAGATGAAAAAGCTCAGGAAAGGGGTGGTGGTGACTGTTGCACAACAAAGTGAGTGTAGTTAAAGCCACTGAATTATACACTAAAAAATGTTAAAATGCTAAATTTTACTTTACATATATTCAACCACACACACAAAAAAATGGAGCCATGAAGTTTCAAGTATCTTAATAGGACAAATCAAAATCAGTCTTTGGAATACACTATTTTCATTTTTCCTTTACTTTCTGCCAAGATGTGTAAGTTACAAAACAAAAATGCATCTTTATCTGTATTTAGTTCTTCCAGTAAGTATATGGTCTGTTGGAAGTCATACTCTTCCCAAACCGTCAATCATTAAAGGGTGCAGTTCTAAAAACACAGATATAAAAATACTTTTTCCTGAATATTCATTTTTTAATTTATATTTTCACCTTCCGATTTGGTGTATCACCTAAGAAGTGAGTATGTCTCATGGTTAAGAATGTGGGCTCTGGTGCTAGAAGGATTTATCACGAATGTCCCGGAGTAACTCTGGGGCTTTACCACTTGGCACTTAATCTCAGATTAAGGGAAACACTTGCCTCTCATAAAAGGAGAAAGAGAAAAAAAAAGATAAAAAGAAAGTGAGACTCAGAAAACGCGAGTTTCTGTCATAACTGATTTTATCTAGACAATTAAAAAAATGAAGGAAGAGAGAAATCAAGGAAGTTTCTAAATCCACATGCTTTATCTTTCCATTTATGCACGCGATGATAAACTTATTAAGGCACGTGGAAAAGTAACTCCTTCTGTATTCCTTACAACATTGACCTTTGAGTGTTCCCAACAGGATGCTGGTCATGCTTGCAGTTCAGCTGATTTTTTTTTTTTTAAACAAGACTTGCTCCCTTTTCTGGTTTCTCCCCAGCCTCTTTATGGGTGCGCGGTAAAATAACACTTACCTACCGGCTTCCATTTACTTCCTTCCATGCCCTGTCGGACCCGCTGGGCAAGATCCCCCGCCTCTCCGGCCCACATACTGGAAGGTGCAGTGCCCAGGGCGCACAGTTCCCGTGTGCAGAGGGACTCACGCACAAGAAGGCCATCCCCGCGCTAAGCTGAGGTGTTTCTGGAACGTATCCCTCTGCCTAGGTGCCGGCAGCGGCCGTGGAACGCGCCTCCGGGGACAGAGCGCATCATCAAGGTGCTTTGGCCACGTTGAGGCCTCCTTCTCCCCCTGGCCTCGTTTCCCACATGCCCTACCCACAGCGACCTTCCTGGAGCTCGGTATTCACCTAAGGTGTTGGCGGCGGCAGCCTTTAGCAGGCGCGCTATCTCCGCTGTGTCTCTCCGCACTAGCCGCTGACCGAGCCAGGTGCGCGGTGGAGGGCGGGGCGATCCGGCAGGGGGCGTGGCGAAGGCCGCTGATTTCCTACTGCATACAACACACCCACTTTACCTAAAGCAGAAATTAAAGCCAGGAGGCCTACCCCTTGTGGGCCCCTGAAAAGTACAATAAGAAGTTTGGAGACAGTTCAAAGGCGCTTGGGTCGACCAGTGGTAATTTTTGTTTCCCGCCCCCCTGCACCCGCGAAAGCGCTGGCGCTGCCATTGGCTCCAGCTGGGGGTGAGTCTGGAACCTGTGAGCCGTGGCACTTTGGACTCTGAGCTCCAAGCTAGGCGCATCCTTGCTGTGAGGTTTCCCAGCGGCTTTCTTGCCTTGCTTGCAGCTTGTGTCGGGAGTTGCGGACAGCCATAGCCCCGCGGGCCTGGCGCTGACGGACCCTGGAGCGGTGTCTGACAGAGGTCGGCAAAGCCACCGGCTGGCCCCAGTGCATCCTCACATATGCGCGCAGATCCCTGGCTCCGGTGCTACTGGGGTCGCACCTGGACGCGGGTTGCAGACCCCTGGCAAATTGTGGAGCTGGGGGAAGGTAAGGGGAAATGTAAATCGCTTTTCCCCACATTTCAGAGATTATACTTTCCTAGGCTATCACAATTTTCAAAATTGTTAAAATTTTTACAGTATGGCTCTCTCAGTTGAATGTTATTGAAATCCACCAAATAACCTCAGTTATTAACGCCTAGAAGCTCCCCTGGAGGCTTATTACTGCCGCCATACCCCTACACACAAACTGTTTTGGTTTCTCCTTCCGCCTATGTACTCCTAAAGCACTCAGTATTTACCTGTCATCATACTTTATTGAAAGTACAAACTCGTCACTTGTCTGTCCACCCCAACTAAGCTTCTTGAGAATTAGAACTTTCCTGTCTCTTCCCAGCACAAAAGTTTTATGGGTATTCTGTTGAAGAACTTCAAATATGATCTATAAAATTATGACTCATTTATATTTCAAACTCCAACCTCTCCCTTGAGTTCCTGGCTCACAGCGACTACAGACTGAGCTTAGTTGGAATTCAGTAGCACACAACTGGGATATCCGCACTGTACGGCTTTTAACAATTTTTAAAATTTTGGTACTCTCAGCATCGCAAATTCACTGTGTCCAAAATAGAGTAGAATGTTGTTCTACCCACCTATACTCTGCCATCCGCTGAAGTCCTTTCCCCATGCTCCAGCACTCAAGCCTTGCCTGTCACAGTAAATGGCAGTTCTGTCTTTCCTGTTGCTCACACATAAAACTAGGCTGCTATTTTGATGTCTTCATTTTTCTCTATTCTGTATCTAATTCCTTAGCAATCCTGTCAGTTCTACCTCCAGACTGTACTCAGCATATTCACTGCTCTAACTCCAGCTTAAATCACCATCATCCTTTGCCTGGAATGCTGCATCAACCTTCTAATCACTCTACTTTCCTCCTCCTCCTTCCTCCCTTTCTTCTTCCTTCTTGTAAATCATCATTTCATCCTTCTGCTTAAAATCTTCTCATGTTTTCTTATTACACTTAAAATGGCAAACTCTTACCCTTGAGCCCTGTAGAATTTGGCTCCCATCAGTTTCTCCAATTTCACCTTCTGCCTCCTTCACACTCTAGCTGTGCTCACTTTTTTATTCCTCAGGCCTACCAAGCTCAATTGCATCTTAGAGAATTTGTTCTTGCTGTTTCTTCTGCCTGGAATACATGTTTCCCAATCTTTATAAGACTATCCTTATCTGTAGGTTTCATCTGAGATGTCACATCCAAAAGAGGTTTTCCTTGACCACTGTAGCCAAAGCAAATGTTGATCACTGAAGGAATAAGGGAATGAATGAATGGAGTGGTGTATAATATAGCAGAGTTGATAATTTAAGGCTAATTCACTATGTATCTCCAAGCAAACAGATTTGTAATGCTTTTCCTGCCTAAAATCTATACAGCTGATTCACAAATACTTGATTGACAGGTTTTATATATCACTGTGGCTCATCAGCTTGTATGTTGTTGGGGCCAGAATCTATACTTACACTTCATTCAAATTTGATTTTACAGAAGAGTTGGGGTTTTTATTTTTCTTTTAATTAAGAGAGCTGTGAAATTATTACCTATAATTCTAAATCTCATTTAATTCCTCCCAATAGGATTCAAGATGGATTGTCATCAAAGTTCACTTCTTTAACAAAAGTGGTTTATGACTTTAATAAAATATTAGAGAATGGAAGGATCTGTGGAAGCCCTTTACAAAAACTTGTGATAGAAAGTTTTGATGATGAGCAGACTTTGCAACAACTGGAATTGCAAAATGAACCAATTTTACAATGCTTCCAAAATGCAGTTAGTGAAACAAAGATGAAGACATCAGTCTTCTCCCAGAGAGTGAAGAACAGGAGTGTGAAGAGGATGGTTCAGAGACAGAGACTGGTGGCCAGGAGGACCTAGAAGATTTACAGGAGGAAGAGGAAGTGTCAGATATGGGTGGTGACAATCCTGAAGTGGGCAAGAAAGCTAGAAACTCAAGCAAATTTGAGCTGAGGAAAAGCCCAGTTTTCAGTGATGAGGATTCTGACCTTGACTTTGATATCAGCAAATTGGAACAGCAGAGCAAGGTGCAAAACACAGGACATGGAAAACCAAGAGAAAAGTCCATAATAGACGAGAAATTCTTCCAACTCTCTGAAATGGAGGCTTATTTAGAAAACAGAGAAAAAGAAGAGGAACGAAAAGATGATAATGATGATGAGGTGGAAGATACTGATTTTTTTTTGAAGATATTGATTCTGATGAAGATAAAAGGGGACTGTTTGGAAGTAAAAAACTTAAGGTTAAGTTTGAGAAAGGAGAGAGCACTTTCCTCCTCCTCAAATTAGCTTTTGTTCTGTTTTTCTAGGAGAGATGTAATTGTAGTTAGAAGGTTTAGAGCTAAGATATATTATGCTTTGTTTTATCAGTTATAAATGAATCTGTACTTCCATTCAGTTTATGTTCCAGTTGTTCTTATAATAGTTTTATGGTAGTGTTTTTAGTTGCCAATTTCACCTAGTAACTATTTTTGACTTGTAGTGTTAAGTTAGAAAGTAATATAGACATACAGTATATATATATGCATGTGTTAATGATGTATTTTTCTATTCCTAATTAATAGTTTTAAAAATCTTTTTATTTTAGTCAGGTAAAAGTTCCAGAAATGTGAACAACAAAGATTTTTTTGATCCAGTTGAAAGTGATGAAGACATAGCAAGTGATCATGATGATGAGCTGGGTTCAAACAAGATGATGAAATTGCTGAAGAAGAAGCAGAAGAAGGAAGCATTTCTGAAATGTGAGTATTTTGAAACATCCTTTACTTTGTGAGCTGGAATTGCCCAATCAGTGTTTGTATTTGTGGTTTTCACATATGTTTGTTTTAAGAAGTTAGATACTCTCCTATCAGATCTTCTCAAGATAGCCAGAGGAAAGTCACTGGATTTAAACGGACATTAGAGATCATTTAATGAAGAAAAATATTACTGACAGTAGCAATCAAACCTTTCTTACCAGGAACTTTGATTTGGTTTTGTGCCCCCAAAATCCTGTTATTTTTGTGAGATAAGAGGTTTGTATTATAGATTGATGAATAATTTATTTTCTATATATTGGACCCTTTTTGTTTCTTACATAGCATTTCACTTAAATGATAGCTTCTCTTCCTTAATACCTGAATGATTTTGGAAGTTCTAAGTATCTGGTTGCATTAGGCATATAAAAGAGGAACTTTGTTAAGGGAAAATATGTTTCCTTTTGTTTTTCTAATGGAAAACAATATATTTCTTTTTATAAGAGTTTTGGTAGTGTAGGGATGAAGGTGATCACCTGGAAGAAAGAGAAGACAGTAAACAATGTAAAGAAAGCTTGAAAAGAGTGACTTTTGCTTTGCCGGATGATGAGGCAACTGAAGATGCAGGTGTTTTAAATGTAAAGAAAAATTCTGATGAAGTTAATCTTCTTTTGAAAAAAGACAGGAAAAGGTAATTAGGAATTTAAGGAATTTTTAATATGCTTCGCATGATTGTGGAACTCACAGACTACTAACAAATCTTCCCTATTTTCTTTCTTTTTTTTTTGAGATGGAGTCTTGCTCTGTCACCCAGGCTGGAGTGCAATGGCGTGATCTCGGCTCACTGCAGCCTCCACCTCCCGGGTTCAAGTGATTCTGCCTCAGCCTCCTGAGTAGCTGAGATTAAAGGTGCATTCCACCATGCCTGGCCAATTTTTGTATTTTTAGAAGACATGGGGTTTCACCGTGTTGGCCAGGCTGATCTCGAACTCCTGACCTCAGGTGATCCTCCTGCCTTGGCCTCCCAAAGTGCTGAGATTACAGGCGTGAGCCACTGTGCCCTAGCCTTCCCTATTTTTCTTGTTGTAACTATTAACCATCCTTTGAAAACAAATATCTTGGCCAGGTGTGGTGGTTGATGCCTGTAATCCTAGCACTTTGGTAGTCTGAAGCGGGAGGATCACTTGAGCTCAGGAGTTCAAGACCAGCCTGGGCAACATAGTGAGGCCCTGTCTCTACAAAAAATAAAAAAATTAGTGGGGCATGGTGGTGTATGCCTGTAATCCAGCGACTCAGGTGGCTGAGGCGGGAGGATCACTTGAGCCCAGGAGGTTGATGCTGCAGTGAGCTATGATCACATCACTGCTTTCCAGCCTGGGTGGTGGAGCAAGATCCTGTCTTCAAACAAACAAACAAACAAACAAACAGAAAACTGAAGATCTTGCTGCTACTCTCTAAAGCAAAAGCACATCTTATAGAGATGCCATATGGAAAGCATCTGATTTGCAGAAATCAGTGCCTGCGTTACCCAGCCTATAGCTTTCAATTTGGGGCCTGCGTGTAAAATAGTTGTTTCTTTTCTCTCTCCCTTGTGTCTTTATATGTATAGCCTGTCTCTCCTGACAAAGCTGTCCTGAGAGCCTCTTCTTGTAACTGTTTTGACTGCTCTAGAGGATACCGCCTATGTCTTTAAGGTGCTCCACAGATTTTGGTGAATGTCAAATAGCTGTAATTTTAATTAATACCAGGACAAACATATCTTCCCAAAGTATGTCATGATTTCAGACAAGTGAAATCTCATTAATTTTAGTAGATATAGTCTGGCTCCAATAATTTGGCTATATTATTTATCCAATCCCAAAATTTTATTATAATAAAAATGAGAATAGTGCCAGGCACAGTAGCTCACACTTGTAATCCCAGCACTTTGGGAGACTGAGGAGGGAGGATTGCTTGAGCCCAAGTGTTCAAGACCAGCATGGACAACACGGTGAAACCCCGTCTCCACTACAAATTTAAAAAATTAGCTGGGTGTGGTAGCATGAGCCTATAGTCTCTGCTACTCGAGAGGCTTATCGGGGATGATCACTTGAGTCCAGCAGTTCAAGGCTGCAGTGAGCTATGATTGGACTAGGCACTCCAGCCTGGGCAACAGAGCTGGAGAACAGGCAAATAAACTATACCAAGAATATCAAAAGAATTATTTTTAAAATCTGCGAATCTAAATTAAATTCATCGTTGTCAGATTGTCCCAAGAAAATAAATTCTAAAGGGGGAAAAAAACCATAAAGTATCAATGAGTTAGTGTCCTCCCATCCCACTCCTCCCACCCTTCCCCCACAAAAAAGAAAGAAAGGTTTGGTTTTGCTTTGAAATTATATCAGACCTTCAAGTGAAATTTTCAGTAAATCACAAATAATTTATTGCAATTTCCACAGATAAAGAATAAAATAGAACTTTCAAACTTTTTTCTTTTCAAACTGTTAGAACATGAAAACCCAAACCTGACAAAGGTGGCGTTAAAACACACACACTCTCTCATTCATGACTAGTGATGCAAACATAGCACAGTGGGAAAATTATGCCACACAACCACATGAACCTTATCCTTTTGAATCACTATTAGAAGATCTGATATGATTCCTGGTTGCAAGACGTTAAGGAGAAAATACACGGTTCCCTCCATATATGTTAGAAAGACATTTGATAAAATTCAATATTTATTTCTGATTTTTTTTTAACTCCTAGTGGGTTATAAATACATCTAGCCAAAAGCTGCCATCATGCATGATGGGTGAAATTCTACAAACATCCCTTTAAGATCAGGAATAAGACAAAATGTCCAGTATTACAGTTACCCCTGTTAATTAACACTAACAGTTAATAGCCACATAAGCCAGTGCAACTACAAAAGATAAGAGATTAGGAAAACTTCCAGGAGCAGTGGTTCACACCTGTAATCCCAGCACTTTGGGAGCTCAGGAGCTCTCAGCACTTGAGCTCAGGAGTTTGAGACCAGCCCAGGCAACATGGTGAGACCTCATCTCTGCAAAAAAATACAAAATTAGCTGGGCGCGTTACATGTGCCTGTGTCCCAGCTACTTGGGAGTCTGAAGTGAGAGGACTGCTTGAGCCTGGGAGATGGAGGTTGCAATGAGCTGAGATAGTGCAGCTGTACTCCAGCCTGGGCAACAGAGCGAGACTCTGTCTCAAAAAAAAAAAAAAAAAAAAAAAGATTAGGGATACTAAAATGAAAACATTAGTGTTTGGAGAGAAAACCGAAAGGATAAACTGAATCAATATTAGGAAAATAAGAGAATTCTGTAAGTTAGCTGAAAAAGCTGGCATTTTATACACTGAAGTCATAATTGTTGTCTTTTAGAAGTTAGAGATAATAAGAATTTGAGTTTAAAGTCAAAAGGGTCAGACTCCATCAAATACTAATATCCTAATCAAAGAATTACTTGGCCAGGTGTGGTGGCTCACGCCTGTAATCTCAGCACTTTGGGAGGCCAAGGTGGGTGGATCACGAGGTCAGGAGATCAAGACCATCCTGGCTAACATGATGAAACCCCATCTCTACTAAAAATACAAAAAATTAGCCAGGCGTGGTGGCGGGTGCCTGTAGTCCCAGCTACTCCAGAGGCTGAGGCAGGAGAATGGCTTGAACCCGGGAGGAGGAGCTTGCAGTGAGCTGAGATCATGCCACTGCACTCCAGCCTGGCCAACAGAGTGAGAGACTCCATCTAAAAAAAAAAAAAAAAAAAGAATTACTTAACTTTAGGATG
Organism: Homo sapiens; assembly: GCF_000001405.40. NCBI lineage: Eukaryota > Metazoa > Chordata > Mammalia > Primates > Hominidae > Homo > Homo sapiens. The sequence continues at coordinate 53,366,359 of NC_000016.10, read as the reverse complement.
CTCTAATAATCAAAATTGATAGTGGCTTGTGAACAGATAGATCACTTGAATAGAATAGAGCCCAGAAATAAACCCAAATGCTTCTGAGGGAGTTTAGTATATTATAAACATGAAATTTTAAATAAATGAGGATAAGAAATTATTTGCAGCTCACCTCACCATAGGCAGCAGGAATAGGAGGTCATTGGCAGAATAAAAAGATGGTAAGAACAGAACAGAATTATAGAACAGTACATTTTTTGCTTCCCCACTTTTCAAAGTATTTTTTGTTTTTACACAAGTATAATTTTATTTTCTAAATGTATACTAATTTTTTTGTCTCTTTCTTAGATGAATGAAAAAAATTACATCTTTAGAAAAAGAGTTATTAGAAAAAAGCCTTGGCAGCGTCGGGGGGAAGTGACAGCACAGAAGAGACCAGAGAATAGCTTCCTGGAGGAGACCCTGCACTTTAACCATGCTGTCTGGATGGGTACAGTGCCCTCTTCTGCAAAGAGTTCACTTCTATGCTTTTTCTGTGGTTCCATTTCATAGAAAGATTTGGGGCGATGTTTCTTTTCCCTTAACTTTTTATTTTAAAAACTTGCAAACACAGAAAAGTTGATAAAATCATACAGTGAACATCTGTATTCTATTCAACTGGATTCACTAGTTCACATTTTGTCATATTTGTGTTCTCTTTTCCCCATATGGAAGATTGTATATTTGCCCTTTTTCCCCCTGAATCATTTCAAAGTAAGTTGCCAGTATCATAGCATTTCACTGTTAAGTACTTTTGCAGATATCTCCTAAGAACCAGGATATTCTCCTATATAATCACAATACCATTAATCCACCCAAAACATTTAACATCAGTACACTAATGATACCTACTGTATAGATTATAATCAGCTTCCTTGCAGTAATCTGTTTAGAAGACTTGCATCCTGTCACTGTCCACTGATTAAATTTTGAACTCTTAACTTGAAACCCTGGTCATCTCATTGCCTTCTTTTTTATACCCATTAAGTCAAAATAAGTTTTCATTTTATTTCAACAGAAAAGAGAATGGAAAAGAGGGGAAGAGTCCCTGGTACCTTGGATAAAGTATGAGCACTTACTACCATATGTATTCTAGTTCTGTAGTTTTCAAACTTCAGGGAGCATCTCAAGGCTTATTAAAGCACAGATAGCTGTCCCTCTTCCCCACTTTCTGATTCAGGAAGTGTGGGGCTGGTCCAGGAATTTGCATGTCTAACAGGTTCCCACGTGTTGCTGATGCTGAGGGTCTAAGGACTACAATGCGAGAATCAGTGGTTTAGTGGATATCTATCTAATGAATACATGTTATATTTCCTTTAGCACTTGTGATTACAGGGGAAACACCTTTCAACTGTAATCAGTTATTACAGTTATTATTATTAACTGTAATATATTAACTGTAATTATTATTAACTGTATATTATACAGTTAATAATATATATTAACTGTATGTTATACAGTTAATAATATATATTAACTGTATATATAACTGTATATTAACTGTATATTATTATTAACTGTAATATATTAACTGTAATCTGTTAATATATCATTAAACAGAAGATAAGAGATCAGGTCAGTAAGAATTAAATTTAACTTAATTGAAATGTCACTGAAATTTTTAAAAATAATATGACAGGCTAGGCACAGTGGCTCATGCCTGTAATCCCAGCACTTTGGGAGGCCAAGGCAGATGGATCACTTGAGGTCAGGAGTTCGAGACCAGCCTGTCCAAGATGGTAAAACTCCCTCTCTACTAAAAATACAAAAATTAGCTGGGCATGGTGGTGCATGCCTGTAGTCCCAGCTACTCAGGAGGCTGAAGCAGGGGAATCGCTTGAACTCAGAAGATGGAGGTTGCAGTGAGCTGAGATGCGCCACTGCACTCCAGCCTGGGCAACAGAGCGAGACTCCATCTCAAAATAAATACATAAATAAATAAAATAAAAAGAAAAAATAAAGGGAAGATGGGGCAGTTTTGTGAACTGCACGTCCTGAAACTGGGCTGATTTCCCTCAAGAGGCAGGGATTTAAGCTCATCTCATCTCAACCTGGGGTAATTTGAGTGCCACAGGATAAATATGGGGCATCTTTCTGAAGCATCAGTTTCCCTTGATTCTATTGAGAGACAAAACATTAATGTACTTAGGCATGACAGTCACATAGATTTATGAGTATACAAGACTTCTCTCTGAAATGAGGCTTGGGTTATCCTCTTTCTGTTAAATTCCCAGATTTAACAGAAAGGCTGCCTTCTGCCATGAGGATACATTGATGTAAAAGTTTGAGAGGTACTGGTGCACTTCTTAACACTAACAGATGTGTGAGGGTGTATGGCTCTAAACCACACAGTATACAGTTTCTGCCTACTTAATATTTGCTTTTCTACCTCTGCCTCTGGTTTTGGTCCCTGGCAGCTGCTGATTTGTGGCAAAATCCTGGAGCTCGGAGTCAGAAGACTGAGTTTAAGTTCCATTATTGCCTTTTTTTCAGCCATGGTATCAATCCCTCTCAGTCACTAAGTGATTGTGACAACACTTCCTACAGTTCTTGGTGGCATTAAATCAGATGGTCTATAATAGTATTTTGTATAAACTGTAAAGCAGGATGTGACTGTAGGAGCTTGTAGCTCTCATGAGTATCACTGCTCTTCCTTTCCACAGTTGAGAGACTCTCCTCCCCAGACCAGCCCTAGTGTTGGTACAGGAGCAACCGACACCAAAAAGAAGAAAATAAATAATGGCACTAACCCTGAGACAACCACTTCTGGTGGTTGCCACTCACCTGAGGATGTGAGTCTTGGCTGGCCAGGCTCCTGGAGACAGAGGGCCCAAGGGGTGGTGGAGGGTAATTGTTAAGATTGTGGAAGAACTGCCAGGTACCGGTTAAGAATTCTGGGTTTGAATCCTGCCTCTCCATCTGCTAGGGATATGATTTAGGGCAAATTGCTTGAGCTCTTTGGGCCTCTCTTTTCACATCTGTAAAATAGGAGTGGTATTGTTTTCCTTACATTTGTGAAGTTTAAATGAGATTTGTCATTGTTGTTTTTATGTTAATCCCTAGTCCAGGCCCTGCTGTAAACTATCCTTCTTGGGCTTGCGTTTCCTGAGGTAGAGTTAGAGAGTATCAGAGGTTTCTGTTAGCTCTGAGAGTCTGAGAGTTAAAGGCTGACTAGAATGGAAACCCTGGGGCCAAGGGCTCCTGTCTGCCTTTTCCGTCCTATATCCTTCCTGTGAAGAACAGTCCCTGGCCAGTATGTGCTCAGTCAATGTTTGTTGAGTGAATGCATCTTTCTAAATCACAAGCTGGCAGAAGGGTGGGCTTTTCTCACACTCTATCTCTGAAGGTTTATGTTACTGTCTTTTTGAGAGAATCTAGTTTCAGACTTTCAGTTCTGTGGCTGTGGGCAAAAACCAACAAAGACCCAAATCCTTTTTCTTTGGGAGTTGAGGAGAGTTTACCAGTTCATGTTCCCATTGGGTCTGAGAACTTTGCCTTTAAAATCCATTCCTGGCCCCTGCCTATGGCTTCCTGGCCTGGGGAATAGAGTCAAGGGAGCCACCCTCAGTCGCATTCCTTTGACTCTCCCCATAGAAACAACAGAACCGAGCTCAGCTGGAAGAAGTAACGTGATTTCTGTTTGCTCATGACATGACTGCTGGGTTTGGGGGGCACTCAGATGTAGAGGCCCCAGTCTTGTCTCATCCACTCCCAGGCTGAGGAAGAAGGCTCACCCCCCAGATTCCACCCCATCCCCACAGGGTCCCTGATAACCTTGTCCCATGGGTGGGCCTGTCCTGGGGCAGTGGTGCCATTCTGGGGGCATGTCTCTTGCTGTGCCATCTCTGCCTCCCCCTAGTAAGAGCTCTGTCTTCCTCTTTCTATAGGAAAAGAAGGCAAGCCACCAACATCAGGAAGCCCTAAGGAGGGAGCTAGAGGTGAGTGGAGGGTGTGAAGTTCCCTCCTGTCCTCTGGAGAATGTTTCTTTGCTTCTCTTTCAGCACTTGCTTGTCTTTTCTCCCAAAGGCCCAGGTTCATACCATACGAATCCTTACATGTCAGAAAACTGAGCTTCAGACAGCACTCTATTACAGCCAGCATGCTGCCAGGCAGTTGGAAGGTGGGAATCTGGCACCCCATCATCCTTCAGCCTGGCACTTTGATAGGCCTTTAGGGGGAGTCCTTTGGGCCGCATCTGAATGTCTGTCATTCCAGGAGAGTCCAGGGATCTGGTCAGCTGCCTGCATGATTCATGGAAGTTTGCAGGAGAGTTAGAGCGGGCTCTCTCTGCTGTCACTACACAGAAGAAGAAGGCGGACAGGGTGAGTCCAACCACCTGCCCCATCCCCTGGGACCCCACCTTTGCAGATAGAGGAGTGAGCCTAAAGGTCCTTTCTGTAGGATGGAGTGTCCTGCCCAGAAGGCAGCATGGCCATTTCTTGCTGCTTTTGTGTGTGGTTGTTAGAGGCAAACTGGGGCTGAGTCAGCTGCTGTGGGTGAGTTGGGGGACACGGGGGACACTGTGGGGAGTGAGCACTGGACATAGAGCTCAGAGGCCAAGTGCCCGCCCTGCCCATACTTAGCCATGGCCTTGACCAAGTACTAAGTGGTGGTTAGAGTACTTGTACCATAAAGGTACAGAAGAGTATCTTGAGTATGTTATTATTTGTGTGGAGAGAGGGAGCACGTATATGTGTGTGTGTGTGTGTGTGTGTGTATTATGGTAATATACATAAAACATGTTTGTAAGGATTCATAAAATACTCAGGAGAGAGGAACAGTGTTGGGGGGGAGATATTTCCCTTTTGTACTTTCTAAGTTTTGGACTATGCAAACATATCATCCTTTCAAAAAGTCAATAAAAGATTAATTTCCTCCTTCTTGTCTGTGCCCCTACCCTCAGCAAAAGAATGGGCTTAGAGAATCAGATATACCGGGGTGTTGAAATCCCAGCTCTAAGTGATCTTAGGCAAGCACTTAACCTTTAATACCGCATGTTTTTCATCTACACAATAGAGGTAATAATGGTAACCATCTCCTATGGAGGTTGTGAGGATTAAATGGGATTGTTAGCATAGTGCCTGGTGAAGCACTCAATAACGGTTCCAACAGTGGTAGTAATAACAGTAATAACAATGGCAATATTATCTGATCTCTCTGGGCCCCTGTTAGCCAGCTATCAATTCAATCTCTTTCCCTGTCCCTTCCACCTTAGTAGAGTTCTTTGAAAACAAATGAGGGCCGGGTGCCCTGGCTCACGCCTGTAATGCCAGCTGTTTGGGAGGCCGAGGTGGGCGGATCACATGAGGTCGGGAGTTCAAGACTAGACCGGCCAACATGGAGAAACCCCATCTCTACTAGAAATGCAAAAGTAGCTGGGTGTGGTGGCACATGCCTGTAATCCCAGCTACTTGGGAGGCTGAGGTAGGAGAATCGCTTGAACCCAGGAGGCAGAGGTTGTGGTGAGCCGAGATTGCGCCATTGCACTCCAGCCAGGGCAACAAAAGTGAAACTCTGCCTCAAAAAAAAAAAAAAAAAAAAAAAAAAATCCTATCCGGCACTCCCCCAGCAGCTGATGAACGTGCTGAGGACATTGGTCCAGGATTCTGGCCTCCCCAAAAGAGCTGCTTTGACAAGCCTGCTTGCCTTACCCAGCACTAAATCCCTGCCTGCTCTATCAAAATTTCCATCTCTAAACTGGTTGTACCTATAACCCTCCCTCACCAAGTCAATAGATAAACAAACCCTGAAAAATCAGCACCCCTTCCTGGCCCAGCAGCCCACTGCCTAATATTTACTGTGTACCCAAGCTTTCAGAAATGGAACTCACCTGCTGGTTCACCCTCATTAGGGTGGCAGCTGCACGGGAGCAGCTGGGCTCACCCATTAAGCAAGAAGCCAATGGCTGGACAGTGACACTCAGACCCCAGTCTGGGCGAGCCTGGCTGAAAGCCCCCTTCTTTCTGATCTGACTGTGGAGAGAGGGGGTGGAGCATACACAACTCTACTGCCCTTCGCATCCTTCAGCTGTGCTTCCTCCTGAGAGAGGGAGCCGTTCATTAATTTGGCCAAAGAGTTCTTGGGGTCTGTAGGTTTGACAGGCTGGGTGTGTGGGGGCCACCGTGCTAGAGAGAGAGGCTGGTGTGTCAGAAGGCAGCCACTTGGCCAGAGGAGGGTCAGCCCCCTTGGTGACCTCCTTCCCCCGGCTGGACACAGTGGCCTGCACTCTCCACATGTGACTGCTCCTCTCAGAGCTGCCTCCAGGGGAGGAGTTCTAACCCTGTGGGTTGGGACATTGTGTTAGTTTACAGTGGGCCATGGCTCCCTCTGTCATCTCCAACTCAGAGGCAGTAGAGAGAAGATGAGAAATTCCCTGCACCTCCTCCCTCCTCAGCACCCCTATCTCTGCACACATCCACATATGGAGACCCTGACAATGGTCCCTGGGAGTGCCACCATCTGCGCCTCCTTTCCATGCCTGCAGCAGCCATGACCACTCTCCAGACCCTTACCACCTGACTCAGTAGGCACTGAACTGCCTGTGGTCCTGCCCCTACACCTGGGCCACTGTACCCGTCAGTTCCCCCAGTTTGGTTCTTATTTCCCCCAACAAGTAGGGAGCCTGTAAGGTCACCTGTTGAGCAAGCTGGGGGAGAGAGTAGGGTGGGGCTGGGAGGATGAGGAGGAGAAGCTTATAGTCGTGCTGGAGACTCAGCTGAGCAGAGTCTATGCAGGCCCATTGGCTGCCTAGCCAGTGGTGATCCCGCTCCCACCCTCATTTCTTCTTTGTTAAGAAAACCATGACCTCATTAAATATTGGACACCTATAAACCTCAGGGACCTTCCTCCAGCCTCCCCGCCACGTATTGGTGAGTCTAAGTCAACTCTGGTCATTTCATTCCTCTGGACATTGATTGCTTGAGGCTTGGGCATGAGCTGCCTCTTCATCTGAGCCTGAGCCACAGGTGCCCTCTGCACTTACCACACTGATGCACTGCGCCAGGGAGAGCTCTGTCTCGATGGAGATGAGCTGTGAGGAGCTGGTGGCTGGGCAGATCAGGTTGTTGTAACGGGTTTTGTTCAGAAGGTCGTCCATCAGCTTCTGCTCAGCATGAGCCATGCGGCAGTCCCCTGGGTAAACACACAGACATGCTGGGCCCTTGTGCAGCTGTCCCACACTGCAGATGACAGCTACAAAGCAGGAGCCAAGAGGGCCAGGGAGCACAGGCACCCCGGGGGCCGGCTGAAGCAGTGAAGGTGCTGGCGGACCAGGCTCTCCCTGGGGACTTCAAATGACATTCATGACAGAGCTCAGCTACTTCCGCCCATGCCACACCTCTTCCTCCTCCTCCTCCCTCGATCAATGAACAGCATCCCACGCTCTACACATCTGATACAAAACTGGGTGTCTCTTCCAGACCCCTCCCTTGGTTCATCCAAGTGGCCACCAAGTCCTGTCTGTCCTCCCATCTCCATGGCTACAGCCATGTCCCTGCCTCCTCCGCCCTGCCCACCTTCTGCTCTCCCCACCTGCACTCTGCCCCTGCCATCCATGTGCCATACAGTGGAAGACTGGTCTTTCTACAGCAAACTGGACTAGGGCCCTTCCCTAAACACAGCTCTCAGAGCTGGAGGTGAAGTTGAAACTCATGTTTTGGCTGGGCAGGCAGAGCTCTTTCCCCCTCGGCACTGGCTTATCCAGAGTGCTCACAGTGCAGGGCAGGAGCCCCATGACTCAAATGTGGGTTTGGTGCAGAACTGGGTCTGAGGTGGTGCTTTCCCTAAGAAGAGACAGGGCTGACATGGGGGGATTTTCTGGGTTCAGAGTTAGACCTACAGAGTGCAAGGTTTCTCTGAGGCACCAAATGGCGGGGTCCAGCTGGCAGCTGGCTCCTGGTCTGGAGCTTCAAGGAGAGGTCTCAGCTCAGAGCCACATTCAATAGCCAGCTTACATGCAGCTTCCTGCAGGGAGCCACTGGAGCTTCTACAGCCTCAGATCTGCCCCTTTGCATACCCCAGAACTCTTGCCAAGTGGCGTTTGGGTCTTTATGTCATGTCCCTCCCATGTCTGGGAGTAAAGGTGAGGTGCAGGGACTTGAGCTTCTGTACTCTGGTGTCTTAAGGGACAGTGTGTCCAGTAGAGTGGAGGCGGCTTGGAAAGAGGGAGACTCAGAGGAAAGTGAAGGACACGTGACCAGGCGAGCCTGGGAGCAGGAAAAGAGAGGAGAGTGAGCAGAGAAGAGTGAGCAGAGGAGACTGCTGGGGCAGGGGAGGGGATGGGAGGATCAGGGAATGAGGGGGGCTGGAGAGGTGGGGGTGAGGATGCTCATTGGGGGCTACCTAGCTCACCAGGCTCAGGAGTCAGTTACATCCTTCCACAAAGGCCAGCTCACCTGGTCACCCCAAAGCCCTCCCTCTGTGGGTGGGACCAGAGGGCCCAGAGCACGGATGACCCAATTGAGCAGGACTCAGGTGGACTCAGGTGGGTGCTGGGCTGGACTCCTGGCTGTGGGGAGCAGCCACCACCCTGCCTACTGCATCCATGTTCCAACTCGCTGCCTATCAGAGCAGAGGCATTATTGGGCACCTTGCGAAACATGCTTCTGGTGCACCTGCTGCCTGCTGCCCCTCCTGCAGAGTGCCCGGGCTCTCCAGAGGGGATTCCTGTGGAGGGTTGGCTTAGATTCTGAGTCCTGCTTCTCACACCCAGGGCTGCTACCCCAGAGGCCAGCTGCTTGAGTACCCTGGAAGCCAGTTTGTAACCCCAGGCTACAGCTGGGTCCATCCCACAGCCCTTCTTTAGTGTATCTATTTGTACTGCCTGCTCATTTCATAGAGAGGGGTGTGTCTTGCCCCAGCCCATCTGGCATGTCTAAGGCAGCTGTGGGGTCAGAATCTGCAGCTCCCAGCCCCCAGCCCTGCAATCGTAGGAGAGGCTGGACCCCACATCTCTCAAGTCCCACTGGGCTGGTGTGAGCGGGCTCCCGAGTCCAGGGCTGCTCTGCAGGCTGTGGGGCTCATGCACCAGCTCTGAGCCCACCTGATGTGCTCAGGTTGCCCACCTTTGGGTCTGTCCTGCCTCTCAGGCGTGCGGCTGACCCTCAGGGCCTCTCCCTCATCTGACTTAGAGGTTCCCAGAACCTTAGACCATTTGCCCCCACCCCATTTCTCAGCTGAGGAAACTGAGACCCAAGAGGGGAAGCAACTTTCTCAAGAACCCCGACCAAACCAGAGGCAGAGCCAGGTCTAGGAGTCTCTTCTCAACAGAGGTTCTCCCTGTCCCCTGAGCTTTCTTTGGTGCCCATTAACTTCCCTGCAAGGAAACTGCCCTGCTGAGTCTGGAAATGGTGCTGTCCAGGGTGGCGTGTGCCCATGACTGCACCTGTGTTTGTACTTGTGAGTGTGTATGGGGGTGGGGATGAGGGGTGGGAATAAACAGCAGAGATGCTGGGGGCTGGAATGCACTCCACCTAACCCCAAAAAGGGGCACAGGAGAGCCCAGCCAAGCACAGCACATGCTTCGACTTTCCAATCTGCTGAATGACTGGGAGGCCAGCTGGGCTCAGAGGACAAGGGACAGGTCTTTCCCCCACAGATCACAGGGGTGGCCCAGGATGAGTGGAAGCTTCTGCTGCAGCTTTGGGGGTTACATCCCAGCCCATGGGCTGACAGTTAAGCAGAAAAGCCACCTCTAGGGGTCAGTCATGATCTAGTGATTCTGATGAGGAGGGGGCCCCACCAGCCTCTGTCCAGAGTCTTGTCTGGAAAAACTGCTCCCTGGCAGAAACGGGCTAATAATTTGAGAGGAAGCCATAGCTGAAATTCTCAACTGTGTGAGTGTGTGTCCAGTTTGAAAAAGCATATCCAACTTAAACATTTATATTGAAAAAATGGAAAGCTATTCCCCTTGTTTTGGAATACAAACTACAGAAAGTAACAGTTAACAGAATCATATTGGAAAGGTCAAATTCTGCATCTGGAAAGGCACAGTGATTTTCAACTGGGTTGTGTGTCCTTAACTGAGGAAGGGAAGATGAGATTTATGTTTAGTAAAAGGCAGCTATGGATTTATTTTTTATAAGGAGCTTGCCATATACTATTAGTGCTTTTTCAATCATGTCAGAATCAGCTGGATGCCTGTGGAAATGCAAATTCCCAGGCTTCCTTCCCAGAGATTCTGGTCCTGTGAGCCTAGGGTGGGGCCCAGAAATCGCTATGGGGTGGTACAGGCTGCCCCAGGACCACACCTAAGAAACACTGCAACTGGCCCCCACACACATCCAAGTCCCCAAATTTGTAGGCAGACATCTTATCTCCATAGAACAGATAGGGAAACTGAGGTCCAGAGTGGGGAAAGAAATGTCACGGGGTCACCCAGCAAGTAGTAGCAGAGCCACAATACACCCACTGCCTGCAGACACCATCTCTGATGACAGCTCCACCTCCCTACAGGAACCTTGCCTACCCCCACCCCTACCTCCTCCTGCCCCTATCGGGGGTCTCTGTCCAAGGAAGATGTACCCCTGGTCTTCTAGGCTGACTGGGGCTCAGAGGAAAAGCTTGGCCCAGAGTGTAGGAGCTAGAAGGATCCTTGGAATTCAGATGGGGAAACTGAGGCCCAAAGAAGGCAGTCCTCACATTTGAACTCTGTCTGGAGAAGGGCTGGGTCTCCTTCCTGAGTGGTAGGTTTGACTTCACCAGCCTGGCCCTCGGTCATGCTGTCTGTCCAGGTCTGCCACACCTCGGGGTGGGTGACCAGAGGTGGCAGTGCCATAAAACGCGTTTCCTGGGAAATCCACCCCCAAACCTCAAAGCATTCCAGGGCTGGTGATTTGGGTACGCTCCCTTCCCTCTTGGCCCAGTTTCCCCATCTCTACAATAGCTGTGTTGGTGGAGACTTCTCTCTGAGACCGAGCTGCAGATTTTCTCCCAGATGCCTACACCGCCCAGCTTGCTGGCTCCTCTGTGTCCACTCTTCAAGACAGTCACCTCTTAGGTGAGGAAGGACCCTCGGCCCTATCGGGAGTGGGGACCGGTGCACCCCCAGCCTCCCAGACCGCTGGGGATGACCCGGGCTGCCTGCAAAGCCGGTGCCATCCAGCGCCACTGCTCAGGCCACAGACACCCACCAGGGAAGGTGGCCTTGGCCCTCACAGCGGCTCTGAGAAGAGGCAGCCCTCACTCCAAGCCTTGCCGAGCCACCCACACCTTTTTCAGCTCAAAGAGGCTTTTAGGAAAGTGAATCATCTCAAGTTCATACCCATGGGGTTGCTAAAAGAAAGGACAGTGCGGGGTGAGCTGGAGCAAGGGAGTGTTGCTGTCTGCAGACTTTGCAGGGAGGACACTTAGGAAAAGGGACTGAAACTGGAAGGGTGACTAGCACAGAGTTAAAAGGAGGGGATGGAGCTAGAGTGAGCTGGCCTCATCCTCCCTCTTGTGCCTTCCAGCCTGGGCTCAGGTGACTCAAGGGAGAAAGCACCTTCCTCTCCCCGCCAGGGAGGTCTCGCCATGTTTTGGAATCAGTACCATTCCCTTGGGGCTGGGGGGCAGCCCCCATCTCTGGACCTGGCTGGAACTGCTGCCTCAATTCTGGATCCAAAAGGGTCCCTGGCAGCTTCTCCACCTCCTTCTCAGTCCAGACCACCCCTCCCCAGTGAGGGCCCCAACAGCAAATCTGACAACTGGAGGAACAAGGCAGGAAGGGCAAGGTCTGAGGGAGTGACCACCTTCAAAAGGCAGCTTTGCCACCTTCTCTCCAGGACTCTCAGGCTTGCTTTCATATTGCTCCCTTAACATCCTTTTGCTATAATCTGGCATGTTGACATACGGTCTTTAAAAACAACAACACTGTTGATGTGGAGCAGACTTCCCATTTGGGATGGTTTGGAGAAGTTAGGGTTGAGGGCATCCTCTCTTCTGCAAACTGTGGCAGTAATAGGTGAGATATATAAAGTAAATAAAGGCTGGGCATGGTGGGTCATGCCTGTAATCCCAGCACTTTGGGAGGCCGAGGTAGGCGGATCACCTGAGGTCAGTAATTCGAGACCACCCTGGCCAGCATGGTGAAAACCCATCTTTACTAAAAATACAAAATTTAGCCAGGCATAGTGGCACACACCTGTAGTCCCAGCTACTCAGGAGGCTGAGGCAAGGGAATTACTTGAACCTGGGAGGCAGAGGTTGCAGTGAACGGAGATCTCACCACTGCATTCCAGCCTGGGTGACAGAGTGAGACTCCATCTCAAAAAAATAAAAAATAAAAAATTAAGTAAATAAAAAAGACATACCCAGGCTGAAAAATAAGTTAATCATCTCCATGAACGAAAAGCAGAAAAGAAATGCAAAGTGGTTGGAGCCTGAAGAGCCTGGACCCTGCTGGGCTTTGGAAACTGAAGACAGTGACAGGTCCTTTGGGATAAAGGGGGACCAAATGACTCCTAGCTAGAAGCTGGGAGCTTGGGTGTACCCCAGTACTTGAAAGGATGTTGCCCAGGTGCAGTGGTTCATGCCTTTAATCCCGGCACTTTGCGAGGCTGAGGTGGGCCGAGCACCTGAGCTCAAGAATTGGAGACCAGCCTGGCCAACATGTTGAAACCCCATCTCTACTAAAAATACAAAAAAGTTAGCCGAGTGTGGTGGCAGGCACTTGTAATCCCAGCTATTTGGGAGGCTGAGGCAGGAGAATCGCTTGAACCCAGGAGGCAGAGGTTGCAGGGAACTGAGATCACACTACACTCCAGCCTGGGCAACAAGATTCCGTCTCAAAAAATCCCCCAAAAAAACAAAAACAACAGACAAACAAACAAACAAACAAGGGTGCTGGAGGGTGGGGAAGTCTACTGCTGCTCTGTGGTCTGTATCCCTGGCTTTATGGGATGTATACCTCCCCAATATCCCCAGGACAGGAGCTTGCAAATGCACTGCAAAACTGTCAACATCAGGCTAGCAAAGGTGATAGGATTAAATAGGTTTTTATAAAAGTTTGACAAGTTTTTTTTAATAAAAGAAAAAGAAGAGCTATCTAATTATCTATAGAGAATAATATAATCTTGGTACAAAACTGGATGTTTTCCATGTACAAGGAAAGTTCATGATAGAACAGTCTGAATGACGAGTCTTTGTCACAGGGAGAGGGCACGGGGTAGTGCTTAGTGCTCGGCCTCTGGAGCCAGGCAATCCAGATTTGTATTCCTGCTGCCACTACTTATCTTCCTTGGGAAAATGACTTGCCTTCACTGTGCCTTAACTTCCTCATAGATAAAGGGGGAAATAACCTTTACAATAAGCCTTCTAGGATGAAATGAAATAATTCAAGGAAAGTAACTTAACAATACCCAGAACACAGAAAACCAAATAGATGTTAGCTATTATTAACTTTTATGAACATGAATTCCAAAATTTTAAATAAAATAATACCAAGTCGAATACAGCAATGTACACACACACACAAATAATGCATCATGGTGAATTAGGTTTTATTACAATAATGCAAGGGCAGAGTCAACATCAGATAATGCGCTATTAGCAAGCTAGCTTCCTTTTTTTTTAAGAGAAGGTCTCACTGTCCCCAGGCTGGAGTGCAGTATCAACAGCTTGGTTCACTGCAACCTCCACCTCCCCAGCTCAAGCAATCCTCCTCATAGCCTTCCAAAGTGCTAAGGTTACAGGTGTGCGTCACACACCCGGCCATATCTTCCTTAATGTAAAGCAATTATCATACTTAATAGTAAAATTGTAGAAGCACTTTTCATCAAAGTTAGGACGTAGACAAAGGTACCTTCTATCGCTGTCTCTATTGAACATGGCACTGGAGGTCCTAGGTAATGTGTTAGACTAATACATATGAAATTGCCATATTATTTTTAGGTTATGGAGTGCAGTGGCACAACATCAGAAATGAATGTAATTCAACCTATAATAGAAATAAATCGGCAGGGCGAGATGGCTTATGCCTGTAATCCCAGCACTTTGAGAGGCCAAAGAAGGCAGGTCACCTGAGGTCAGGAGTTGGAGACCAGCCTGGCCAAAATGATGAAACCCTGTCTCTGCTAAAAAAAAAAAAAAATACAAAAATTAGTCAGGTGTGGTGGCAGATACCTATAATCTCAGCTACTCAGGAGGCTGAGGCAGGAGAATCTCTTGAACTCAGGAGGTGGAGGTTGCAGTGAGCCAAGATTGTGCCACTGCACTCCAACCTGGGCAACAGAGCGAGGCTCTGTCTCAAAAAAAAAAAAAAAAGAAAAAGAAAAAGGAAAAGAAAAGAAAGAAAGAAAGAAATGAAGGAAATAAAATTTTTAAACTGGAAAGAATAAAATTACCTGTATCTTCAGACCATGTGATTGTCTATGCAGAAAATCCAGAAGAATATACAGATAAATTATTAAGACTAGTAAGAGAGTTAGCAAGGTTGTTGAATTCAAGATCAACTTAAAAAACTATTAGCGTTCCTATACATCAATAATAACAAATTAGAAAATGTAATAGAAAAAGAGATTCTATTCACAATAGCAACAAAACGCTGAGAATATATCTAGCAAAATATACACCAGGCCTTTTATGAAGAGCATTGCGATAGCCTGAATGTGTCTCCCAAAATTCATGTGTTAAAACTTAATTCCCAAGATGATAGCACTAAGAAGTGGGGCCTTTAAGAAGTGATTAAGACGTAAGGGCAAGCCCTCATGCATGAGATTAGTGCCTTTAAAACGGCTTGGGGGTGGTGGTCAATCTGTCCCTTCTGCGTCATGAGAACATAGTATTTTTCTGCTCCAGAGGAAGCAGCATTCAAGGTACCATCTTGGAAGCAAAGACCAGGCCCTCACTAGACACTGTATCTGCTGGAGCCTTGATCTTGTTCTTCCCAACCTCCAGAACTGAGAAAATAAATTTCTGCTCTGTGTAAATTACCCAGTCTCAGGTGTTTTGCTATAGCACTACAAAGGGACTAAGATAAATATAAAAATTACCCCGGGACTTCAAGGAAGAACTGACTAAATTGAAATATATGCCATATATATTATGAATCGTAGGACTCAATGCTATAAACATAATACTTCTCAACAAATTAATCTATAAATTCAAGAAATTCCCACACAAATCCCAATATAATTTTTTCGTGGAACTCGACAGGCTGATCCCAAAATTCATGTAGTCATTGAGGGGCCAAGAATAGTGTAGCAGGGCTGGCGGGCATGGTGGCTCACACCTGTAATCCCAGTACTTTGGGAAGTCAAGATGGAAGGATGGCTTGAACCCAGGAGTTCAAGACCAGCCTAGGCAACATAGCAAGATGACATCTCAAAATATTACAAATAAGTAAATAAATAAATAAAAAGAAGGTTAAGTATGCACATTTTCTTGTGAATTTCAATAGTATAGTGATTTTTTTTTGAGACAGGGTCTTGCTCTGTCACCCAGGCTGGAGTGCAGTGGTGCCATCTTGGTTCACTGCAATCTCTGTGTGGGCTTAAGCAATCCTCCCACCTCACTCTTGGGAGTCTCCGGGACCACAGGTATGTGCCACCACACCTGACTAATTTTTGTATTTTTTTGTAGAGATGGGGTTTTTCCATGTTGCCCAGCTTGGTCTCAAACTCATCCACCTGCCTTGGCCTCCCTAAATGAGATCACAGGCATGGGCCATTGTGCCTGGTCTAGTGCTTTTTTTTTTTTCTCCCAAGCCTCGGGAGCAAAAGTTGATACACAAGTAAATTTTATTGGTAATGTTTTTGTGTGGACCTTAAGCAGAGGGAAAATTAGTCTGCATTATGGTGTATCCAGACTAAATGACTGATATTGAAATGAAATTATCCAATGGTCCAGTTCCAAGATGGCCGAATAGGAACAGCTTCAGTCTACAGCTCCCAGCGTGAGCGACGAAGAAGACAGGTGATTTCTGCATTTCCAACTGAGGTACCGGGTTCATCTCACTGGGGCTTGTCAGACAGTGGGTGCACTCCA